>NC_000007.14:116446172-116749203 GCF_000001405.40 Homo sapiens
TTGAGATCAGGCAGCTTGGAGAGGTTGGCTTTATAGACAAAAATACTCTATGATTCCACTTATATGAGGTACCTAAAGGAGTCAATTTATAGAAACAGAAAGCAGAATGGTGGTCTCCAGAGGCTGGGAGGAAACGTGAATGGGGAGTTGTTTAATGGGTATAGAGTTCGTCTTGGAAGATGAAAGGAGTTCTGGAGATTGGTTGCACAACAATATGAATATACTTAACTCTACTGAATTGTACATTTAAAAATGGTTAAGATGGCAACTGTTCTATTATGTGTATTTTACCACAATTAAATTTCTTTAAAAGAGAGAAAAAATACCTCAGTTGTTTCCTGTAATATTCAGATAGAATTCTGGAGGAAAGATCGTCTAAGTCCTAGTTATGTTAGATCCTTCAAGATCCTGTCCCTCCTTACGTCTCCCTCTGATGACGTCTCCCTTCAGCACTGACACTCTGTACTGCTAGCTGTACTGGAAAGTTCCTAGATGGCAGTTTTTTTCTCAAACTCTGACTCCCAGAACATTTTCTACTTTTTCCCCTGGGAGATGATGGGGGATTTACCCTGAAGCTAAGGAAGCTAAGACAGCAGGGCACTTCACCACCATTCTCTTCCAAAGCCATGTACTTAATTTTTTTCATTTTATTTTAAACCACTCCCTCTCTCCCCACATACACAAAAAATTTGTATAAGCTTCAGACCCCACTAAACTTGCATCCACCTCTGCCAAGGTGTCTTATATATATAGTAGGATATCCCTTCCTCCAGGACATAAGCATCCTGTCCCAAACCCCCTTTTGGTGATGTGTGTATTGTCACATTGTTTACGTATTGTCACAGACACTGGATTGTACTTACCAGCCTTCCAAACCAAGCTGTGTGTGTTTTCTAAGGAAAGGGATTTTATTTGTCTCTCTACTTCAGTTCCTGAAACATAGTACAGGATAAGTGTACAAGAATTGATTTAAGTCAGTTCACGAACTGACTTAAGAAAGCTGGCAGAAGAGTCAGGACTAAAATCGAGTCTTTAAGTTATGGGTACGCAAAGGCAGACAGAGTGGTATAATGGCCATTGGAGACTCAGAAGAGGGAGGGTAAGAGGAGGGCGAGGGAAGAAAATTACATATTGATTACCACATACACTGTTCAGGTGGCAGGTACACTAAAATCTCAGATTTCACCACTATACAATTCATCCATGTAACCAAAAATCACTTGTTCCCCAAAAGCTATCAAAATTTTAAAACTCTTTTTAAATAATTAATATAATAATAATAATAAAATCGAGTCTTTAGTATTTCCCCTACCCCTAACTCATCTTTTCTTCTTTGCCTAGTTAGGGGCACACAAACTTCCCTCTTAGAAATATAGGGATTTGCTTGCTATGCAAAGTAAACATTAAACAGGTTTAACTAGACAGCTCAAGTTTTATGAAACTAATCTTTATGTCAAGACACTGAAGGCAACTTAATAAAAACAGGGATTTAGATATGAATAAACTATATACAAACTTGACGTCCTACTTGAAGAAAAAGTAAAAGTTGGGCTCAGTATTTCTGTCTGCATACTGTGCAAACAATTCCTAAAATACAAATCATACCTCTAAAGTGAAATAAGGAAAAGTTCCTCATACTGAAAAGCTCCCTCAGAATGCATTTTAGATCCTCAAAAACTTAAGGACAAGTTCATATGTAGGTATTTCTGTGTGCTTACACAGGATTAATACTTTTGAATCATTAACAAGTCAAATTAGTAAGAATAAAAATAAACAATATTAATGTGTACTTAGTATGTCAACATTTTGCTGTTTTCCCATGCATTATTTTATTTTAGCCTCTTGATGTCTCTATGAGGTAAGTATTATTATTATTATTATTCCCATTTCACAAGCTTTGAGAGAATAAGTCAAGTGTTCCAGGTCACCCAGCCAGAAAGGTATTAAGCCAGGACTGGCACTCAATGCCTGGCCTCCAAGCCAAACCCTTTCACCATTAAGCTGCATTATCTCTCTTTTTTTGAAGTTATCTTTTCCAAAGGCCATTTTCAGTCCAGGACAAAGCAGTGAGGCCGGCTGGGGCATCAGGGCACTCCCTGAGCTCACAAAGGGATAATGAGAATATTCAAAAAGATCATCCTGCTAGAGATGAGTAAGAAAACAGGGAGATATAAATTTTATGTACTTAAAAAATGAATCATGCAGACATTGCCTGAGTTATAAGCAACTATTTCAGGCTAGATGAATTTTGTGAAATAAAATTTTGGGGACCTTAAATTGTGTATATATTATAGTTAAGTTGATCCCTGAGTTTTAATTTACGGGTATATTTTATTTAGAATCACAATTGTTTTTATAATACAATAATAACAAAACCGTCACTCTGAATAAACAGGAATATATGTTTATGTTGTACAGTAACTTGTTCCAAGGAGTTATTAAAACTGTAAACCAGACTTTACAGAAGGCAGAGGCAAAAGGAAAGCATGTTGCTATCTTATCCTGCAGTGCAGATGAAGATATCAAAATGGGGTATTGCCTGCCAGGTGTATTGTAAACTGTGATTGGAAAAGGAGACAAAATAAGGAATCAAGATATCATGCCAATGCTTTAAAAGAAAGTGCTTTTGTTTTCAATATTTTTAAGGTTAACAGAGTGAAAAGACTGAATTAAAATCAATGGTCAGTTCTTACATGCTTCTTCAAATTTCCCAAACCATGTGTTTGCCTTCTCTATTTGCTATCTCAGAGAGTTTTGAATTAGAACCACTTTCCTTCCTAAATTTAAAGCAGTAATAAAATGTTAAACTGCAGAAATGAAATGATTATGTATATGTATATGTGTATGTATATGTATATGCATATGTATATAACATAGTTTCAGTAGTACATTACTGAAAACATGAAAGCCTAACTAGATAATTACTGGTACAACACATTTCTTCTGTTGCACATGTACCGGGAAGAAAATCAAATTCAAAAGGAGTGGTGCAAGATGGTGGACTGAGCACATTTGTTTATCCTCTTTTCTTCTCTAGATCTTTTCAAAAGTAAAGATATAGAGAAAACATAGAATCACAAAAAAGAAAGAACTGGAGATGGACTATCAGCAAATAAGAGTTTTAAATGAAGTTACAGGAGGCAAAAAGTAGAATGAGGTGGGATAACTAGTGAAGTTATCCAGAAAAAAAGTCACAGCCCAGAATGTGTTCGTTTTCAACTCTTGAAAGTCAACCTACGTATACATCAGAAAGGTGTTAATTATGGGTGTAGAACAGAATGCAAATGCTTTTAAACTTGACGTGTATACGTGAAAGTATAAGTGATGTAAATTAGGAAATGGAAACAAGGAAGAAAGTTTAAAACAAGAGTTTAAATTAGTTTAAATCACTATTGTCCTTTTATGGACTGAGAAGCCTAGAGATACTGTCTATTATCAGTAGATACACAAATAGCCAAGAAGTCATAAAGTACTGCTAGAACAGTGCTATAACAAAGCTGGAGGGTGACGGTGGGGGTAGCAATGGTGTGGAGGACATAACACTGCTAAATCTCCATCGATTACATCAGAAAGTCAATAAATTACACCAAAGTGCAAAATTAAGAAATAGTGGCATAGTATACATAGCATGTAGATTTATGAAGTTGAGGTATGAAAGAAGTTTGAGACAGAAACACTTAGGGAAAAAAAAAACTGTTGTCTCTGGGAAACAGAATTACATGTAGGAGAAGATGGGGCAAGGAGCTAATGTTATTACAAATTTTTCCATATTTTATTTTTTTAAATGGGCATGTATTATGTTTGCAAAATTCTAAATGCATATAAGAAAAAATAAAAGCCTTCAAACATCTCTGTAGGTTCAGCATATCAATTTACGTTTGATACGCATGGTGGGGAAGTAAGGCAAATGCCTGAAAAATGCAGAACCTGCATAGAAAGAATGTAGAAGTTCCTATTTAGGACTGTGTTATGACATGGTGATGTCTGTTTCTATTCCGGCCAATAAATCCTGGCAGTTGGTCAATTGTTATCCTGTTAAAAGGTCTGGAGTGGAAGAATGGACTGTGTTTTTCGTAAAAAGCTTGCTGACAAGACCAGAGAGAGTTTCCACTGGCAATTCTATTTCACAGTCCTTTCCCTTCTTTGGGCAACACAAATGATGGCAATGGGCAACCACATGGCCTCTAAAATCTTTTCCTTCACTCCTCTGAGTGCAAATCTCTACAGCACAGAAATGCTCTGGATAGTTCTGTGCTTCTGTGATTGGTAATATCCCTTGGACATGTTTAAGAACTATAGAAGCAAAATAGCTTGATTTTCCAGAACACGGCATCTTCACGATATAGCATCTACTAATTTAAGATAAAACGGTTTCATAGATCCAAAAAGGTAGAAAAGTTCCAGTGATTCATAGAGTTAATTGGTCAATTATTGCCAATTAGAATTAGTCAGAAATATGCACACACACACACACACACACACACACACACACACACAGGACAAAACATATCTCTGCATAGTTCAACTTTGTTCCAAAAGGAAATAATAATCAATCCCTAAAACAACAGAAATGTCACTAGCCTGTCAAATCCTGGGTAGCACTCGGGCCTCAGAGAGTTAAATTCACGCCATATTAGGAAGGCATTAATTATTATTACAGAACAGAATGTAATAATATTACATTATTAATATACCAAATAATATTACAAATATTATTACAGAAAGTAATAATATTAAAATTGATATACTGAACCTATAATGTTATATAATTATTATTACATAACATTCTGTTTATTAGGTAAAAATGTAAATGATATAATTTGGAAGATGCAGTTCTCCTAAATGTAGCTCTCAGATTCCCAAAGCACTGGCCAGTAAGAAGGCTGCAGCTTGCCTACAAGTGACACACCTAAATGAGACCCAAGTGACTGAGTTAACAAATTCTTGTAACTATTGGCTCTAGGTGAATTTATGGGCAAACATAGGCAGCCTAGCACTGGAGGTGTGTAGGACTATACCACTTCAATTCCAAATCCATCTTTCTATGAGAATAATTCAGGATAACCCTCCCTCACTCTACTCATGTTCCTCTGGTGAGTATCATCTCTGCAGGTGTGATTGGTCCAGAAAGCCTGCACACTCTTCTGTGGCCGAGAGCCAGTAGATAGGCTGTATCTTCTTCCAGATATGCCTGGCCTGCCAGTTTCTTATGGGCTTTTTATTGCCAGCCTCAGTTTTTGCTAATACTAAGCTATTAAAAGCTAATCGCAAATTAATAATAACACATATCTGTCCATTAATTTAGAATTTATTTCATTCGGTGTTCATGCCAAATCAGAGGCACAGCTCCCATAGACATGGCACACAAGCTTCACCAGATTTACAGACTCCCATTCCCATATCTCGTCTTTAATTCTGCCTTCCTGCTTGTCACTACAGATGCGCTCTCCATGCTCCCAGCTAAAGCCAATCAATTCTTCCACTTGTGCTGTAGACACATCTACTTCCTCTTGGTCAAGAATATCATTTCAAGGATAGATACCCCATTCTTCATGATGTGATTATTATTGCTTGCCTGTATCAAAACGTCTCATGTACCCCAGAAATACATACACCTACAATGTACCCACAAAAATGAAAACTTTTAACTTTAAAAAAATTTAAAGAACATTATATCAGCAAGTTTCACCCCCTCTCCTGCAGCATCCATTTTTCTCTCTCTATCCATTAAGATACACATGTACTACTATTTCTCCCATTTAAAAAAAACTTTAAAACCTTGTTCTTGGTCCTGCTTCTTTTTTAGCAACCATTCTTGTTTTTCCTCATCATTTATATCAAATGTTCTCAGAAAGAGTTGCCTAAACCTACTCCAATTGTTTCAAATTCCTCTCTTTACATTCTCCCCTAAATCCATGTCAGGCTTCCAAAAATGTGGAGAACACCAATGAGCTCCCCCTGGCTGATGCAATGGTCAATTCTCAGTTCTCACCTTACTGGAAATATCAGCAATATCTGTCATAGTCCTTCAATCTCTCCTCCTTGATGCCCTTTCTTCACTTGAATTCCAGGCACCTTGGTCTCCTGACTTTCTTCCTACCTCACCAGATGGCCCTTGCCAGTCTCCTTTACTGTTTTTTCTTCCTCTCCCAGACCTCCCAACATTGGAGTACCCCATGGCTCAACTGTTCTTCCGCTTCTTTAATTCTTTTCAATCCCTGGTGATTTTACAATCTCTTTGACTTAAATACTATCCACATGGTCAACCACTCTCAAACTTATATGATACAGACAGGCCTATCACCTGGCCTGCTCCTATATCAGAGTCTGTATTTCCTTCCTCCTTGCAGTTAGGTGGCACCATATGAATAGCTTTGGCCTTAGTCAACGGGCTATGAGAGAAAGTGATTGGTGTCACTTCTGGACTGATATATTAGAAACCAATGTGTGACTCTCCAGTTCTTTTATCTCCCTGCTGTGTAACCTGCAAGCCATGTGTTTCAGACACAGTTACAATATGGTGATGTTTCCATCAGCTCTGATGCCTGAGTATATGTATGAAGCAGAGCTCCCAACACTCATGTTTGATATGTATCCTCAGTGAGAAGAAATCCTGTGCTATGTTAAGCCATTCACAGCTTGGGACTTTTAACTATAACATAATTTAGGTTTTCCTAAAAGATATCTCAATCTTAACATGACCAACACTGAGTTTCTGATGTTCCGCCTCAAAACTTACTCCACCTGCAGTTTCCCTGTAGGAGTTGATGTCAGCTCCACCATTCTAGTTGCTCAGGTCAAAATATTTGAGCCCCTCTGACTCTTCAATTCTTCTCACATCCCTCCAGTCTATCAGGGGATGTTGTTGGCTTTGCCTTGCAAATATATCTACAATTCAAGAACTTCGCCTGACTCCCAACCCTAGCAACCCGAGTCTGTTTGCCAACATCATCTCTCTCAGATCACTCTAGTAGCCTCCTAACTGGTCTCCTTCCTTCCATCTTGCCCTCTATAGTAAACTCTCAAGACAGTAGTCAAAGTCATCCTTTTAAAACTCAATTAAAATCATCTCCTTCCTCCTCAGACCTTTCCAAGTCTTCCCATCTCCCCCTGGAATAAAAGCAAATTTCTTATCGTGGCTTACAAGACTTTACATGATTAGGCTGTACCTGAGTCCTCATTACCTCTCTGATTTCCATGGCTTTCCCCTTGACTCCATTCTAGCCACGCTGGCCTCCTCACGACTCTGCTGACACCAGATAATCCCTAGGGCCTTTGCCCTGGTGACTCCCCCAGCCTGGAGTGCTCTTTGCTGGTGGCTGATCCTTTACATCTCTTGAATTTTTTCTCAAATGCCACCTACTCAATGGAGCCTACCCTGACAATTTTTTTTCTTTTCTTTTCTTTTTTTTTTCAGACGGAGTCTCACTCTGTTGCCCAGGCTGGAGTGCAGTGGCGCGATCTCGGCCCACTGCACGCTCCGCCTCCCGGGTTCAGGCCATTCTCCTGCCTCAGCCTCCCCAGGAGCTGCGACTACAGGCGACCGCCACCGCCCCCTGCTAATTTCTTTTTGTATTTTTAGTAGAGACGGGGTTTTACCGTGTTAGCCAGGATGGTCTCAATCTCCTGACCTCGTGATCCGCCCGCCTCAGCCTCCCAAAGTGCTGGGATTACAGGTGTGAGCCACCGTGCCCGGCGACAATTTTATTTTAAGCTGCAATAAGCCTACTCTTCCCACCAGAAGCTTTCTGCCTTTACCCTACTGTTTTTCCCCACATCACTTATTTATTGTGATGTTCATTTATTTATGTTTATTAGTGTCTCCTTACACATCTGTATCCCTTCTGTTATGAAACATAACTGCCTGGAACAGTGTATGTCCCATAAAAGAGCTAAATAAATATTTCCTGGATTTATTAAGGTGGGCAAGGCTGACATGTTTTTATGTGACAGGTAAAAATACAGACTCAGAGAGACAATGGGGAGACTTGCCCAAGATTGTGCAGTTAATAAGTGTTCAAAAAATAAATAAAAGAAGAATTTCCAAAATATCATAGTTTGTTTAAATCTTATTGTTTCATCTTGATACTAAATAAGAGCCTACCTGATCTGCATGTTTTTACTCTAGATTAATATGCCTGAATAACATGTTCTAGAAGTTCTATTTTACTGTCTTTAACAATTAAATTTATGAAAGAAGATATTGATGTAGGTAGAAAAGTTTCAGACAAATCTGAATAGTGTTATGCCTCAAATACATTTGCATATTTATTTTTTGCACTATAATATAAATTGCTTATTTTTGAGAAAGTGACAATTGTTTCATGATTTAACTTTCTATTCATCAAAGTTTCCACAGGGATGGAAATAATAAACAAATTAGTATTACTCATTTGCGATCTGTGCTCATAAACCGTATGTGAGGATCATGCATCTGTTAAGATTCTGCTTTTATGATGCCTTTTTTTTATATCCAAGATTAAAGTAAAAAGCAAATGAAGATTTTAAATATGTTGGCCATATGCAAAAATGTATTTCAAATTGCTCATTAAAATTTTTCTCTACCCATATGAAAAAACTTGATTTAATCTACTTTACAGTTATTGCAAGACAAAATGAAAAATAAAAAAATTTTCTTTTGTTAAATTAAGCCAACGATAGCAAACATTAAAAAAAAAGATAACATAACAAAATCAAATACTTGGGGTCTAAGATAATAAAAACACCAAAAGAATATTGGCTTTGCTGGCAAGACATGAGCATCACCCTCTGAAACTGCAGTAAAAATGACTTAAATATAAACAAGTACCAAAGTCTAAGAAACACTCATCCAGGAAGCTAATTTTTATATTCTTGCTTTTGCATTTCTAATAATGACATGAATTTGATCCATGAGACTCTGAATTTGGAGAACGAGGAGTCACATAATTGTCTTCCAGAGGTTCCAAAGCTGGCATTCTGTAATGTTCATGTTCATAACAGCTCCGTGTCTATACTTACAATTTTAGTCTTAGCATGAATTTGAGTCACATTTATGAAGTTCTGTCTTTGAGCCAGACTTTGCATGACACATTATGAGCAAATAGCAAAACATCCTTGCCTCAAAAACTCAAACTTTTGTGAAAACAGATATAGAAACAATTAGCTGCAAAGTAAAGCAATGTGAGGTTCAAGGGGCTTTCAGAGCACAAAAGAAGAGTGGATCATTTCTGACTTGAGAACCAGGGTAAGGCACTAGTAATGAAGACACATTTGAGCTAAAACAATTGTTTAATTCCAATCATTGGCATTTCATCAGATGCAGCCTAATTTTCTATATGAATATGATTAATAACAAGTTTTCCATTACAATCATGGGACTTTTTGCCTCACACAAATGAAAACAGATGTAGAGCCAAAGAAATGTGAATATTTTAACAAAGTTTTTTTTTTTTAATCAAGTATGTAATTACTGGCCCATGCAAAAGTGGGAATAAGATGGTTCTCTTAGTTGTGCAGAAGTGTGAAAGTCTCAGTCATGCCACAGTCGGGGAAATGTTGACTCAGGTTATTGCACAGAAGCTGTTACAGTTTTTCACTTTGCTAACTTATGTGGAATTTGTTTTCAACTCAAATCCATTTTGGATATTTTTTAATAGGAAACAGGTCTTTAATAATTTGGGAATTGTACTAAAGAGTTCATGTTTTTTTCTAAAGGCAAAAAGGGACACTAAATCTTAAGCAGAAAAGTAAATTTGCTTTTCAGAAAAGTCAATCTAGAGGCAAAGTGAAGGGCAGGTTGAAAAGTAGAAATGTGGCTGACTCTCTTTTCGGACTCAGCCCACCTGCACCCAGGTGAAACAAACAGCCATGTTGCTCACACAAAGCCTGTTTGGTGGTCTCTTCACACGGACGCGCATGAAATTTAGTGGATCAGGGGACCTCCCTTAGGAGATCAATCCCCTGTCCTCCTGCTCTTTGCTCCGTGAGAAAGATCCACCTATGACCTCAGGTCCTCAGACCGACCTGCCCAAGAAACATCTCACCAATTTCAAATCTGGTAAGCAGCCTCTTTTTACTCTCTTCTCCAACTTCCCTCACTATCCCTCAACCTCTTTCTCCTTTCAATCTTGGTGCCACACTTCAATTTCTCCCTTCTCTTAATTTCAATTCCTTTCATTTTCCGGTAGAGACAAAGGAGACAGGTTTTATCTGTGGACCCAAAACTCCGGCGCCGGTCACGGACTGGGAAGGCAGCCTTCCCTTGGTGTTTAATCAATGCAGGGCGCCTCTCTGATTATTCACCCACGTTTCAAAGGTGTCAGACCACGCAGGGATGCCTGCCTTGGTCCTCCACCCTTAGCGGCAAGTCCCGCTTTTCTGGGGGAGGGGCAAGTACCCCTCAACCCCTTCTCCTTCACCCTTAGCGGCAAGTCCCACTTTTCTAGGGGGCAAGAACACCCAATCCCTTATTTCCACACCCCAACCTCTTATCTCTGTGCCCCAATCCCTTATTTCCGTGCCCCAACCCCCCTTCCTGCTTTTCTGGAGGGTAAGAACCCCCAAAACCCTTCCCTCCGTGTCTCTACACTCTCTTTTCTGTGGGTTTGCCTCCTTCACTATGGGCAACCTTCCACCCTCCATTCCTCCTTCTTCTCCCTTAGCCTGTGTTCTCAAGAACTTAAAACCTCTTCAACTCACACCTGACCTAAAACGTAAATGCCTTATTTTCTTCTGCAATGCCGCTTGACCCCAATACAAACTCGACAGCACTTTCAATTTTTCCATCCTACAAGATCTAAATAATTCTTGTCGTAAAATGGGCAAATGGTCTGAGGTGCCTGACATCCAGGCATTCTTTTACACATCAGTCCCTTCCTAGTCTCTGTGCCCAGTGCAACTCGTCCCAAATCTTCCTTCTTTCCCTCCCGCCTGTCCCCTCAGTCCCAACCCCAAGCGTCGCTGAGTCTTTCTAATCTTCCTTTTCTACAGACCCATCTGACCTCTCCCCTCCTCGCCAGGCCGAGCTAGGTCCCAATGCTTCCTCAGCCTCTGCTCCTCCACCCTATAATCTTTTTATCGCCTCCCCTCCTCACACCTGGTCCGGCTTACAGTTTCCTTCCGTGACTAGCCCTCCCCCACCTGCCCAGCAATTTATTCTTAAAAAGGTGGCTGGAGCTAAATGCATAGTCAAGGTTAATGCTCCTTTTTCTTTATCCCAAATCAGATAGCATTTAGGCTGTTTTTCATCAAATATAAAAATCCAGCCCAGTTCATGGCTCATTTGGCAGCAACCCTGAGACGCTTTACAGCCCTAGACCCTAAAAGGTCAAAAGGCCATCTTATTCTCAATATACATTTTATTACCCAATCTGCTCCAGATATTAAATAAAACTCCAAAAATTAGAATCTGGCCCTCAAACCCCACAACAGGGCTTAATTAACCTCAACTTCAAGGTGTACAATAATAGAAAAAAGTTGCAATTCCTTGCCTCCACTGTGAGACAAACCCCAGCCACATCTCCAGCACACAAGAACTTCCAAACACCTGAACTGCAGCAGCCAGGCGTTCCTCCAGAACCTCCTCCCCCAGGAGCTTGCTACACGTGCCGGAAATCTGGCCACTGGGCCAAGGAATGCCCGCAGCCCAGGATTCCTCCTAAGCCGCGTCCCATCTGTGTGAGACCCCACTGAAAATCGAACTGTTCAACTCACCTGGCAGCCACTCCCAGAGCCCCTGGAACTCTGGCCCAAGGCTCTCTGACTGACTCCTTCCCAGATCTTCTTGGCTTAGTGGCTGAAGACTGACACTGCCCAATCGCCTCGGAAGCCCCCTAACCCATCACGGACGCCGAGCTTTAGGTAACTCTCACAGTGGAAAGTAAGCCCGTCCCCTTCTAAATCAATACCCCTTCTAAATCAATACGGAGGCTACCCACTCCATATTACCTTCTTTTCAATGGCCTGTTTCCCTTGCCTCCATAACTGTTGTGGGTATTGACGGCCAGGCTTCTAAACCTCTTAAAACTCCCCAACTCTGGTGCCAACTTAGACAATACTCTTTTAAGCACTCCTTTTTAGTTATCCCCACCTGCCCAGTTCCCTTATTAGGCTGAGACACTTTAACTAAATTATCTGCTTCCCTGACTATTCCTGGACTATAGCTATATCTCATTGCTGCCCTTCTCCCCAATCCAAAGCCTCCTTTGCGTCCTCCTCTTGTATCCCCCCACCTTAACACACAAGTATAAGATACCTCTACTCCCTCCTTGGCGACCGATCATGCACCCCTTACCATCTCATTAAAACCTAATCACCCTTACCCTGCTCAATGTCAAGATCCCATCCCACAGCAGGCTTTAAAAGGATTAAAGCCTGTTATCACTCGCCTGCTATAGCATGGCCTTTTAAAGCCTATAAACTCTCCTTACCATTCCCCCATTTCACCTGTCCTAAAACCAGACAAGGCTTACAAGTTAGTTCAGAATCTGCGCCTTATCAACCAAATTGTTTTGCCTATCCACCCCATGGTGCCAAACCCATATACTCTCCCATCCTCAATACCTCCCTCTACTACCCATTATTCTGTTCTGGATCTCAAATATGCTTTTTTTTTACTATTCCTTTGCACCCTTCATCCCAGCCTCTCTTTGCTTTCACTTAGACTGACCCTGACACCCATTAGGCTCAGCAAATTACCTCGGCTGTACTGCTGCAAGGCTTCACAGACAGCCCCCATTACTTCAGTCAAGCCAAAATTTCATCCTCATCTGTTACCTATCTCAGCATAATTCTCATAAAAACACACGTGCTCTCCCTGCTGATCATGTCCGATTAATCTCCCAAACCTCAATCCCTTACAGAACAACAACTCCTTTCCTTCCTAGGCATGGTTAGTGCGGTCAGAATTCTTACACAAGAGCCAGGACCGCACCCTGTAGCCTTTCTGTCCAAACAACTTGACCTTACTGTTTTAGCCTAGCCCTCATGTCTGCGTGCAGTGGCTGCAGCTGCTTTAGTATTTTTAGAGGCCCTAAAAATCACAAAACTATGCTCAACTCACTCTCTACATTTCTCATAACTTCCAAAATCTATTTTCTTCCTCATACCTGATGCATATACTTTCTGCTCCCCGGCTCCTTCAGCTGTACTCACTCTTTGTTAAGTCCCAAAATTACCATTGTTCCTGGCCCGGACTTCAATCTGGCCTCCCGCATTATTCCTGATACCACATCTGACCTCCATGACTGTATCTCTCTGATCCACCTGACATTCACCCCATTTCCCCATATTTCCTTCTTTCCTGTTCCTCACCCTGATCACCCTTGATTTATTGATGGCAGTTCCACCAGGCCTAATCGCCACACACCAGCGAAGGCAGGCTATACTATAGTACAAGCCACTAGCCCACCTCTTAAAACCTCTCATTTTCTTTCCATCGTAGAAATCTATCCTCAAGGAAATAACTTTTCAGTGTTCCATCTGCTGTTCTATCTGCTATTCTACTACTCCTCAAGGATTATTCAGGCCCCCTCCCTTCCCTACACATCAAGCTCGAGGATTTGCCTCAGCCCAGGACTGGCAAATTAGCTTTACTCAACATGCCCTGAGTCACAAAAACTAAAATACCTCTTAGTCTAAGTAGACACTTTCACTAGATAAGTAGAGGCCTTTCCTACAGGGTCTGAGAAGGCCACCACAGTCATTTCTTCCCCTCTGTCAGACATAATTCCTCAGTTTAGCCTTCCCACCTCTATAGAGTCTGATAACAGACCAGCCTTTATTAGTCAAATCAGCCAAGCATTTTTTCAGGCTCTTGGTATTCAGTGACAGACTAATGGTCTATTAAAAACACACCTCACCAAGCTCAGCCACCAACTTAAAAAGGACTGGACAATACTTTTACCACTTTCCCTTCTCAGAAGTCAGACCTGTCCTCAGAATCCTACAAGGTACAGCCCATTTAAGCTCCTGTGTATACGCTCCTTTTTATTAGGCCCCAGTCTCATTCCAGACACCAGACCAACTTAGACTGTGCCCCAAAAAACTTGTCATCCCTACTATTTTCTGTCTGGTCATACTCCTATTCTCCGTTCTCAACTACTCATGCATGCCCTGCTCTTGTTTACACTGCCAGTTTACACTGTTTCTCCAAGCCATTACAGCTGATATCTCCTCGTGCTATCCCCAAACTGCCACTCTTAACTCCTGAAGTAAATAAATAATCTTTGCTGGCAGGACTATGCTGAATCTCCTTAGGCACTCTAATCAGATGTCCTAGGTCCTCCCAATTCTTAGATCTTTTCCATTTAGTTTTTCAATTCATACAAAACTGTATCCAGGCCATCACCAATAATTCTACACGACAAATGTTTCTTCTAACAACCCCACAATATCACCCCTTACCACAAAATCTTCCTTCAGCTTAATCTCTCCCACTTTAGGTTCCCACGCTGCCCCTAATCCCGCTTGAAGCAGCCCTGAGAAACATCGCCCATTCTCTCTCCATACCACCCCCCAAAAATTTTCGCCACCCCAAGACTTCAACACTATTTTGTTTTATTTTTCTTATTAATATAAGAAGGCAGGAATGTCAGGCCTCTGAGCCCAAGCTAAGCCATCGCATCCCCTGTGACTTGCACGTATATGCCCAGATGGCCTGAAGTAACTGAAGAATCACAAAAGAAGTAAAAAGGCCCTGCCCCGCCTTAACTGATGACATTCCACCATTGTGATTTGTTCCTGCCCCACCTTAACTGAGTGATTAACCCTGTGAATTTCCTTCTCCTGGCTCAGAAGCTCCCCCACTGAGCACCTTGTGACCCCCCCACCCCTGCCCACCAGAGAACAACCCCCTTTGACTGTAATTTTCTATTGCCTTCCCAAATCCTATAAAACGGCCCCACCCCTATCTCCCTTCCCTGACTCTCTTTTCGGACTCAGCCCACCTGCACCCAGGTGAAATAAACAGCCATGTTGCTCACAAAAAAGAAAAGAAAAGAAAAGAAAAGTAGAAATGCAATCAGTCAGAATATGATTTCAGAAATCCAGAAGAAAAATGTTGTGCATATGAATCCAATGACAGAGAGAAGAAAGGAGATGGATTTGAGAGATTTTTAAGGTATAGAATTGGCAAGATTTAGTTACAGATCCAAAATAGAGAGTGACAGAGAGAACCACATTTTTCTGATTTGGGTAATAAAATGTATGGAGTTTCCAATAACAGAAAATACTGGGAAAAAAAGATAATCAGATCTGAGGAAAAGGAGGGAAACATTTAAGTAATTATGTAACAAACCAAGTGAAAATATCTCGTATCAGATATGAAAGTTATTATGTATAATACATCTTAAGAAATTCTGGCTCAAACATATAAGGAAGAGGTTGAAGTTCTTAGAATGAAAATCTTAATTCTCAATGTAAACTTTGAGCAAATACATTAATAGAGATTGTGAACTTTCTGCAACTGGTAATAAGAAAAGATAAAATCAACTTTTTGAAAAAAGCAACATCCAGCATTAAACACTAGGGGGGAAGCATAGGATGCACAGAAATTACAAGTTAAAACAGAAAGTAAAAATTCTGGTCTAGATTAGCATATGGATTATGCAGAATAAGACAGAAGATTCTGCAGGAAATAAACTGTGAAATCTCAAAATTAACAGAATGACACCTCTCATGAATAGAGAAGCAAGAATTTTCAACAAATATTAGCCAGTCAAATCCAGCAAAATGTAATAAAGATATTACATTATGACCAAGTGGAATTTATCTCAGGGATGCAAGACTGACTCAAAATTTTAAAATCAATTGATATAATTAACCACAGTAACAGAATAAAGAAGAAAATCATATTATTATTTCAATAGGTGAAGAAAAATCACTTAAAAAAATTAAACACTGGGCCCAAACTCTCAGAAAACTAGGAATAGAAGGGAATGTTCTCAATTTAATAAGGTACCTCTAATGAAAACCCACAGCTAACATTGTAGTTAATAGTGAAATACTGAACACTTCCCCTTGGGATCAAGAATAAGACAAATGCATTCACTCACATTACTCCTATTAGCATAGTACTGAAAGTACCATAAGGCAAGAAAAACAAATAAAATATAGACAGATTGTAGAGAAGGGAGTAGAACTGTTGCTATTTGCCAATGTTGTGCTTGTGTATGTAGAATATCCTAAGGAATCAACACAACTCTAGAGGTAAAGAGTAAATTTATCAGGTTCTTTTAATTCAAGGTCAATTAACAAAAATAAATTGTATTTCTACATATTCAAAGCAAATAATTGGAAAATTAAAATTTTTAAATTATCATGTATAATAGCATCAAAACCATAAAACATTTAGAAACAAATTTAACAAAATATGTGCTGGATCTTTCAAACTGCAAAACACTGCTGAAAAAAATTAAAGGTCAAAATAAACGGGGAGATGTACCATGTGTCTTGGTTGGAAGACTCCATGTTATTAAGATGCCCATTCTCCATAAATTGATCTACAGATTCAACACAATTGCAGTTAAGAATTCCATAGATCTTTTTTTTTAGAAACTGACAAGGTGATTCTCTCTCTCTCTTTCTCACACACACACACACACACACACACACATCTTAGATTACTATATATTTGTGAAAAACATACATATATTTGTACATGCGTGTACAAAGAATGTAAATAGTTGAAACAATTTTGAAAAAGAACAAAGTTGAAGTACTTATGTAACCAGATTTCAGGAGTTAAAGCTACATTACTTGAGATAGTGAAGTAAGAATATATGTATAAATTAATGGAACAGAAAAGAGTGCCCAGAAAGAGACTCACGCATAGATGTGCAATTATTTTTAATAAAGTCAGCAAGGTAGCTCAATGGGAAAGAAAATTCTTTTTAACAAATGGTGCTAAATTAACTGCATATGCCCATGGAAAAACATGAACCTTACACCATGAATAATAATTACCTTGAAATAGACTGTAAACTTAAACGTAAAAGCCAAAACTAAAAAAAAAAAAAAACTTTTAGAAGAAAATATATAAGAAAATATTCAGGACTTTGGGGTAGACAAAGACGTTTTAGCAAAAATGCAAAAGGCATACACCATCAATGAAAATTGGTAAGTTGGACAAAATTTGAAACATAAGCTCTCTGGAAGACATTATTAAGAAAACGAAATGGCAAGCCACAGACTAGAAGAAAATAGTCACAATACATATATATATCAGACAAGATACATGTGTCAAGATTTTATTTAGAACTTTAAAGTTTTGATTAGAAGATGAACAACCCACTTTAAAAAAAAAAGAGGACAAGTACTAAGCAGATATTTCACACACAAAAAAAGTTTATGAATCACCAATAAGGACATAAAAAGATGTTCATCATTAATCATAAGGAAAATTACATTAGTCCATTCTCACACTGCTATAAAGATATTAGCTGAGACTGGGTGATTTATAAAGGAAAGAGTTTTAATTGACTCACAGTTCCACATGGCTGGGGAGGCCTAGGGAAACTTGTAATCATGGCGGAAGGTGAAGGAGAAGCAGGCACCTTCCTCACAAGGTGGGAAGAGAGAGAGCATGCTTGAAGGAGGAAGTGCCACTTTTTTCAACCATCAGCTCTCATGAGAATTTACTCACTATCATGAGAACAGCATGGGGGAAACCATTCCCTGATCCAGTCACCTCCCACCAAGTCCCTCTCTCAATAAGTGGTGATTACAATTAGAGATGAGATTTGTGTGGGGACACAGAGCCAAACCATATCAAAAATGCAAATTAAAACCACAGTGAAATACCACTACACATCCACGAGAATGGCCAAAATGAAAAATACTTACAATGCCAAATGCTGGTAAGAATGTGGAGCAACTGAAACTTTCGTGCACTGTTGCTGAAAGTGTAAAATGGTACAAATACCTGGAAAACAGTTTTGTATTTTCTTTGGTTTTTTTTTGTTTGTGTGTTTGTTTGTTTGAGACAGGATCTTGCTCTGTTGCCCAGGCTGGAGTCCAATGACATGTCATATCTCACCACAAACTTGACCTACCCAGCTCAAACAATCCTCCCGCCTCAGCCTCCCTGAGTAGCAGGGACTACAGGTGCATGCCACCATACCCAGCTACTTTTTTTTTTTTTTTTTTTTTTGTAGAGACGAGGTCTCTCTATGTTGCTCAGGCTGGTCTAAAACTCCTGAGCTGAAGTGATCCTCTTGCCTTGGCCTCCCAAAGTTCTGGGATTACAGGCGTGAGCCACCATGCCTGGCCTTTTCTTCATTTTCATGTGAAGTTAAACATCTATTCATCATATAACCTAACAATTCTTTCCCCTGTTTTACGCAAGAAAAATGAAAACATGTATCTGCAAAAGGATTTGTACGTAAGGATTCATAGGAATTATATTCATCATAACCCAAAACTGGAAATAACCCACGTTATTCAGTAAGTTATATCAATATTTGAATGGATAAACAAATGATGGCATATTCATACAACAGAATAGTTCTGAGTCATGTTCATGTTCTATGGACACTTCTGTAAATTCAATCTCATTTTCTCATTTAATAAGCATAATTCCTGCTAGAGTAGGAGCTATAAAATATGCTGCCCCTTAAATGATGTTGAAGAAATTTCCATATTAATGATTCATAATTACTTGTCATGTTCCATACTCACTCATATTGAACCCCAAAGTTATGTTATCATGTGCTAGTCTTTCTAAATCATTTGCTAAACAAATCAAGGAATCAGAGAGTATGGCATGTATGACAACACCTCATGTCATTATAGATATTTTAAGTATTTTAAATAGCTCTTCATCCTCATTAAAACTGGGAACACTGTGGAGACTTCTAGATTTATGCATTATTTTTACTTATATAACACAGCTTTTCTTCATGTCCTCTTCTTCACTGCTTCACAAACCAACCTGACATGTTTAAAAACTTTATATTCCAATGTACATTTAGGGAATATTTTATAAAGAGACACAGAATTGCCCAGCACTTCACTCAAATGTTACTCATTAGACTTACCTCTTCCCAGGCTCTTCGGACTCTCAGCAGCTAGTTCCTCTCACAGTCTCAAACCCCCTTCTCCTCCCCCAATCACCTATCTTCCCTCTCTCTCCACTCATTTCTCCCAGCAACCACTCCATCTCTCTGCTGGTCTCTTTTTTTTCACTCCTTTCTGTATCTCTCAGCATTTCTCATGCAGAACAATTTAATTCTCACTCCCCTTCAATTTTGAATTCAAGCAGTTGGCCCTCTGCTTAATACTGCCTTAAGCATTATCCGAAAATGAAGATTTCATTTCAAAGTTCTCAAATTACCAAAACTTATTCTTTTTGTGGATAAAAGGAATTGTAAGTAACATCTCTATTGTTTTACCCTTATTTTAGGATAGTTTCATAATGCATAATTAATGCTCTAAAAATAGTTGTAAAAGTTTCCTATGAAATGCATGATTAAAATATAAGATTGCCTTAATGAAAAAATAGCTCATGAATTTTTATTATATTTTTAAAGTTTAACAACAAAGAAGATATGCCAAGCAAAAATATAACAATTTCTTACATGTGGAACATTTTTAGGTATAAAACAGAAAAATATAATTTTCATGGAATAACTACTAGCTACAACCATATGCTAATATTTTCTAAGGTGATATTGTAACCTTAAAAAGCCCAGAGATTTCAAATTAGCCAAAGATGTGTCAGTTGAGTTATTCATTTATAGTAAGCTTTCAGGCCTTAGGACATCACCTATGAACTAAAAATGCTGAGTCAAAAGCCTACCAAGTGACTCATCCTTTCTTATCTTCTTTTTCCACAATAACCATCTTTAGTCACTAATTCCCTAAGTCTAGAGGGAAGGAACTGACCCAAATGCCTTAAAAAAGTAGAACTTTCTTCCCAATGGACGTTTGAAGAAAGACCCCCACCAGCACTCGAAATTGCCAATCTTCCTAAATTTTGAAAAAGTATTAAATACATACATCTGAATAAAATTATTATACTCACACAGGAATATATTTTCCTCTCTGCAGGAAAAATAGAGAAAACCATAAATATTTTATCAGAATGTAATTGTTCAGTGAGCCATCATTTCAACCACTTAGGAAAAATGGAGAGAAGAAAGTCACGTTCAATTATTATTTGACACTAACACCACATACAAAACAAAAATAAGTTTAAGATAACATCTATAAGTATAAATGCTATATAAATACTAGAAAATATTTAATGTGTGTGTGTGTGTGTGTGAGAGAGAGAGAGAGAGAGAGAGAGAGAGAGAGAGAGAGAGACAGAGAGAGGAGATTGCTTACTATTTGGTATAACTTGCAAAAAAAAATATTCATTTGGTTGTAGGGCAAACCTAGATTGGAAGGATAAGAATCATTGCACTTCACTTCCTCCAGGATCCATCTGTCATCTTTGGCTTAGAGACAGATAACTGTTTTCACTTAATTTGTTTTCCAGTTCATGTTTCTCAGATGTTTAACATGGTATTTTGGAAAAGGCAAAACTATGGAGACAGGAAAAAGATCAGGGGTTGCCAGGAGTTTAAGGGAAGGGAAGGATGAATAGGCAGAGCATAGAGATTATTAGGGCAATGAAATTATTCTGTATGATACTGTAATGGTAGATATGTGCCCTTATGCATCTGTCAAAAGCCACAATAAGTAAAATCTAATGTAAACTATGGATTTTAGTGATAATATATTAATATTGGCTTATCAACTGAAACAAATGTACAACTAATACAATGTCTCAGGAACAGGGAAAACTGAGATGAGAGGGTAATATAGGAAATCTCTTTACTTTCAACTCATTTTTCTACAAACCTAAAACTGATATAAAAAGAAGTCTATTAGTTAAAATTCAGAAAAGGAGAAAAACATTGATAAGAAAATACTTTTTTAAATGGAAGACATATAAAAAAACATAAATTAGGCCTTACTGAGGATTTCTGTGGGTCACTGAAGTGGTGTTTGCATAACATATTACATATGAAATTTTCCTAAAACTGTCCTTGAGTACATGTCCCTTTTTCATGTTTTTGTTTCAATCATTTTGGGGGTACAGGTAGTTTTCGGTTACATGAATAAGTTATTTTGTGGTGATTTCTGAAATTTTGGTGCACCCGTCACCCAAGCAGTGTACACTGTACTCAATATGTAGTCTTTTTTTCCTCACCTCCCTCCCACCCTTCGCCCCAAGTCCCCAAAGTCCATTATAGCATTCTTATGCCTTTATGTCCTCACAGATTAGCTCCCACTTATAAGTGAGAACATACGATATTTGGTTTTCCATTCCTGAGTTACTTCACTTAGAATAATGGCCTCTAGTTCCATCCAAGTTGCTGCAAAAGACATTATTTCATTCCTTTTTATGGCTGAGTAGTATTCCACGGTGTATATACCCACATTTTCTTTACCCACTCATTGGTTGATGGGCGCTTAGGTTCGTTCTATATCTTTGCAATTGCGAATTGTGCTGCTATAGACATGCATGTGCATGTATCTTTTTTACATAACGTACGTCCCTTTTTTAAAAATAATTATTTTGTAGAGAAGAGATCTTGCTAAGTTGCCCAGCTGGCCTTGAACTCCTGGCATCAAGCAATCCTCCCGCCTCAGCCTCCTGAAGTGCTGGGATTACAGGCATAAGCCATCGCGCCCAGCCCATATGTCTTCCTTTTTCCTAGGTCTGCTCCTCACAGCAGCAGCTTAAATCTTTCCTTCTATTTCTCTCTAACCTCACAGGCCCTTGCTAATTTTGCTCCTCACTTGTAGCATCTTTTTTTTATTTTTGTCATGAAAAGAAATTTAGACTTTCAGGCTTCCGGATCCAGCGTGTTCATCTGTTATGCTGTTAACAGTATCACAACAAAAGCATGGTAGGTGAGTAAGACAAAAAGAGAGCCCTCCTCCCAAGGTAGATTATGGTTGGGTGGGAGAGAGGTGGCTGGGAAGGTTTGCAGACCTGCTTTCACCATCACCATCTTGCCACCTGTCTGAGGAGTGAGGAAAAGGAGAAGAAAGGTTTCCAGCATGGCAACAGTGTGGCCAGGAGTGCAATTCACTTGAGATATAGGAGAGGAAATGAATTCCTGGGGGAAAGTGAGGGATTTGACCAATATTCAATCCAACTATAATGTATCCCATACTACAGGTAAGATTAAGTTGCCAGTTACATAGAGGAAAAACTCATGATGAATAGTAATTTGAACAAGGCTATATGTAGCACTGCATTCACTAGTGTAAGAATCTTGGATCTCATCTACCAGTGTTCAGAAGAGTATCGAGAGAGTATAGACAGTAGCTAGAAAAGGCACTTACTAAACTTCTTTACATGCCCTTTCTGTTGTTTCTTTCTGAATTTTCTGAATTAAAGCAATGCACAACACATTTTGAGAGTAAAAGTAAAGAGCATTTTTGGTTAAATTAACATGAGTACTTTATCCAGATCTTTTGCTGACCCATGCTTCTCAATTTGGATTTTTTTTCTACTTATAAAAATGCTACACAGAAAATGTTGGGGTATAGAGCTGTCATTTCCTTCCTTCCTTCCTTCCTTGCTTCCTTCCTTCCTTCCTTCCTAAGTAAGATAATACAAAAGAAATAAAAGACGTGCTGTCTCATAGGAGATGAGACACGTCTATATAAGTCCTAGGAATTCTAATTTAATTTGCATACCAAGGACATCTAAAGGAGAAAAATGTATTCTAATTAGGGTCTGGCTTCTAATGTATTATAAAAGTAACTTGTTAAATGAGATTTTGTGTTTTACTGGAAAATTCTTTTTCATAAAATTATTGACTGAAGATTAGTCCTTGATAAGCAAATCAATTTTGTAATTCAAACATGGCTATAGAAATTCAATGCATTTTTCTTTTTTAAAATTGTATTTTATTTTGAGAAAGCATCTCACTCTGTCACCCAGGCTGGAATGCAGTGGCCTGATCTCGGCTCACTGCAACCTCTGCCTCCCAGATTCAAGTGATTCTCATGGCTTAGCCTCCCAAGTAACTGAGATTATAGGCATGTGACCATGTCCAGCTAATTTTTTCTATTTTTAGTAGGGACGGGGTTTCATTGTGTTGGCCAGACTGGTCTCAAACTCCTGGCTTCAAGTCATCCGCCCACCTCAGCCTTCCAAAGTGCTGAGATTACAGGCGTCGAGCTACCATGCCCAGCCTCAGTGCATTTTTTTTACAGTCATAGAGCAATGCCTATAATCATCCTTCATACATCTCAGATCAAAACAAATAATTCTGTCTTACAAGAGGAGTGCCCTTAGACATTAAATAATAAATTCGCTAAAGGCATTATTTTATATATGGTTTGTGACATAGTGCCTATGAAAACCTAATTCAAAAAAATAATAAATTACAAAATAGCTACTAAGGGTATAAGGAGACATTAACTATGGATTAGAAAAACCTTCTTAAAGCAGACAGATTCTCAGAAAGTGTTGAAAGAGACTGGTCGTCACAAAGGTTGAGTTAAACATGATTTAGGTGAGTATATTTCATTATGTACATTAATGTAAGTTGTTGTAAGACCTCAAGTAAGACATATAAGAAATAAAAACACATTGGTGTACAACATGACAACTTTTCTTCACCAGCTGCATTTGCTGAGAATCCAAAGGACATTTCAGATGAGGGGGTGATGAAAGTCAAGGCAGAGACATGTGAACCGGAAAGATGAGCATAAGAAAGGCAGAAGCCCATCTAGGGAGACATAGGGACAGGACAGAGAAGGACAGAGTACAAGAAACAAGGAGGAGGAATTACATTTTTAAATGCATTACCAATTAAAAGAAAAAAAAATCAGTGTAAAAATAAAGGCTTTGCCTCTAACTAGTTTTGTGACTTTGGGCAGCCATTCCACTTCCTTGGCCTCAGATATTGGGCACAGTAACTTCCAGGTATTTACTGCTCTATTACTTAATCATTCCACTATAGCTATGTTTATGTTCACATGTTATTTTTACTTCACAGAATGATTGTTTTAATTCAGGTGAGTGCAATAAACAGATGACAAAAGACTGAAGTGTTTTCTAAGATGAGCAAGAATGATGATGCCCAGCTAACTGGAGGATGCTTTTGTTTCAAACCAGAAACAAGTGGTAATAGGATATATGAGATTAAGGATCCAACTTAGTGAATGAACACAATTACCTTCCTGCCATAATTACATATTTTTGTATCCTGTTTCTTGCAGTAAGCAAGCACCTAAAGCACCCCTGGCTAAGCCTACCATCGAACTCTTCAAAATGTTTCCATTCATCAGCCAAGTAGCAGTACATTATGTTCCCTTTTGTTTTATTGATGACATATTTTAATCAACTTTATTGAAGTGTAATTTTCACATGTAAACTACACTCATGTTAACTGTACATTTCAATGAGTTTTTGCAAATGTATATACTATGTAACCACCACTACAGTCAAGATATACTATACGCCCATCACCTCTGAAGCTCTTTGTGTCCTTTCTAAATCAGTGAGCTGTCCCCCTTTCCAGCCTGTTCCCAGGCAAACATTGACCTTCACTCTGTCACTTTAGATTAGTTTCTTATAAATGTAATCATACAGTATGTACTGTTCAGAATCTGGTTACTTTTACTCAGCGTAATACTTTAGAGATTCATCTATGGTGTTGCATTTACCAGTACATTGTTCTGTTTTATTGTTGAGTAACACTCTATGTTATAAATGTACCATTATTTGTTTATCCACCACCATTTGATGAACACCTGGGTTATTTCCATTTCTGGCAATTGTGAATAAGGTTGCTATGAACATTCATGCATCAGAGCCTGTTAACTTTTCATTTCTCTTGGATAAAAATCTAGGAGGAGAATTACTAAATCATATGTAAAGGGTATGTCAACCTTATAATAAACTGTCAAACTGTTTTCCAAAGTGATTGTACATGTATCCTGCCAAAATCAATGTATGATAGTTCCAATGGTTCTACATCCTGGCCAACACTTAGTATGGTTGGTCGTATAAATTTAGGTAACCTAAAAGGTTTGAAGTTGTATTTCATAATGGTTTTAATTTGTATTTCTCTGATGATTAATGATGTTGAGCATCTTTTCTTGTGCTTATTGGCCATTTGTATTTTGCTTCTCCTTCCTCTCCTTTGCGTCGTTGCTGTCATTTATATTTTACTTCTACATGTCTTATAAACTACCAAAGCACATCACTATTTTTACTTTAAGCAATCAAATGCTTTTTAAAGATACTAAAAATTAAGGCCAAATATCCCCATATTTAAGCATATATTTAGTGTTGCCAGTGCTCTTCATTTCATTGTGTTCATGCAAATTTCTAACTGATATGATTTCCTCTCTACATGAAGAACTTCCTTTAACATTTCTTCTGACTTAGGTCTGCTGAAAACAAATGTTTTCTATTTTTTTCTGAGAGTGTCTTTAATTTGGTTTTCTTCTGGGGGGGAGTTTTGCTGTTTATAGACTTTTAGATTGATAGCCTTTTTAAAAAATGTATTTCAGCACTTTATAGATGTCCTTGCATTGTCCTCTGCTCACATAATTACAGATAAGAAATCTACTGTAAGTTTTATGTTTTTTTCTTTGTAATGTAATGTCTTTTTTCTTTAGTTGCTTTTTAAAAATATCATTTTCTGGTAGTTTTCAGATATTTGATTATGATGTACCTTGAGGTGTTTATGTAAGCATTGTGTGCATCTATCCTGTTTGGGGTCCATTTAAGCTTTTGGGATCTGCGGATTTAAGTTTTCATTAGTTTCGGAAAATTTGGAGCCATCATTTCTTCACATATTTTTTTAGTGCCCCTACGATCTAATTATACCTATATAAATAGGTCTGTACAATACTGTCCTCAGAGGTCACCAAGGCTCTGTTAGTTTTCTTTCTTTTATCTCTTTTTGTTTTCAATAGGTTCTATTACAATATATTCAAGTATGCTGATCTTTTCTGCTGCGCTATTCATTCTGCTATTACTCCTATCCAGAATTTTTTTATATATTGTATTTTTTATTCCTATAAGTTCTATTTCATTTTTTTAACAATTTATGTTACTTCCCTCACTATGCTCATGTTTTTAATAATAAACATAATTATACTGGCTATTTTAACATCTTTATCTGTTAATTCTAACAACATTTGTCATTTTGGTACTTTTTCCTATTTACTGATCTGTATCCAGTTATGGGTATATTGTCCTTATTCTTGGCATGTTTACTAACTTTTATTGGATGCTAGATATGGTAAATGTAACACTCTTAAGCATCTAGATATTGTTTTCTTCCTTTACAAAAACAACTTGAATATCAATTTCATGACTTTCAGGCCTGTTTATTCGCTTTGCTGGAGAACGTCTAATAGTAGCTTCACTCCAGTGCTGGTTCACTCCTGCTTGTAAGGCAGGACTCCAGGAGTCTCCACCAAATTTCCCAGATCATCATCAAGGACTTCATTCTGGAAGGCCAGAGCTCAAATGTCTTCCTGTCCTTTGTGAGCTCTGGGAATTTTTCAGTTTGCAACTCCTTGGCCATCCTTAGCCCATCTTCGTGGAGCTTAATTCTACACATGGGCAGCTTGGTACTCAACAAAGATCAGAGAGGAGCCCATGCAGGTTTATGGAGTTCTCTTATTGAGTGCCCCCTTTTCCAAAACTTTGCTAGCTGCCTCAGATTCTCCAACTCTGGTCTCCATTTTCACAACTCATCAATGATTACAAGATCTGTTTGGATTTTCCTCCCTGTGCCAACAGTTAGAAATTGACTCTAAGAAGAAAGCCAAGACAATCATAGGATTCGTAGTTGTTACTATTCTCAGAAAGATCACAGCACTGTGCTGTTTTTCTCCAACCACTAAAGATAGTTGTTTTATTATTTTGTTTAGTTGTTTAATTGTTCACTATGGAAAGTTAGAGCTGGTCTTGGATACTTTGTTTTTAACCAAACTTTGATAAAGGATTTTTTCCAGGGTGGGATTGCATAGTAAGTATGGACTCATACTAGGTGGAGTTTACATGGCAACTTCTCTTAGAAATTGCTACACATGGGCATTCAAATTGGTAATAAGGAAGTCAAACTGTTGCTGTTTGCTGATGACATGATCATATACCTAGAAAACTGGAAAGACTCATCCAAAAAGCTCCTAGAACTGGTAAATAAATTCAGCAAAGTTTCAGGATACAAAATTAACATACACAAATCAGTAGCTCTGCTATACACCAACAGCGACCAAGCTAAGAATCAAATCAAGAACTCAACCCCTTTCACAATAACTGCAAAAAAATAAAATAAAATACTTAGGAATATACCTAACCAAGGAGGTTAAAGATCTCTACAATGAAAACTACAAAACACTGCTGAAAGAAATCATAGATGAAACAAATGGAAACACATCCCATGCTCATGGATGGGCAGAATCAATACTGTGAAAATGATCACACTGCCAAAAGCAATCTACAAATTCAATGCAATTCCCGTCAAAATACCACCATTATTTTTCACAGAATTAGAAAACACAATTCTAAAATTCATATGACACCAAAAAAAGAACCCACATGGCCAAAGAAAGCCTAAGCAAAATGAACAAATCCAAAGGCATCACATTACCCGACTACGAGGAAGCCATAGTCACCAAAACAGCATGGTACTGGTATAAAAATAGGCATATAGACCAATGGAACAGAATAGAGAACCCAGAAATAAAGCCAAATACTTACAGTCAACTGATTTTTGACAAAGCAAACAAAAACATAAAATGGAGAAAGAACACCCTATTCAACAAATGATGCTAGGATAATTGACAAGTGTACACTGCTTGAGTGAGGGGGTGCAGAAATCGCCACTAAAGAACTTATTCATGTAACCAAATACCACATGTTCCCCAAAAATCTATTGAAATTTAATTAAAAAAATGCTACCTGAAGCAACGTCTTGTCATTACAACTTCAATATTTTAACAAAGCAATGTATTGTAATTACAACTTCAATATTTTAACAAAGACATTTACTGTTATGTTATAACTGGTTGTAGACAATCACCTCTGACCGCACTAAGCTCAAAAGTACCATATATCATAGACAACAAATATAGCCATTTAAAATTAATTTAATTAAATTCTTCACATGTAGAAGAATGAAATTGGATCCTCATCTCTCACCCTATTTTAAAAAATCAACTCATAAAAGATCAAAGACTTAAATCTAAGACCTGAAACCATAAAGATTCTAAAATATAACATTGGAAAAACCTTCTAGACATTAGCTTAGGGAAAGACTTCATGACCAAGAACCCAAAAGCAAATGTAACAAAAACAAAGATAAATCGATGGGACTTAAGTAAAGTAAAAGGCTCTTGCACAGCAAAAGAAATAATCAGCAGAGTAAACAGACAACCCACAGAGTGGGAGAAAATCTTGACAATGTATACATCCAACAAAAGATTAATATCCAGAATCTACAAGGAACGCAAACAAATCAGCAAGATTTCTTCCCATCAAAAAGTGGACTAAGGACACAAATAGGCAGTTCTCAAAAGAAGTTATACAAATGGCCAACAAACATGAAAAATTTCTCGACATCACTAATTATCAGGGAAATGCAAATCAAAATTACAATGCGATACCACCTCACTCCTGCAAGAATGGCCATAATCAAAAAATCAAAAAATAAGAGATGTTGGCGTGGCAGTGGTAGAAAGGGAACACCTTTACACTGTTGGTGGGAATGTAAACTAGTACAACCACTATGGAAAATAGTGTGGAGATTCCTTAAAGAACTAAAAGTAGATCTACCATTTGATCCAGCAATCCCACTATTGCGTATCTACCCAGAGGAAAAGAAGTCATTATACGAAAAAGATACCTGCACGTGCATGTTTACAGCAGGACAATTTGCGATTGCAAAAATGTGGAACCAGCCAAAACGCCCATCAACCAGCGAGAGGATAAAGAAAATGTGGTATGTATGTGTGTAAAAATATGGAATACTACTCAGCCACAAAAAGGAACAAAATAAGGCATTTGCTGCAACCTGGATAAAATTGGAGACTATTATTCTAAGTGAAGTAACTCAGGAATGGAAAACTGAACATGTTCTCACTCATAAATGGGAGCTAAGCTATGAGGACACAAAGGAATAAGACACTGTTGGTGGGACTGTAAACTAGTTCAACCATTGTGGAAGACAGTGTGGCGATTCCTCAAGGATCTAGAACTAGAAATACCATTTGACCCAGCCATCCCATTACTGGGTATATACCCAAAGGATTATAAATCATGCTGCTATAAAGACACATGCACACATATGTTTATTACAGCACTATTCACAATAGCAAAGACTTGGAACCAACCCAAATGTCCATCAATGATAGACTGGATTAAGAAAATGTGGCACATATATACCGTGGAATACTATGCAGCCATAAAAAAGGATGAGTTCTTGTCCTTTGTTAGGGACATGGATGAAGCTGGAAACCATCATTCTCAGCAAACTATTGCAAGGATAAAAACCCAAACACCGCATGTTCTCACTCATAGGTGGGAATTGAACAATGAGAACACTTGGACTCAGGAAGGGGAACATCACACACCGGGGCCTGTCGTGGGGTGGTGGGAGGGGGGAGGGAGAGCGTTAGGAGGTATACCTAATGTAAATGACGAGTTAATGGGTGCAGCACACCAATATGACACATGAATACATATGTAACAAACCTGCACATTGTGCACATGTACCCTAGAACTTAAAGTATAATAATAAAATAATAATAATAATAATAAAAAGAATGATACAATGGACTTTGGGGAATTGGGGGAAAGTGTGTGAGGGGGTGAGGGATAAAAGACTACACATTGAGTAGAGTGTACACTGCTCAGGTGAGGGGTGCATCAAAATCTCAGAAATCACCACTAAAGAACTTATTCATGTAACCAAACACCACCTGTTCCCCAGAAACCTATTGAAATTTAAAGAAAAAGAAATTGCTACCAGAAGCAATGTCTTGTAATTACAACTTCAATATTTTAACAAAGACATTTACTGTTATGTTATAACTGGTTGTAGACAATCACCTCTGACCACACTAATCCCAAAAGTACCATATATCAGAGACAACAAATATAGCCATTTTTTTGAAAGCCATTTTATAATAATTTAATTTAGCCAAAAAGTTTGTAATTTTAGATTACATATGCACACAGAAATTTATTATCATCACAGTACAGCCAAATTGTCACTTTGTTTCACCAGTGTGTGTATATATGTATACACATATTCAAATTGTGACGGCTTCATTAAGAATGCTAAGCTGTTTAAAGCATTCTCTGATTGTTTCTAATACTCCCAAATGGATTCCACCAATGTTTCCATTTGGCCAATCTGACATTCAGCTGTGTCACGTAGTGGCATCCAACATCCTCTCCTTCATTGAACCTTACTGAAGAACCTAACGCCTGCTCCACTGACGGTGACACCAACCCAAAAGCTGTGCCATGCATGCTGAATCCTGAAGATCTCAAAACCATTACACTTTGGGATTCCAAAGCAGAACTGGACCCATGAAGAGTCAAGGAGGAATGGGTCTCAAAGTATCTCCAGTATGTCCATAATATTACAAAATCTTTCATGCAAACAGGTTTTCCAACTTCTTGCTTTTCTGTTCTAACCCCAAAGGTCCAATTCCAGTCCAAAGAGCTAGGCTGGGAATATATTCCATGCCATCCCTTCAATTTTCCTGGTTGGCCCATTTTCTACGATCCCTGCCTTCAACCAAACTCAGAGCTTGGTGGCAAAACAGATGCTGCATGCATACCAACAGGACATAGACTGACTGTGTGTGTGTGTGTGTGTGTGTGTGTGTGTGTGTGTGTTCATGTGCAAGTGTACATGTCTATGTTTTGACTGGGGGTGAAAGGGAGGCTATGGAATGTTTTACATTCCAGGAATATCTGCATCACAATCCAGACAGTGAAAAATACATTTTAATAGGCTATTAAAAACTCACTGAAATTTCAGAAGCCATCAAAATGGTACCTACATAATTTATAGTTTATAATGTATACATTTTACTCTTTTAAATTCCTTTAGTATTTTCAAAATCCAAAGGATTCTGAAGTATCTTAAAATAATTACCATTTTAAGACACTTAAAGTAAGCAATTTAGGCTGGGCGCAGTGACTCACGCCTGTAATCCCAGCACTTTGGGAGGTTGAGGTGGAAGAATTGCTGGAACCCAGGAGGCAGAGGTTGCAGTGACCTGAGATCACACTACTACACTGCAGCCAGAGTGACAGAGTAAGACTCCATCTCAAAAAAAAGAAAAGTAAGCAATTTAGATGCTCACTAAGGTGTCATTTTAATATAAAAGAGTATAATGAGTCATAGCATGCACAAGTTAGAAGACAAAGAAAATTGTGAAAAATATGCTCAAGAAAATATACTACAGAAAATAACCTGGGGAACTATGTAATAAATTCTACAATGCCTACAATTAAAGTAAATAAATATCAAACTCTACTATGCTGTGTAAAATATGCAGAAGAGCATCTAACATCTATTTTGCAAAGCATTTACACAGCTTACAGAATATTTACAATTCATAATCATCTTTTGTTTTACTTAGAGATGAGGTCTCACTATGTTGTACAGGCTTGACTCAAACTTCTGGCCTCAAGCGATCCTCCCACCTCAGCTGCCCAAGTAGATGGGACTACAGGCATGCACCACCACACCCAGCCACAAGAATTTTGTCAATAATACCTCTCTTATTAATGTTAGCCATGATTTGGTAAATATAAGCTCCAAAAAGCTAAAGCCATTTATTCAAATAAGTGACTTTATTAAAGTCATTGTTTAAAATTTAAGTACATCAAGAAAATGAAAATTTATAACAATATATTTCCTCTTAAATGTGAGTAAGCTTAGTACAATCATGCTAAGAAAACAAAATAATTTAATTGATAAGAATCATGTTTTGGCAAAAAAAAAAAGTCATCAATACAATTACTCTAAGATCACTAAAGAACTAGGAAAACAAGAGCATAATTAGGAAATCCTTTGTTCCAGGGCATGATGAGATGAACTTGCCTTATAAAGTCATTTATCACAACCCTAAGTTGCATAAATGTAATGATAAAAGGTCCATTACCAAATTTGCACTTGGAAATCATTTCAAGATACCCTCCCTTTGTGGAGCGGGGAATAAACTTACATGCCAACAAAATATATGAGATATAGAATAATCTTCAGAAAATATAGCTAAGTCAATGTGAATGCTAGTAAAACTTTTTAAAAACATACAAAAAAAGAAGGAAATGACAAATAGTTCCCTTAAACTTTTCAAGACTTTCCTTCACCAAGCTTCAACTTAAGGCTTTTCTCATACAACTGGAATAGATTTGTAATTTTTCCCCCTTATAATTCTCTTTGATGACCTCCAGATTGTAGGACAGCACATCCTGCCAAGCATTTTAAGTGCACATTCATTTTGTTACATTGAAAAAACCCTAAAGGTTCAAATTCTATCTAATTAAGTACATTCCTCATCTCATGGTTCAATTAATTTCACTCACCATAAAGCATATGTGAGTCTCTTCCAGCCACTTCCTATTTAATTTATTTCAACTCCCAGAAAACTGGCTCCTTCTTAACTCACACTTCCAGATTACCCTATTTCCTTATAATTCACTGTTCCCCTATCCCCCTTCTATAGGGGGATATATAGATTAGTATATAGTTTATATAGTATATAGATTATTACTTTTATTTTCGTTTTATAGTTGAGAAAGATTATTACTTTCATTTTCATTTTATAGTTGAAAAAGTGAGCACTTACTATGTGTCAGGTTCTATTCTAGTCCATTGCCATCTACTCTCCTCTGCTGAGGAAGTGACAGTTCTGAGTTCTATCACCATTGATTCAGATGGCTGATTCATTCTTGATCTACATATAAACGGAATCTTACAGCATATACTCTTTTTGTCTGGCTTCTCTGCTTAACATAATGTTCTGAAGATTTACCCACATTGCTGTAGGAAGAGCTGGTTTGATTCCCAGCTCAAATACTCTAGTCATGAGACCTCCACACAGAACTGAAGCTCCAAAGGAAAAGGAACTTTTATCTTTTTTGCAGTGTTCTTTATCTTGATTAGAGTGATGATTACCCAGTTGTAGACATTTGTCAGGATCCATCAAGCTCTATCCTTGAAATCTGTGCATTTTACTACATGTAATTATGGCTTAAAAATATAGTAAAAAAATTTTCAAACTCCTGTTCTCCCAACCATACTTTCTCTTCATTTATCAAAGGCTTCAACAACCTCTAAACTATTTTTTTTAATACTTTACATTCTAGGGTACATGTGCACAACGTGCAGGTTTGTTACATATGTATACATATGTCATATTGGTGTGCTGCACCCATTAACTCGTCATTTACATTAGGTATATCTCCTAACGCTATCCCTCCCCACTCCCACCACCCCACAACAGGCCCCAGTGTGTGATGTTCCCCTTCCTGGGTCCAAGTGTTCTCATTGTTCAATTCCCACCTATGAGTGAGAACATGCGGTGTTTGGGTTTGTCCTTGCCATAGTTTGCTGAGAATGATGGTTTCCAGCTTCATCCATGTCCCTACAAAGGACATGAACTCATCCTTTTTTATGGCTGCATAGTATTTCATGGTATATATGTGCCACATTTTCTTAATCCAGTCTATCATTGATGGACATTTGGGTTGGTTCCAAGTCTTTGCTATTGTGAATAGTGCTGCAATAAACATATGTGTGCATGTGTCTTTATAGCAGCATGATTTATAATCCTTTGGGTATATACCCAGTAATGGGATGGCTGGGTCAAATGGTATTTCTAGTTCTAGATCCTTGAGGAATCGCCACACTGACTTCCACAATGGTTGAACTAGTTTACAGTCCCACCAACAGTGTAAAAGTGTTCCTATTTCTCCACATCCTCTCCAGCATCTGTTGTTTCCTGACTTTTTAATGATCGCCATTCTAACTGGTATGAGATGGTATTTCATTGTGGTTTTGATTTGCATTTCTCTGATGGCCAGTGATGATGAGCATTTTTTCATGTGTCTGTTGGCTGCCTAAATGTCTTCTTTTGAGAAGTGTCGGTTCATATCCTTCGCCCACTTTTTGATGGAGTTGTTTTTTTCTTGTAAATTTGTTTGAGTTCTTTGTAGATTCTGGATATTAGCGCTTTGTCAGATGAGTAGTTTGCAAAAATTTTCTCCCATTTTGTAGGTTGCCTGTTCACTCTGATGGTAGTTTCTTTTGCTGTGCAGAAGCTCTTTAGTTTAATTAGATCCCATTTGTCAATTTTGGCTTTTGTTGCCATTGCTTTTGGTGTTTTAGACATGAAGTCCTTGTGCATGCCTATGTCCTGAATGGTATTGCCTAGGTTTTCTTCTAGAGTTTTTATGGTTTTAGGTCTAACATTTAAGACTTTAATCTATCTTGAATAAATTTTTGTATAAGGTGTACGGAAGGGATCCAGTTTCAGCTTTCTGCATATGGCTAGCCAGTTTTCCCAGCACCGTTTATTAAATAGGGAATCCTTTCCCCATTTCTTGTTTTTGTCAGGTTTGTCAAAGATCATATGGTTGTAGATGTGTGGTATTATTTCTGGGGGCTTTTTTTTTTTTTTTTGTAGTTTACAGACGTAAAACAGGATCCTGGCAGTTCAGCCTGCTCTCTAGCATTCATTAACATGCCACAGTCTAGCAGGCAGATCACCTTGCACCAAATTCACCTTTAAATACTTACCCTTTGCTAGTTTTTAAATTGTGTTCCCAGTCCTTTTCTCAAGCTTCATTTTATTTTAGTCTCTAGTCTTCCTAACTCTTGCTTCATTTGTCTTAGGTTATGTTCGTATTCTTCCATTTAATATGGACACGTGTGCCTAGTATGGTAATTTGATGTGCAATAAACATTGGTTTATTTAGTTTTCTCCTGTTTTTCATTTCCATTGTGATCTATCGTGTCTTGCTGTTTCTAGTCAGTTGACCACACTTAGTTTCTCCTTCCTGTAATCTGCTGTCCAAGTAAACAACTGCTTCACTTTTATGATTCCGAGATGTTCACTTAAGGTTCTCACTTACTTCCAAGTTTTGAACCTGCTTTCTTATTAGTCTGAAAGAAGACCAGAACACTGCTTCCCTCAATATATACACTTTCTTCTTATAAATGAAAATTTCAGCAAATACTCCGCTTTTAGTAGACTAACTCCTCCACCAGCTGTCCAAACATTTGAAGGTCCTGCTTCTCAACTATGTTTTGCCTTAGTGCTACTATTATTCACAGCTCCCTACAGGGTAAGAGGTCTATAGTATACATCCTCACAAATATACTTTTGGTTTCTCTCTCCAATGGAGAGAGAATACTCAGAAAATCATAATTGGAGGGCCTTCTCAACACTGTTTCTTCCTTTTCTATTAAATCCATTTTCTAAAGAAAAAAATTATAACAACATATATTTATTCAAGAATAAATAAGTTCATTATATTATTATTGACCCTATTTCAATGATATCTATGGGAATTATATTTCCATGCTTGTTGTTACTTTTTAAATTATCTATTTATAAGTGTACATATGTGAGAATAAATAGTGGTAAGGTTTAATCTGACAGTATTACATTAATAGTATCAAACAAGTTAAATATAGTTTTGAGTGATATAGTTTTGATAATACAGCATAAGATTTTGAATTAATATGAATATAGGAACTTTTATAATACTTTAAAATAAAACCTACCAGTTTAAGTTGAAATTCAATAAAATTATTAATATTCAGATAATGCATTCATACATATACATATACATATTATACATATGCATACATGTAATTTCTTAGCTACATCTCTAATGATTAGATAGATAGGGGAAAGAATCCATTCTGAGAAAGAAAATGGTACTATTGGGTGATGAGCAGAGTCCTCAGAGAATAAAATAAAACAGTTCATTTCTGTTTCTATCAAGTCGTTTATCAATTCCCACTATATCTGTCTTCAAAGTGCTTTTTTGCCCGTTATTTCCCCCAGGGTCCTGGCTCTCAGACAAGAAGAGAGGATAGCACTGGAACCTCTAGATCCCTTTTCTTAACTTGGACTGCAACAACAAAATATCAGAGACTAGATGACTTAAACAACAGACACCTATTTTCTTACAGTCCTAGAGGCTGAGAAGTTCGAGATCAGAGCACCAGCATGGTCGGGTTCGTGGTGAAGGCTTTCCTCTCAGCCCACCATATGGCTGGCTGCCTTCTCACTGTATCATCACACAGCAGAGACGAAAATCTTGTGTTTCTTCCTCTTCTTATAAGAACATTAATCCCATCATGGGGACTCTACCTTCATGATATCATCTAAATCTGATTATCTCCCAATGGGCCCACCTCCTAATACCATTACATTGGGGGTTAAGGCTTCAACATATGAAATTGGGGGAGACACAAACATTCCTTTTATGATACTTTCCAATTCCTTTAGAAACCTAGAAACAATTCAGCTACAAGACACAATTTTCACTTACACTGCCACCTCTTAAAGCTCTAGTGTATTGTTATCCTCACCTAGCTGGACATTCTGCAGCTGCTCTGCAAAAATACTCTCCATCCTTCCCTACCTTGCTCAGTGCCACAGAGAGCTAGCTTTGTGGGCTGCATCCAGAATGCCCCTGACCTTAGTCTTCTAGCTGCGTCGGCCAAGTAGAGGCCCTGCAAAAGATCAGAGTAAAGAAGAAGAATGAATCTTAATTTTTTCCTTCAAGGGCCCACCAGTATCTGTATTTCTCTTCCGAAGGCCACACTATCAGGTAGATTTTGGGTTCAGCTCACCAGCCCTTACTCTGTCCTTCAGGCCTATGGTTGGTAACTGCCTCCAGCTGGTGCTGGTGCTTCCTCTTACCTGTCCCACACCCTTGAAAATACCCCCTCATTGCACTCCCCTCAATGACATCACCCATTTCCATTCAGGACTTTGTCTGTGTACACAGTCCCAGTCTCCTTTCTCCATATCACCCCAAATCTCCTCCTATTAGCCTAGTTTGTCACGAGCCTATGCCCCAAAGGGGGAAGGGCAAGTGCCAAGCCATAAGGAAGGGTCAAGGGCAGGAACAACCCACGCTGCCTCATAAAGGAGTGGCTTGTATAAGTAATAAATTCAAGTCACACGATAAACAGAGATCTATGTATGGACATTATTAAGAGTTAAAAACTGACCATATTTGGCTTAAAAATATGAAAATCTTACCCAGAGTTAAAGCTTTGCCTCTCAGCTGCCAAAATAAACACTGCAGTATACTTACCAACTTCCAACTCTTATAATGTTAGAATGTAACCACTTCTCTGAAGTTTTACCTGCTATAATTTAGGCATAACTAGGTTTTTCTTTTAACTTGAAAAATATGCTTTTAAATTGCTTTTATTATATTGATGGGACAATTAAGAAATGATAAGAATCACTCTGTGGGGGAAATCAAGGGCTCTCAAAGAAGGTTCTCAAAAGCAGGCTTGGTTCAAGTCTCATCTCACTGGAATCATTGAGAAGCATCTTCTGGGATCACTTCCAGAAGGAGAATGTACTCAGAGACTAAACAGCTGCAGGTTCTACTTGCTCCCCTATTCTTCCCCAACTCCAAGATTTTTAGATAAAATTAGGCCCAAAATTAATATAATGAACAGCATAAAATGGAAAAGTAAGTAACAGAAAAGAAACCTGAGGGGTTGGAAAGTATCCTATCTTGGTCCATTGCAATGTTCTCTTTTTATTTTCAATATCCACTGAGTTTGGAAAAACGTGCCCCTTTGTAAATTTCTAGGTTGACATATAAAATGCCTTCTTCACCACAGTTTAAATAGCTGCACAGAAAGAAATTTCCAGAATATTATAAATACTAACATTACCCTTTTAAGTATATCCAATAAAATATAAATATTACATCAATATGATGCCATCATCATCTATTTTACAAACATATGAGCAAATACATGCTCAACTCTTCAAGTGTCAAAAATTTGGCTTGGTCCTTTTTTTCCTCAAAACAATTATTCTGTGTGATTTCTCCTGCAGAATCTATAATAGAATATTATTTTAAAGTAATTTTTTATTATACTTTAAGTTCTGGGATACATGTGCAGAACATGCAGGTTTGTTACATAGGTATACATGTGCCATGGTGGTTTGCTGCACCCATCAACCCATCATCTACATTAGGTATTTCTCCTAATGCTATCCCTCCCCTTGCCCCCAACTCCCCGACAGGCCCTGGTGTGTGATGTTCCCCTCCCTGTGTCCATGTATTCTTACTGTTCAACTTACGAGTGAGAACATGCGGTGTTTGGTTTTCTGTTCTTGTGTTAGTTTGCTAAGAATGATCATTTCCAGCTTCATCCATGACTCTGCAAAGGACATGAACTCATTCTTTTTTATGGCTGCATAGTGTTCCATGGTGCATATGTGCCACATTTTCTTTATACAGTCTATATTTAATGCTAAAATTATTTTTGATCACCTTAGCATATTTCTCTGCCACAAAAATACGCCTATAAAATGAAATTAATTTTTGCTGCCTATGATAATAATACCTAAGAATTACAGGTTTCCTTCTGGAGTATTGTTTTAATTATTAGTAGTTCACAATAATAAATAATAGTAATTACTATTAAAAACAGTAGTATACATTTTATTTATCAATTAAAAACAAATTTTAAACTGTAATAATAGTATATAATTGATCAATAAATTATAAGTAGTACACAAATTTTGGTGAAAATTGCTAAACATAAAAAGAATAATGTATTGGAAATGTTTATTTTAATGAGCTGGATTAGAGGTAATGCTTATGCACTCTGATTGAAGAAGATTTTGCTGCCAGTCCTACTGTAATTTCTCCTTTCCCCACGTCTTCCTCCTGGAGGCTTTTACACTACCGAGTACAGCAGCATGGTGAGTTCAGGATGGGTCTGCATTTCTTTGTAATTCTTTATATTTCTGTATAAAATGGGAAAGGAGCAAGCTTTTTTTTTTTTTTTTTTTTTGAGATAGCATCTTGTTCTGTCTCCCAGTCTGGAGCCTGCAGTCTTGACCTCCTAGGCTTAAGCCATCCTCCCACCTCAGCCTCCTGGGTACCTGGAAGTACAGGTACACACAACCACACCCAGCATTTTTTGTTTGTTTTGTTTTGTTTGGAGAAATGGAATCTCACTATGTTGTCAGAGCTGGTCTCAAACTCCTGGCTTCAAGAAATCCTCCCACTTTGGCCTCTCAAAGTACTAAAATTACAGGCATGAGCCACTGTGCCTGGCTGAAAGAAGCAAATTTGAAAAAAAAGGAAAACCACAGACACAGATCAGTTATCTGGCAAATTAGTTTTGGTAGAGTATATAGAGAAGTCAAACAAATGAAAACTGATTCCCTTAAAACTACTTTTCAGTGAGCCAAGATCACGCCATTGCACTCCAGCCTGGACAACAGAGCCAGACTCTGTCTCAAAAGAAAACAAAACAACAACAAAAACAAAAACAACTACTTTTGCTCATATGCTCTTTGGTTAGCTTCCAAATATCTCCCAATAGAATCTATAGATGTTATTGTATTTGTCCTGTTGGCAGACATGAGAAAAACTCCCCACATAACTCTCTGAAACAGCAGCACACGCCCCCTTGCAACACACTCCCCACCACAGGGAATTGCCCAATTCCGTTATCTTAGAGATGCTGTTTCACTTAATCAACAGATTCTGTTACTCTAGGAATTAAAAATTGATTTGGTAAAATTTCAATTACTCAAATACTGGTAAAGGTTATTCTTTGTCTGGCCGGACGCGGTGGCTCACTCCTGTAATCCCAGCACTTTGGGAGGCCGAGGCGGGCGGATCATGAGGTCAGGAGATCGAGACCATCCTGCCCAACATTGTGAAACTCCGTCTCTACTAAAAATACAACAACAAAATTAGCCAAGGGTGATGGCAGGCACCTGTAGTCCCAGCTACTCGGGAGGCTGAGGCGGGAGAATGGCGTGAAGCCGGGAGGCGGAGCTTGCAGTGAGTGGAGATGGCCCCACTGCACTCCAGCCTGGGAGACAGAGCAAGACTCTTTGTCTTAAAAAAAAAAAAAAAAAAAGTTTATTCTTTGTCAATATTGCTTCAGTTATTTTCTTAAGACAATTTAAATCAGCCCAGCAAAAATGAGCAATTAACTGAACCAGTCAATAAGCCAATCTTTGCTGGGCCCAAACTACATGTTCTATTTTGTATTAGATCCTGATAAGGTTTCAAAATAAATAAGAGGCACAGACCTTATCTTCTACAGTTTTTCTGGAGAAAAGAGTATCATGCCCCCAGAAAAGATATAACTAATAGCGCAATACACTGTAAGTTCATTCCCACATGACAAATCCAAGGGAAAAAAATAACTATGTAATATTAAGTTTATAAAATGAAATAAGAATTTTCATAGTGGAGAAAATGTTTTAGGTTAAAAACTATTCAACTTTTAGCTTAGAAGTCTGATGTTGCTCTTTGAATGGCATATGTGTTGGCTAACATCTTGTACAAAAATGCTAGTGACTAGGAAAATGTAAATCAATAAAATACCATTTCTCATACACTAGGATGGCTATAATTAAAAAAACACATAATAACTAGTATTCATGGGGACATGGAAAACATGCTAGTAGGAATGTAAAATGGTGCAGTCACTTTGGAAAACAGCCTGGCAGTTCCTCAAAAGATTAAACATAGAGTTAACATGATTCACTCCTAGGTATATACCCAAGAGAAATGAAAACAAGTGTGTATTTTAAAACATAGATACAAATGTTCAAAGCAGCATTATTTGTTATAACCCAAAAGTGGAAATAACCAAATGTCCATTAACTGATGAACAGATAGCATTGCTAAAAAGGAATATTATTCACCAATAAACCTTGGAAACATTAGGCTAAGTGAAAGACATCAGTCACATAAACCACATATTGTATGAATTCATTTATAGAAAATGCCCACAATAGGCAAATCTACACAGACAGAAAGTAGCTCAGTAGTTGCCTAGGACAGGAGGAGATGGAAAGCTCGGGTGATGTTAGCTAATGCGTCTGGATTTCTTTTGGGGTAATAAAAATGTTTTAAAATTTATTGTGGTGATTGATGATTGTACAACTCTGTGAATATACTAAAAACTATATTGTACACTTCAAATTTGTAAATTATATGTTAGATTAATTATAGCTCAATAAAGCTGTTATTTAAAAAAAGAAACATAAATATGTCTAAATATTTTTCTGTATTTATTCCAACTTTTACTTATTCTCCCAAATCATACAAACTACATACATTTCCTTCTATGATTTTAGTCTGGCATTTTTTGAGGCATTTCACAGCTATTTGGGTAGAACCTGCAGCCATGTGGGTGGCTGTTTCCCTGGCTGGTGCTCCAGGGTCAGCCCACTCCCCTTGGAGAGGCATGTGCCACTCCCATGGATTTGGAATGCTATCCACCTGTTTTCTCCGGCCCCCCACTTTTGTTTGTTGTTGAAGAACTAGCAAAGTCCTGACTATCCAAGTTTCTCAAATTAATTATAACTTTCTGGTGTTATCAATCAGAAAATCAGTAGGGAAAAATTCTAAACAATAATTGGCCCACAACTAACTTTTTATTTGCCTTTGAAATAATGTGTGCTTTTAATCACAGATTTAAATTATTAATTCCATTTTGGATACAATATGAGCACTCCAATTGCAGAATGTTCACACTGAAGAGGGTTGAAAGGAAACTATCTGAGGCATTTCTAGTATTCAGAGGAAAGCAACTACAGAATTGAACGTTTGTTTGAGAATCACCATAAAATGTGTAATTCATATGCAGATAATAAAAGATTCATGATTTGATCTTTGAGCTTCCAGAACAATAGCACCTCACTGTGTAGAAAAATAAAGCCAACTATATTACGCAAGCACACACCTTAAATATTTTATTATTGAAAAATTCCTTTCAAATAAGTGTGATATCTCACTGGATGAGTCCAGGACGATGTATAAAGAAATGTGGGTTTATAGCCTGGATTCAACATTTAATAATCATGGAAACTTCGTCAAATCTGTGAACTTCCCTGAGCCTCAGTTTTTTTGTCTCTAATATGGGTGTAATAGCAATAACCCGGCCTGCTCACAAGATAGTTCTTAGGAGCAATGTGACAGTACTTGCAGAAAAATGTAAAAGATGTGTATAATATTAAGAATTATTACTCAGATGAGCAAATTGGACCTTATTCAGTATGAGGCCCCCTCCCTCCCCTCCCTTTGGTTGCCTTATTTGTAAGCATTGACCCTCTAAGTAGGCTAAAATTTATTGAGTATCTTTTCTGAAAATTACAGAGATAAACATTGTCTCAAGCATTTTCTTTTATTATTACGTTTCTGCTATTTGTCATTGAAGAACCCAACGATAAGAGAGGTTGACTAACAACCAAATTTATACCTGAGTTTTAGATCAGAAATTAAAACCTGGGAGGCCGAGGCGGGTGGATTACGAAGTCAGGAGATCGAGACCATCCTGGCTAACATGGTGAAACCCCGTCTCTACTAACAATACAAAAAATTAGCCTGGCATGGTGGTGGGCGCCTGTAGTCCCAGCTACTTGGGAGGCTGAGGCAGGAGAATGGCGTGAACCCGGGAGGCGGAGCTTGCAGTGACCAGAGATCGTGCCACTGCACTCCAGCCTGGGCAACAGAGCAAGATTCCACCTCAAAAAAAAAAAAAAAAAATTAAAAGCTAACTCTAAACTTACATTTTTTTTTGTAATACACCATGCTTTTGGGGGAAATTCTCCCTTCTGTAATCTAAACAACCTCCCTTCCTTTAAAACACTCACATTAGAGGATCCACCATCCATAGCTCCTGAAAAGGGAAGAGGATGATGTGAAGACGATTATCAAGCTAGGGTGGCGATACGTCCTAATATGCCTAGGACAGTCCCTGTGTAGGCTGATTGTAATTATCCTGATGTAATTGTGATGTAATTATCAACAATTCCGCCCTCTCTTTTTACTCTCAAAAAGTTTTGGTTTGAATCTGAGGTGGTTAACACTGACTCTTTACAGTGAAGGTTAACCAGAATCACCAAGAAATTACATATGTATTTCTCAACTGTCATCCCTACATATCAAAGTCATAGATTTCTAAACGTGCTAAAGATGTTCTTCAGCTGGGTGCGATGGCTCACACCTGTAATCCCAGCACTTTGGAAGGCCGAAGCAGGCGGATCACTTGAGATCAGGAGTTCAAGACCAGCCTGGCCAACATGGTGAAACCCTGTCTCTACTTAAAAAAAAACAAAAACAAAAACTAGCTAGGCATGGTGGCACATGCCTGTATTCCCAGCTACTCAGGAGGCTGACGTGGTAGAATCACTGGAACCCGGGAGGCAGAGGTTGCAGTGAGCCGAGATCGCGCCACTGCACTCCAGCCTGGGTGACAGAGGAGACTCTATCTCAAAAAAAAAAAAAAAAAGATAAAAGGAAAAGAAAAAAGAAGATTTTCTTTAAGTTTATGTAGTTAGACTAAGCTTTATGTACATGTCTGAAGAAGATAAAGTCCTGGTGAATAATTAGACTGAAGAGGCAGGAAAGACAAGAGAAATAGAGAGCACATAAATGAAGAACTGTGAGACAGCATGTGTTAACATACTCAGAGAAAAATAATCTACTGGCTGATAATAAGATATGTTAAAAGGCAGTCTGGAAAAGCAAGATATTTCCTCCAGCATTTGATGTTTTTTCTTCCTAGGAGGCAAGTAGAGTGGATAAGAGTGCATTTTTCATTCCCCAAAGAGACATTTTAGCAAGGTTGATTGTTTTGGCCCTTGTGTTTTCCTATGAGTGTGTGTTTGCCAGGGACCCACCTCTTGGAAAGAATATCAGTTTCAAACCAGTACTCAATTATGCTTTTCACTAACTCATAAGTTTAAAATGACAGCAGAGATCTGTCACCTTTTACTCTAGACATTGCCAACCTCAATATTTTCTTCTACTCTTGTTGAATTATCTGTTTTTTTAGATAATTTTTTTGTTTTTGCTATTCAAAATCAAAGTTTTACATACATATAGTGAAAATGTAATTGTAACTCTGATTCACTGCTGATGGGGGTGTAAATTAATATAATCACTTTATAATACGGCAGTAACTAGTATTATCGAATGTGTATTTACCCTTTAATGCTTCAAATATTTTCTTAGATATAAACCCAACAGAAATGTGTATACATCTAAACCAAGACACATATTTAGAAATGTTCATAGTAGTGTTATTCATAGCATCCCCAAACAGGAAGTGGCCCATATTCCATCAACATTAGAATGAATAAATAAACTGTGGTTTGTTCATACAATAAAACACCATGTGCAAAAACCAAGAATAAGATGAAATGAAAATGAAAGAATTACTCCTATTTACAACTTGGATGAATCTCACAGTCATGTTTACCAAAATGAACTAGACACAATAGAGAGTAATGTATAATTCTCTTTACAAAAAATTTAAAACAGGCAAATCTAATGCATGATGTTAAAGGTTAGGATAGTAGTTACTTTGTGGGAGGAGGATATAGGTGGTGACAGAGATAGGCTTCTGAGGTCTGGTGATGTTCTATTTCTTGATCTGAGTGAAACTTATAAGGTGTGTTTTCCTTGTGATCTTTGGGCTGTATACTTATGATTTATCAGTTTTCTGTGTGTGTGTGTGTGTGTATATATATATATGTGCATACACACAAGAATATTCACTAAATTGTGCATCCTTTAAGGTTCTTTGGCTACTCTGTAGATCAAGTAAATTATGAGAAGGGAGTGGGAATGAACACCCAAACATGGAGCCTGTGGAGGTTTCTCAGGTGAGATCTGAACCCAGACCAGGGAGGAGAAGTGAAATGGGAGAGGGTGAAAGCACTGATTTTGAAGGTAGAACTAACAGGCCTCATTGGAGAAGAAGTAATGAGGGAAATGGAGGAATGAAAGCTGACACGTAGGGTTTGAGGTTGACTGACTGTGTGAACACAGAATGATCAGATTTGGGGATGGGAGTCCACAGGTAGGTTTTGGGGCATAGGAAATCTGAGATGTCAAAGTTGTCAGCATGATATATCAATTTGAAGCTTGAAAATAGCTAGAACTATAAATTTAGAACTTGTCAGTATATAGATGGTATTTATAGCCATTAAATTGGAATGCCTCATAAGTCTGTTCTCAACCCTTCCTTATTCAACATTTTATCAGTCACCAGGAATAGAGGTGTAAACAAACCCACAGATTAACAGTGAAGTAATACACAGAAAACAGTGTAAAAGGAAACTCAAAGCATGATAAAATAGAGTAGGTATAATTAGTTGCCTTAGGTTCAAATAATCAATTGTTTCATACTAGCAGTGTGACCTAACCAAAATACAAAAGACTATAAAAGACATAAAGATTTAATTTCAAATGAGATGCATTTGATTCAACAATAAGATACAGCAGTCTAGAGAGCAATACAAAAAAGGTAATATAGTTTTCTCATTTTATCCTGTGCTCTTCCAACCCCAGACCAAGTGTCACAAGATATGGGAACAGCTTCAGAGAAAAAGAAAATTACAAGAAATATTTGGAAACAGTGACACGTGAAAAACAACTGAAAGAAATGGAGCTGCTTAGCTAGAAAAGAGATAAAGTGGGGAGAGGGACTGGTGTTTAAAATCTACCTTCAAATACTTCAAGGGTGACATTTAACACCTTTTTCTTAAAAAACTACAAAAGGCAGAATTAAGACGAGATGATAGGTAGATAGATAGATAGATAATCAGAAAAATAAATCCTGACACAGAATAACACAGAATTTTCTAAGAATTATATTTGAGTTGCCTAATAAGGTAATTCTCCATTGCCAAAATATTCCAGCAAAGCCTGTATGGCCACTGTGAAGATTCATGGATGAGTGGATCGTTGGTCTAGAGCCTCTAAGTTCTTCCCAACTCTGAGATGTTATGAATGGACAAGCAATTATTTTGAAAAGGAAAAAAAAAAGAATGTAAGAAACAGAGAGGAAGGAGCAGGAGAAAAGGGAAGGAAAGGGAAACATTTATATTATCAAACACTTTCCCTGGCAGAAAAAGACAAACTAACAAGTAAACACTGAATAAATTTAGGGGAAAATAAGATTTGCGACAGGAGTGTGGTCTTCTAAAGCAGGTTTTAATATCCTAAAACATCTCCCTATGCCTAAAAGAAATTTCCTGGATTTTATTCTTTTCCTAAAGAACAGCCCAGCTGTGGTAAATAATCAGCATTCTACAGTTTTAAGTAATTTAAACCTATCAGTCAGTCATTTGACACCTCTCATTTCTTGTGTTATATCATTTTTTCAACAACATGACTTGCAATACACACATGGTGAAATTGGAGAGGATTTTACAAAATGATAATATAATAACTCTATTTTTGCCCCAAACATTTAGCTATTTGTGCTCTACTCCTTCAGAAAATACTTTGCTTTCATAGTAAAAGTCTTCAGAACCAAGTAATTTGAGTAGCATGCCCTTTATAGCAACATTCTGCAAATTCTACTATTTCCAAATAAAGTAGTGTGCAGTTTTTCAGGACCACAATGTTTTACTATCTAAGTTTATTTCTGGTAACCTATTTATCCAAGAGATTCCAATGACTGCAATACTTTTTAAAAGGTAAAAAGGCATACCTTTTAGTACTATGTGTAATTATATGAACGTATATCGATGGACAATAAGTAACAAGCAGAATTTTACGTATATTCACTATTATGAAGTGGGGGGGACTCCCTCTGTCTATCTGGCACATAATTGTTATCATTTCCAAAAAGTGAAATGGTAACATAAAGATGTTATAGAAAATAGTGCATATTTCAGTAAAATGTTTCTTTCAAGGTCAGCATGATGAGAATATTCCGAATGCTTTGAAGGATTCTACTCTTCCTCCTCTTTTTTTAAAGAAAATGCAAACATGTACTAAAGTTGCTTTTGAAATAAGACATTTATCCATTTAGTAATTGCTTAACTAGAGAAGAATTACTTCATTCAGACACTCAAGAATGTCAACAGTCTTATTTATAATGTATTTAATAGAGTACCTTCTTTATTAACTACCTGTAGATCCAAACTTCAGGCTGTTCTAAACAAGAAACTAAGAACTTAATAAGCAGTTAGCAGACACTGAGGGTCTCATTGTGCTTCAGTGGCCCAAAAAGAGTAGATACAGACATCTAAATTGCCTATTTTATGCCTTTATGTATTGTAGAAATCTGCCTTACTGTTTTGTGTAGCCACAGAACAGAAATAGACTAACTTTTTTTTAGTAAACTCTCTGGAAACAAAAATCTTCCCAGATATTTATTGTTAGGAAAATATAATCTAAAAATTCTTCTGCCCAACCCCTTGGCTGCATCCCAGTCTTCCATCTGCTTTGTGCAGTTGGATTCCCTTTGCTCTTTACTCATAAATGATTCTCTCAAGCATTAAAAGTCACCTGATAGACACCAAAGCCATAATTTGCAAGATCCAGGTGGAAGGCATTTTGTACTTTTGTTCTTACTTTTATACTGGAAATATGCAATAAGGCTAAAATTCGTTTTTTAAAAAAAGACTTCCCATTTTTTTTCTCTTGGCTAATGTAGTAGATTAGCTATGTTATTTTCAAAAATTTGCATTAACTCTAAATAAAAAACAGAATAACATTTGTAAAAAGAAAAAAGATTAGAGAACACAAAGGCTTCAAACTGAGATACAATAAATTTTTTGTCCAAAATTAAATCCCAAATCAAGAAAACAACCTTTAGATCTGTTGTTTTAGCAACTAATAATCTGCTGTGCACATTTCAGTTGGTATTTGGAAAACATTTAACTCTGTAGCTTTGTAGAAATGATATTCCCACTTGAACATAGAGGAAATTGTACTTATTGAGAGTTTAACTCAAGAGTTAGTGCACAACAAAAGTTCATTAGTGCCCATTTCATGTTCTGGAAAGATAAAATATCAGCATCCTATAGAGATGTCTTATTTGTATATACAGCATTTCAGAAATCAATGGGATACTCAAAAGATTAAACAGGAACATCCTTTACTTATGGAACACAGGATAAAATAAATCTAAAATTAATTGTCATACATCGTTTTTGAATGAGAACCAAATGACCTATCCTACCACCTCTAATTGTGAATACAGGTTTTTCAAGAGTGTACCTTCTTCCTCATTTATTTCTAATTGCCAGGCATTGCCAAACAAAAGTTAATTCTGGAAATTCTTGTAAATGAAGAGAGGTTTTTGATCAGAGAAGGTGTTGTTTGAAACAGCCAGAAGATCCAGCTTGCAACAATTACGGACAAGCTACTGTGTCTTAATATCAAGCTAAAAATTCCCTGGTCCACTGATGCAAGACTTATTTTACTCAAATTGTGAACAAAAAGACAAGTGGTAAATTAGGAGGGAAAAAAGTGAAGCAACTTTTATTAAATACCATGCAACCATCTGGCACCACTCCGCAAAGTTGATTATTGACTAACTTTAATAGCAGACATTTTTGTCTATTCCTTTAAACATTTTGTGGAGGAAATGTCCTCTGTATTGGGGGGGGTGGGGGGACAGTTGGAGGTGGGGGGCAGATAGTGGTTGAGTGTGAGTTGGAGGGTAGAAGGAGGAAATTAAAAGATGCATTGATAAAGCAGTAGGGTACAGGAGTTATGCAAGCAATAGTTTATGTAAAGCCACAGAGAGAGTGGCTTATGCCAGAAACAGCAGGTCCTTCCAAATTTCTCAAGCTTTGTCCTTGCTAACAGTAAGCAAGCCTAGGAGGGGATGCTTGAAGAACCTGGTAAGCAACTGCCCGGCTCTCCCACTAACAAGTCCATGGATTTCTCAGTTAAGGTTACTTAAAATTGCAAAAGCTATTCACTTGCTGAAGATTGTCAAAAATCACTGAATTTTATAGCTTTAAGAGAGAATCTTACAGATCAAGAAGTCCCAAGCCTGTATTTTTCCAGATATAATCATTTAAACAATCCTAACCTTTGTGAGGAAAGTATAGGAGGCCAGGCAAGGTAGACAGAGCTTGAGGCCTTGGCAGTTGCTTCCTTTTGATCTCTAGGGGAAGGGGGTGGGGGTTAATATGTATTCATTAATTAATACCAACATTGTATTGAAAAAATTGCAATTAGTCAATGATAATGGGTTCTTCTGAACATTTTACATGACAAACAAATATTCTTAAGTTTAATTTCAAAAAGACGTGGAGTTTCTTTCTATTTTTTTTTTTAAGATGGGCCTTGCTCTGTGCCCTCAAACTCCAGTCTACAATCTCAAACTCCTGGGCTCAAGAAATCCTCTTGTAGTAGCTAGGACTACAGGCATCTCTCACTACACCTGGCTAGTTTTTTTTTTATTTTTTGTAGAGACTGGGTCTCACTATGTCTCCCTCCTCAGCCACCCAGAGAGCTGGGATTATAGGTGTAAGCCACTGTGCCAGGCCTAGCCCTGGAGTTTCTAATACATTGGTGATACAACTCTGAGATTTCTAAGCATGGATTTGTAAATGAAGAGCTGGAGCTTAATTTTTCTAATTCACACAGCACTGTTTCAACATTGTCTTATTCAGTGGTTCTCAGCCTGGGAAAGAAGGAGAAAGGTGATTTTGCCCCCCAGAGGACATTTGGCAACATTTGGAAACATTTTGGTTGTCATGACTGGGAGTGTTATAGGTATCTAGTGGATAGATGCCAAGGATGTTGCTAAACATCCTACAATGCACTGGACAGTCTCTCAAGGAAAAATGATCTGGCCCAAAATGCCAACAGGGTTGAGATTGAGAAACTCTGGTCTAATCTGAACACTCTGAATATTATTAAAACATATGGTGAGATCAAGAATTTATTACTGCATTTTCGTTAATACCAATTTGCTCAAAGGCAGTTTGAAAAACAGACCCTGACTAAAATTGCATGTGCGTTATACAGGGAAAAAAATATGACACATTTGTGATTTGAAAAGGAAAAAAAGCTGAAGGGAAAAAATTAGATATTTTTATTCATAAGAGCATTGCCATACAATTTTCAATGCTCCAGAAAAATAACCTTCTTCCATTGACACTGTGCTGAAAGAAGTGAGTAACAAAATGGTTATAAACTATCCTTCTCACAAATTCTAATCTATTATCAGACTGTTATTTCTAAAATATATTAATACACCATCTAAAAAACAGCCCTCTTATCAGAAGCTATGATACATAATAAGTCAGAAGATAAATGCACCAGTAGGAATTTATTATAATTTTTTTAATTTCTCTGGATTACAGGGCACGTAAACTCTGTAGGAGGTGCTTATTGGAGAGTAATTCTGTGATCCAGAAGACACTAGAATGTGTTCAGCCATTTAGCACCCACCCACCCCCTTTCTTTTCCCTTTCCTGGTAAATTTTCCTTTATGTTCATAAGGACAGATGCCATTGCTGTGGGAATCACTCTGGTTTAAGCCTCTTGAGAAAAACAGTAGCTAACTATATTAGTCCGTTCTCACACTGCTATAAAGAAATACCTGAGACTGGGTAATCTATAAAGAAAAGAGGTTTAGTTGGCTCACAGTTCCACTAGCTGTACAGGAAGCATTATGATGGCATCTGCTCAGCTTCTGGGGAGGCCTCAGGAAACTTACAATCATGGCGGAAGGTAAACAGGGAGTATCACCTCACGTGGCCACAGAAGGAGCCAAAGAAAGGTGAGGGGGAGGTGCCACACACTTTTGAAGGACGAGATCTAATGAGAACTCACTCACTATACAGTACCAACTGCGGGGTCGGGGGGCAGGGGTGGCAGTGGGGGTGGTTGCTAAACCATTCCTAAGAACTCTGCCCCCATGATCTAATCTCTACCTCCCACCAAGCCCCACCTCCAACACTGGGGATTACAGTTCCACATGAGATTCGGGCAGGGACACAAATCCAAGCCATATCACTAACCTTATCTAAATACTGGCCAATAGGATAAGCAAAATCATTTTTATAGCTTCCTTCAAAAAATCTTATGTATTAAAATGTTGAAATGTATAAGAATTTCATCAAAATAAGAACCTCACCAGATCTGACCCAAGGGAGAGAAGATTGTTCAATAAAAAATTACAAATGGATGAATAAATGAATCCTCTCCTTTCAAGTTCTGTGCTCCATACAACAAATCTAGATGGGTCTCATTTAGATGGGATTTAGAGACACCTTTCTTAAATACCTATCATTTTACGAATGAAGCTGTTGTCTAAAGAGTCCTCTTGGCCACTTCCTGAAAACAAATCAATTATTTGTGATAACTCTCAAATGTCCTAATAATCCCATGGAAAATGTAAATGTAATGAGGACCAAGAATTATAAGGTAAGAAGTGCTAATGTCAGATTTTTACCCACTACATAAGCCCACTCTTGTACTAGGGCAGTGACTTTCTTCTTTGGGTGAGACCTTGAAATCTGGGATTATAATTTTGAATTATAATTATAAAATGGTATTTGGCTGTAAATTATCTCCTTTTTTTTTCTGTTCCTCACAGTTGATATTATGGATTCCCATAAGGATTCATGTCTTCTATTCACTTTAATGAACAGTTGTTGGGCAACAATTCTAGAAGAGTTCCAATTCTCATCAGGAGAATGGACAAGGTGGAGAAGCAGAGAAAATGCAATGAGTAGAATGTCTAAGTCATCACTTTGGAATTGACTGAACATAAATAAAAATGAGAAAGATACGTAAAAAAGAAGGGAATGGGTAAGCAGGGTGATGTCTGGGAGAGGAGGGGCTCCATAGCCATGAGAGTCAACTCTGTAACACCCTATAGGGTTACAACACTGCCCTTCATATACTGAGGTAGCAGCAGGGAAACTTTTTAATTATTAGAAATATTGAACTTTGCCTCCCACCCCCAAACATTTTTCTCATTCAGTTCCTGTTCTTTTTTATTTCTGTAATTTTTACTGTTTCAAAAATGATCTTTTTTCTTTCGGAAGAAGCAATTCTTCAAATCCAGTTCACATAAGGGGATTTGATATGTTCAACAAGCTCCAAATACACTGTATCCAGCAATACCTACTACATGCCTACTTTGAGCTCTGAGCAACCTGCACCTCAAGCCTAGTTCTCATTGTTTTGCTTTTGGCAAATTTTCACTAAGTGCCCTTCCTCCCCAAACACACGTATATGTCTACCAGACCCTAAAGCCCTTTATGAACATGCAAACTCCTCCCTTCTGAAAACCTTTGCGTGAGTGGTCAGCAGGCTAATTCATCCATTGCAATGTGGCTTTGTGTTAGGGTTCTGTTTCCGTGCTGCCTGCAAGATAATCACAGATGTGACTGCATCTTAGAAGTTCCTGAATCTTTCAAGACAGTCTGGTTCACAAGAAAATTAAAAGGTGGAGGTCGGGCGCGGTGGCTCACGCCTGCAATCCCAGCACTTTGGGAGGCCGAGGCGGGCGGATCACCTGAGGTTGGGAGTTCGAAACCAGCCTGACCAACATGGGGAAACCCCGTCTCTGCTAAAAATACAAAATTAGCCAGGCGTGGTGGTGCATGCCTGTAATCCCAGCTACTCGGGAGGCTGAGGCAGGAGAATCGCTTGAACCCGGGAGGCAGAGGTTGCGATGAGCCGAGATCGTGCCATTGCACTCCAGCCTGGGCAACAAGAGCGAAACTCTGCCACACACACACAAACACACACACACACACACACACGGTGTAGTTTAGGAAGTAAAAAAAAAAAAAAAAAAAAAATCAGATCTCCCCTCACACCTCAGATCTGAAGGCACAAACTCTAGGGCCAGGGCGTTCGCCTACCCAACTCCACATGCACTTGCAGGTCACCTAGCACTCAGGTACCTAGCACTCAGGTACATTGTGGCTCCTTACCTCTCACGACAGCAGCAACAACGTTGATTGGAAGTTTATCACTGTGTGTTACGGGCCATGGGCCATGTGTGTTAGAATTTTATGTGAAATTAACATTTAATTCTCACGGACACCCCTGAAACAGATGCCACAGCCCCCATTTTGCCAACGAGGCAGCTGAGGTTCCCAGAGGCTCAATACCAGCACCATGAGCCGCAGCACGCAAGGCAAACACAGCCGGAGGTGAGCACATACCTGCTTCGCACCCCATGCGCCTAACCACAAGGTTCCCTCCCTCCAGGAAGGCCGTTGTCTTCCCTGGGACGACTTGCCAGCTCTGAGGCATGACAGTACGGGCCCCCAGAAGGGTGACCAGGAGGCCCTCCTCGTCCCAGCTGCCGGCGTCGCCGCCCACTGCAGGGCCCGGGCTGTGACTCGTGGGGACGGTTCCCTGCGCCCCGGCGGGGGAGGTGGGCGGGGAGGGGCGGCGGGGCGCCGGGGCGGGGCTCGGGACGGCCGGGCTGGGAGCTGGAGCCCACAGCGGGAAGCGGCCGCCGCCCGGGCCTCGCAGGGCTAGGCGAGGCGAGGGGGGGCGGGGCCGGGCGCTACGGGAAGGGGAGGCCGCGCGGACCGGGAGCCGCACCGCGCCAGCCGGGCTGCAGCGGCCGCGCACCAAGGCTGCGATGGGGCTGGAGACGGAGAAGGCGGACGTACAGCTCTTCATGGACGACGACTCCTACAGCCACCACAGCGGCCTCGAGTACGCCGACCCCGAGAAGTTCGCGGACTCGGACCAGGACCGGGATCCCCACCGGCTCAACTCGCATCTCAAGGTGAAGCCCGGGGCGGGCGGGCCCAAGTCCCCGCTGAGGCCGGGAGGTGCGGGCGCCCCTCAGCCCCGCCCTAACCCGTCCCACCATTGCTACCGGGTCGGCCCCGCAGGGTCTGAGACCCGCACCCTTCCCCGGTCCCACCCGTCACCAGGCCGCCCGCGTAGCCAGGAATTCTTAGCCAGGTTCCTGTGCGCCCACCGTGACCCTAAGAGAAGAGGCGGACGCCCTGGCACGTCCTTCCCTCCTGCTTCCCCCGCCCAAAGCGCTCCCGGTTCCCGGGGCGTCAGGTTGGCTGACAGTTCGGGGTCCCTGCGTCCTGTCTCCTCAGCTGGGCTTCGAGGATGTGATCGCAGAGCCGGTGACTACGCACTCCTTTGACAAAGTGTGGATCTGCAGCCATGCCCTCTTTGAAATCAGCAAATACGTAATGTACAAGTTCCTGACGGTGTTCCTGGCCATTCCCCTGGCCTTCATTGCGGGAATTCTCTTTGCCACCCTCAGCTGTCTGCACATCTGGTGAGACGGGGCACACCGGGTGGACCGGCTTTCTGAAACATGGGCATATTCTCCGCCACCTGCCCCCTACTCTCCTCTTATCCCAGGCCGGCGTCAGGAGGAGGAACGCGCATCAGTTCCCAAGCAGTAGGAAGAACTGGAAGGCCTTGAAAGGCAATGCGCTTCCTTTAGAATAACAGTTTGGGCTTGGAGTTTCAACAGGAGAAAGAATGTCGGTCTTTCCTGGGGTGTGATTTTCCTTGCATACATAAGGCTGGGCTGAGTGTGGAGGCGGGTACCTGGAAGCCACACTTCTTACCACAGGCTGCTCTCGGGGCCCTGTTGTGACTCGTACCTGCGGTTCTGGGCAGGACTCTTCTTTCTTTCATTGCCTTTTATTCAGTCACTGCCTGTGCTTGGGGTAAAACAAAAGTGATCTCTGAGCAGAATGCCGCTGACAGTAGAATTGGATGAGGATGTCAGACCTGGTTAAGCAGTAGTGTGGAGGGGCTGCTTCAACTTTGCCCCTGGCAGATGGCAAGGATGGGACCCAGAGGAAAGGGAGGTGTGTGCAGTTAAGGCGAGGGTCCCCCCCAGTACAAACGAATGAAAACTCCAGCTGCGGGATAATGAATGAGAAGGCCTCCAAATTACTTTTTCACTGATGAAACACAAATGGAAGTGGCATATAATTAAAGGGGAAAGAAATATGGAAGCCCACTGTATATTGATAGGATATTTTGAGTAACTCTATTCATACTCAAAATGTGTCCTAAACTGTAGAGAACTTTCTTAAGCATCTTTTAAATTTTTTATGGAAAATGTCATATTTTACCAATAAATGTTGTTGTGTTAGAAAATATCCACTTTAATCTGAGAGGAAGAATATTCAGATCATCCCCAGTATCACAACAGTTGTCACGCTAGTGCTTCAGGTTAGTCCTGGTGAAAGGTATAACCCAAGGTACCTCCGTGTCTTTCTTACACCTTTTATGATATTGCCACACCCTGATAAATACTCGGTGTTCATTGTTAGAAGTTACCAATTTATCCTTTATTTCTCTATACCACCTGAATCTTAATTTATTTAGTCAGTTAGCTAGCTAGTTAGTTCAACAAACTTTAAATTGATTGAGTGCTTAGTTTGTGCTGGGCACTGGGCCAGGATGAATGAGAGATAGGGTCTGCCTTCAGCTTACTCACAGCCTTATCAGGGCAGCTGGCTAGGTACAGAGATGGACGCTGAGAAAACACAGTCAACTGACAAAGAGGGAGGAACAGACAAGGCTTTGAAGAGTGAAAGGAGTCGAAAAAGACTTTGAAAGGATAAATGAAAATTCACCAAATACGTAAAGGATACACAAAGAACACCAATTTAATTTTATCACTAAAGGTTGTAAACAATTAAACTATGTTGAAGGTGCCAAGATTGCCAGGGAAATGAAAATGTTGCCTTAGTACATGATCAGCTTCATGAAGGTCAAATGGATAGTTATATTCTGACATTTGCACTTGAATTTTTTTTAAGATCCCTGAGTTGGCACATAAGATTTGGGATTCCCAATTAACTAAAACTAATCATCTAACCTCTATGTCAGTTTTCTCACTTTCAAAACTGTGAAAAACTGAGTGACCGCATAGCATATTGTGAAATGCTGACTATGAAGCTATTTGGAAATGTGAAGTACCATATTTATAGTCAACAAAGCTAGGCTTCCCAAAGCTTTTGTGAAAGAATTTGAAAAAAAAAAGTTTCTCATTTACTAAGTGGTGGAAAGATATAAGTAAAACTACAATTAACCAAGCAATGCCTCTCTCCAGCTGGCTCTTCTGAGAATGGGAGGTGTTTTTGTATAGTGCTTCAATTGGTGAATCATCAATGCACCTTTTTTTAGCCACATAAAATGTATTATTTAATATTATTTAACTTCAGCTTGTTTTTTTAACTATATTTATGTGGGGCATTAATATTTAACTGTAAAACATTTGTCACCAGGCAGCTGTGATTGCAAGTAGAGGAGTAATTTCAAACAAGAATGCTTAAAAGTTAGCTATGCCTTGATAAAATAGGTTTATCATTAATAGATTGCATTCCCATGACATGATAAGACCAGATCAAGGACAGACCTTACAGAATTGCAAACCCATTTGGGCAAGCTTTTTTTGTTTTGTTTTCTTTTTATATATATTTTTTAAAGCAGGGGCTTGTGTATTGTTTTTACCAAAAAGTTAGTGGTGACCAAAGCTAGGAAAATATGCAGTAGTGGAACTTTGAACCATGTCACAATATTAAAACAGGTCAGATTTTAGATCCTTTAAACAAACAATCAACAACAATAAAACACAGAAGTCTGGTGGTGTTGGATCCTAGACCAGAAGTACGGGCCATTAGGAATCAGTGAATTAGTTGGATTCCATACTACAGTCAGACAGAGATAGCTGCTGTTTGTTAAGCACAGGTTATTGGTCATAAGTGGATCATAACCAAAGAAATGTGGCTGGAGCACCCATATCCCTTATTTTTGCTGGAATGCAAAGCAAACAAATGCCCAACTGATGGAAATGCGATAGTAGCAATCTCATTTCTAGAAGACAGTTTTCATACAGTAAATTGCTATGAATGCAGTCTGCATGACTCTACAATTACTACAACACTAAATAAAAGTCTCTATCCTATGGCCTTATTATCCAAGGATATATATTATCCAAGGAATATATAACCTTACATATATTAATATATATAATATATATATATTATAAGATTTACTTAAGAAGTATTGGCCACATTCAGCCTCAACCAAATTTTGGGTCAATCAGAACTGCCTGGAGTTTCAGAAGCTAAACTATTTGTGATGTTGAGAACCCAACTTAAGTTTGATGTCGGAGGATCATTAGATTCTCTGCTCCAAAATGAGGGAACACAAGTAAACAAAAATAAAATCCAAATGAGTTAACAACACCCTATAAACTGAACTCCTCGAATGTGGGTAACTGCTTTGCTGAACAAGAAGATTCACTTTTGACATGTGCTAAATTCCCTTTTAGGACATGGAGATCTAAGGAGTCACGGAGATAGAAAATTTGTTAGCCTAAGGAAGAATAGAAAGTACATTGTATTCTGGCTGGGAGCAGTGGCTCTCGCCTGTAATCCCAGCACTTTGGGAGGCCAAGCTGGGCAGATCACTTGAGGTCAGGAGTTCAAGAACAGCCTGGCCAACATGGTGAAACTCTGTCTCTACTAAAAATACAAAAATTAGCCAAGCATAGTAGCAAGTGCCCATGATCCCAGCTACTCAGGGAGGCTGAGGCAGGAGAATCACTCGAACCCGGGAGGCGAAGGTTGCAGTGAGCCGAGATCACTTCACTGCTCTCCAGCCTGGGCAATAGAGTGAGAACCTGAAAAGAAAGAAGGAAGGGAAGGGAAGAGGAGGGGAGGGGAGAAGAAAGAGAGAAAGAAAGAGAGGGAGGGAGGGAGGGAGGGAGGGAGGAAGGAAGGAAGGGAGGGAGGGAGGGAGGGAGGAAGACAGAAAGAAAAAGAGAAAGAAGGAAAGAAAGAAAGAAAAGAAGAAAGAAAAAAGAAAAGAAAGGAAAGAAAGAAAGAAAGAGAAAGAAAAAGAAAGAAAGAGAAAGAAAGAAAGAAGGAAGGAATTCTAAGTGAAGTGGATTTGGTTAGGAAACTTTCTGATCTAAACTTCAGCCTTTTAATAGGCCAATTTGAGGTCATCTTGTTATAGTTATTTTCATTATATATTCTGCCTTCAAAATAGGTCTATTTATTATACATTATAATGACAGCATCATACAGGCATTTCAGGGGTACATAATAAATGTCAATCCTCATAGCCAGTTCTGAGAGATCTCCTGGTGTCACTTTAATTTGTAGCAACATGCCCAAGACCACATATCAAGTGAGAAATATAATAGAATAATAAGTCTAAAGTTGCCATCATTGAGGTTTCTATTCAGCTATTTATCTCTGAAACACTTAGTAATTAATTTTCTTATTATATAAAAGTGTTTCATGTATTTAGCACTTGAAATAAAACACAATTTGTGGAGACAGTCAATGTGAATAATTCTATATTCTAAAAATATATCAATCAATCAGAAAGCTGCCTAATATTTCCTTCATTTTGGGCTAAGTACAGCAGACCCTCATTTAAGTCATATTTTAATAGCAAACCAAGAAAATCAGCCTACTCCCTTATGCCCACCCAGGTAATAATAAAGCTTCCATTGAGGCTACCAGCAGTGCCTGAAAATCTCACAACTACTTTTGTGCTCAGAGGACATTACTACAACAGAGAACATTATTTAGAAAATTACATATAAAATTAACCATCCTGAGGACTATAAGGATATGCAGCTATGTTAGGAACAAGTGTATGAAAAATAACAATTTCAGGATAGACTAGTTTTCTTGTGTAAAAGTTCTAACATCATTTGCAGGGTTCTTTCAACTATACCATACAGCCCTTTTCAGTGTGTGTGATTACTGTGAAAAAATTAAAAAATATAAAACATAGTTAATAACATAAGGCATAAAAGAATGATAAATTTATGTTAGCTCAACCATTTACTAAGGGTCAAGGATGTCCTCACTGTTTAAAAAAACTTAAACGCTAGTAGGAAAGACAGAAATACAGCATCTATTTATAATACCTTTTGATACATGTGAAAATTAAGAAGTTTGTTTCAGTACTTTAGAAATACAATGAGGGAATATCCGATCTAGCCTGGTCCAGGAAAAGGGAAGAAGACTGAGGCAGCAGGAAAGGCTATCAGGAAGTAAACCCTCAGGGAAGTGTGAAGACTTAAGCAGGTTAATGTTAACTGGCAGAGACCAGGTAGATAAAGACATGGTTTTATTTATTTTTGTTTTACTGTTTCAGATAGCATGCCACCAGTAGAAAGAATATTAGTGTTTATTATCTACATGACTATATTTTTAGGCAACATATTTTTTGTGCATCTTATCACTTTAGTCCATTTGCATTACTATGAAGGAATACCTGAGACTAGGTTATTTATAAAGAAAAGAGGTTTATTTTTGCTCACAGTTCTGCGGGCTGTACAGGAAGCACAGTGCCAGCATCTACTTTAGGCAAGGACCTCAGGAAGCTTCCACTTATAGTGGAAGGAGAAGGAGGAGCAGGCACGTCACATGGCAAGAAAGGGAGCAAGAGAGAGAATGTGGAGGTCCCAGACTCTTTTAGTTAATCAGATCTCAAGCAAACTAACTGAGTGAGAACTCACGTTACCAAGAGGGTGGCAGGCACTAAGACATTCATGAGGGATCTACCCGCTGTGATCCAATTATCCCCACTCGGCCCCACCTCCAACACTGGGGACTACATTTCAAAATGAGAGTCAGGGGGACAAAAAACCCAAATCATTATCAGTGATCATTGTTCATTTATTTGTTTCAAACTCTCAACCAAATTTAAGTAAATGGGTCAGTATTTTATCTTTTCATACATGTACAAGACAGACCTTATTTGGTAACAGCAACAATCCTCACACATCTCTCTTCCTTCCTTCCAGGATTTTAATGCCTTTTGTAAAGACCTGCCTAATGGTTCTGCCTTCAGTGCAGACAATATGGAAGAGTGTGACAGATGTTATCATTGCTCCATTGTGTACGAGCGTAGGACGATGCTTCTCTTCTGTCAGCCTGCAACTGAGCCAGGATTGAATACTTGGACCCCAGGTCTGGAGATTGGGATACTGTAATACTTCTTTGTTATTATAACATAAAAGCACCACTGTTCTGTTCATTTCCTAGCTGTTCTAATTAAGAAAACTATTAAGATGAGCAACCACATTTAGAAATGTTTATTGACAGGTCTTTTCAAATAATGCTTTTCTAATTAATAGCCAAAGATTTCATATCTAACTTTGTAACCAGAATTATACAGTAAGTTGACACCACTTAGATTTAAAGGCAGACAGTTTTGCTTTAGTACAATAGTATACATTTTATAATGATGAACTTATAATGATTAAGGGACATTTCTATAAAAATACTACAATAGTTTTATGCACAACTTCCCATTAAAAATGAGATTTCTTATTTGTTTGTCTGTTTTTACTCTGGGAGTAATACTTTTTAAATTACCTTTACATATATAGTCACTGGCATACTGAGAATATACAATGATCCTGGAAATTGCAGTAACAAAAGCACACAACGATTATAGTAACTATAAGATACAATAAAACAAATAAATATGAAAGTAGATTCATGAAAATGTATTCCTTTAAAATATTGTTTTCCTACAGGCCTATTTAACAAGATGTTTCATTTTACTGTATATTTTGTAGTTAATATAAATGTTGCTCTAATCAGATTGCTTAAAAGCATTTTTATTATATTTATGTTGTTGAACTAATATATGAAATAAGTAAATGTAGCTCCCACAAGGTAAACTTCATTGGTAAGATTGCACTGTTCTGATTATGTAAGCATTTGTACATCTTCTTTGGAAATAAAAGATAAAAGAGCGATACACAAAGCTTTCTTTTCTAACTTTTCCAAGCAAAATCTAAAATGTTTTATGACATTTTTCTGGCTGTGATCTTAAAATAATTCATATCTAAATAGTATTTTGTCTAGGAGATGCTTTCTCTCTAGTAGTTAGAAATTAAATCTGTGTCAGCATTCCTATTAATGTCTCACTTTACTTTCAAGTAATATTGGTGCTATTTAACATTTTACAGTAAATGTTACTTCTGATACTTTAGTACAATTTCAACTACAGTGATTCATGTAGAGAGACAGGGGAGTTGTCAACTTGGGCTACTGAACTACATGCATAAACTAAAAACTAACAGCTACAAACTTTTAAGATTTCTCTAATATTGGTATGTAACACAGGATAAAGTTATTCTTGTCATTTTGAACTGTAGAGTCCTATTTCAGTGTGATGAATCACTGTTGCTTTGAAAAATCTCATTATTTCTGGGCCGGGCATGGTGGCTCACCCCTGTAATCCCAGCACTTTGGGAGGCCAAGGCGGGTGGATCATGAGGTCAGGAGATCAAGACCATCCTGGCCAACATGGTGATACCCCGTCTCTACTAAAAATACAAAAAAATTAGTTGGGCATGGTGGCATGCACCTGTAGTCCCAGCTACCTGGGAGGCTGAGGCAGGAGAATTGCTTGAACCTGGGAGGCAGAGGTTGCAGTGAGCCAAAATCATGCCACTGCACTCCCGCCTGGCAACAGAGCAAGAGTCTGTCTCAAAAAAAAAAAGAAAAAAAGAAAAAAAGAAAAAAGAAAAATCTCATTATTTCAAAATGATAGACATATACCAAAAACAAGTCTATAATGTGAGTAGTTACTAAAATTTACACATCTTAAAAGTGTGTAAATGCTTAAATTTCAGAATTACCATCAGAACCTCAATTGACATTCCTTTGAATACGCTAATAAGTGACAAATAAGATTAATAAGATTTTTCAAAATCGCCAGGACTGGTGAATATAAATGATGATTGAACTGGAATAATATTGGGGACCAAATCAAATGAATGATTAAATTATGAAGCTCATATCCTTTTGAAGGTAGTTGCAAAGAGACATTTCAAAACTGCCCTAGGCCATTGCAGCATCCTTAGATGGGACGCATAATCATTACCTTAAAGCATCACCACTCATTTTGACCATATAGATTTTATTATGTTAGTTTAAAAGGTCAATCAGCCTCATGACTTTATAGTTATGTCTTGTATTTAAAAACATTTTTTATACATTTGGTTATGTTGATAAACCAAAAACATTTGATTAATAAAATATCTATTTGAATAAATTATGAGCTATCCTTTCAAACAGCTATTGGCAAGTTTTAAACCCAAAATATATACACATAGTTCTGTAATAAAACTGTTTGACTTCTCAAGTAACATGACTTCCTTATTTCTGAACAGTACTGGTTACTTTCAAAATGAATTTTTATTGAGATTTTCCATTAACTATTTTTTTCAAAGACTCAAATTTTGTACCAAGTAAATCCAGGCTTTATGTACAAACATGTTGTTTGTTTTATTTGGGGCTGGGGGAGGTATATGATGAGCAGACTTCTCGGAATTCATAATAAATTTTCTAAAAGCCTACAAATGTGTGTATTGCTTTTATTACAGTAAATATGGAATCTTTCATACTTATTTTTACCTTATTAAAAACTCAAAATAGATAATAAATACATTAGTTATTGCTTATTTGGGAATGTATTTTTAAAAATTATTACATTAGTAGTTGAATTCTTTGTTTTCCAGCACTTAAAGAGGTTCCATATAAATGTTCTATCATTTGATGAATAGTATAAAATAGCCTGTTCACACACCCACCATACTTCTTCTTTTTTATAGTCTCTTCTTGCTAATCCTAAATAAACTGAAATTTGTTTCCAATTTTTAAAATAAGAAAGTAACAATATAAATCACAGGCACTTGGATACCTGTACCATGAAGCTAGACTAGAGTCCAAAATTATTTTTGGAAAGTGAGTATGTGAAGAGTAGTTGCTGATGTTGGCATACATTTTCTTGTCAGTTCATCTGGAAAAACGACCAACCTATAATAATAAAGCAGGTGCTTGGCTTTTTAAAATGTTCTTTATAGTTTTCAGGAACTTTTAAAAATTCATCTTTTTGATAGTCATCCACATCCCATTAATTTATTTTGATGCCTCTCTTGGAAAGTTGTTGGAGTGTAGTGAAAAAAGCCCTGCCCTAGAAGTCAGGCAACTGGATTCCAGTCTCAGCATTGCCGTTATTGAGGTGTATCCCTTCATGCAAAGGGTTTAATCTTGGGTTCTCAGTTTTCTTATCGTTAATGAAAGAATTGAACTAAATGGTCTCTCAGGAGCTTCCTATCTCATTGTTTTCTGTGACTTCAGCAGGATGAAAACTTGGCTATGTATATGAAAACCAACCTAGCTGTCCAGTCCAAAAATATTTTTTTAAATCAGTGAATTTTCAATCAATTACAGGATAGGTGTGCTATAAATACAATAATTAATGCATGTACTTTTCACCCTTCTATTGATTGTGAGACTGTATTTGGCCTCAATTCATTAAAACAGAGATCCTAAGATTTTTATCAATGCTAAGTCTTTATTATTATGAATTTCTGAAAAAAATTATATCTTAATTAGAATTTGCGATTGAACCTTTAACAACATGGGGTTGAACTGCTCAGTCCACTTATACTCAGATTTTTTTTCAGTAAATACAGTTAGCCTTCCGTATCCACAGGTTCCTCATCCACCATCAAACTGGATCCAAAATAGAGTATTGCAAGATGCAAAACCCTCAGACAAGGAGGGCTGACTTTTCACCTCCTTGGGTTCTGCAGGGATGACGGGATTTAAGTATGCAAGGATTTTTATATCTGCAGGGGAATTCTAGAACCAATCCCTCAAGGGTACCGAGGAATGACTCTATTTCATTTTAAGATTTTCTGTCAAAATCACTGCTATGCCCCATAATCACTGCCATCTTTCTCTTTTGCCTGGCTATTTGCCACAGCCTCCTAACTGACCTCACTTCCTGCCTTCAATATGATCACCAATCCATTTTTCTCTTAAAAAAAACGTGATTATACCAAGACTACCCTGTCATTTCCTTGCTTAAAACTATCAATTGTATGTGATTGCCCTGAGAATAATATTCCAAGTTCTTGAGCAGCATATGCAAGGCCTTCGCCATCAACCCGTTGTCATCGTTAGCAACTCTTCTGTAGCTTTACTGAACAACCCGTGCTACTCCTGTGTACCCATGCCAGCATTGTTTTTCTTCTCATGCCTGCCTCACTCTTATCTGTTTCCAAAACTCTTCCACATTAAGTGCCTCTTCTGTGTCTACATCTAAAATGTTGTACAAATTCCTATTATCACCTGTCACGTTGTAAAAGTAACCCTGTTAACTAATACCATTAGACTGCTAGTTAGGTATTTGAGAACCAAAAACATCACTTCACGTTTGCTGGGATTCTGAAATGGTGCCCAGTGCTTAATGAGTTCCATCAATATTTTCTGTATGAATGATTATGTAAATAAATAACTGGAGAAAGCTTGGGATAATTGCAGAACTGAGAGTGGGAATTGCACAAAACTTCATAATTTCTTCTTTACAAAAGGGATTTGAAATGTACTGATTCTAATAAAAATTTCCTTCCCACCATTTTCTCACTCATGAATCATTAAGTTGAGAAAACAAAAACGTATATAAACCATTTTATATTTTATCGATTGGGGTAATGCCTGCCTTTAGTCTCCATTCTCGTATCTAAAATTTACTTTTAATTCTTCAGGGGTAGAAAGCCCTAGCATTTAGAAACTTGTCTGGAAACACACTTTCATGCTTTCTAGAATGTTGCTATTTCATCTACTATTCTATTCCTCACTTTGAAATTTATAACACTGAAAGATTGTTTCTTTGGGTTTTACATTTTAGAAAACACATTGTCTCATCTGAATCCCAGGACAAATTAAATAACATAATGGAGAAATCAAACAAATAATAGCTTAGTTTTTCTAGCTTGCAACTTTATCATTTTAGAATGTTTGTTTAAGATAACAAGTGCTTACAGAATTTTTACAGGGTTACATGTTACTTTAAGAAACTTAAAAAAATAGTAAGTAGAGCTGCAAAGAAAAATTACCACAATGAATGTAATTTATCACAAATCAGGATTTGGTACACTTCTTCCCTTCAAGTTGTGTATGTGTGCAGGGAAGACAGGGGAAGAAGTTGACAGAGGAGGAGTAAAGGATACAGGTATACTAGATAGTCAGTTTATATTTTTTAGGAATAAAAATAAGTTTGGCAACTATAATTTAACCATCCCAATTTCTTCTCCCTATTCACCCCAAAATAGCAAAATGAGCAAAATAAAGCACCCCTTGCTAAATTTTTAAGACATTTCTGTGCCCACTCTCCAGTTTCTTGCTTTGGATTGTACCTGAAATGCTGCCATTGGAACTTGACATCTTGATACTTTTTTAAGTGAAACACACCCTTGAGTGGGGTAACATTTCAATCTATTAGCAGTCATCTATTTACTTTAGGTGAACAAGTGATCTGAGAAAGGAGTGTTGAAAACTACATATGGGAACCAAGCATAAGAGCTCTGAGCACAATATGAGAGCACCATACACTGATTAAAAGAGATGTCACCAAAGAGAAAGCTGTGACAAAGGGAAACAAGAGGCTCCAATCACATGGCCTTCAGCCTTCCCAGTTTCGCTTTTGGACAACCCAAATCCCTAGTGAAAGGGGCATGGAATCTGAACAGGAGTGGAGGAAATTGAAGTCAGCTAAAGACTTTTCTTTTTATCCACAAAGGAAAGTTGCTTTTGTCTTACTGAATGAATAGGACCCTAGGAGTGGGCATGAGGGCTCTGCTGGAACCATGTGCCCTAAAGACAATGCCGAAGCGTGCAACTGAAAATGAAAATGAAACTGTAACTTGTGACCATCTATCTGTGTCTTCTTTCGCCTTGCCTCTCTGTGCTGTTGACTGTTGCGGCATGTCTGCGGCAAAGAAAGACCATGCTGCAGTCAGAGAAATCAGAGGACACCACTTCAACAATTAACCAAAAATAGGACAGGGACACCTATCTGCCTGTGCTTGGACGTATTAGGTCATTCAGCTCAGCTGTGTGACTGGAGAAATCATTTTGCCTTTATAGGAAAAGGTAGGGGTGTAGGATGATGAGAGAAAGGAAGAGACATGACTCAGAGTGGGAAACAGCACGTAGCCAAGGGCAAATATTTCTCTCAGACATAAATGGATCAGGAAGAGGTGAGAGCAGCAGGTCATCTTTGGAGCATTCTTTTCTTTCCTGCCTCCCAGTCACTTGTCACCGAGCACCAACCAGTAACAAAAGGGGAGAGAAGGGCAGTATGCAGGACCTGTTTCTCTAACTGACTGGCACATCGGTTCCAGCCAACTGCTGTCTCAGCTAACTAGGGCAGTGAAACAAGGAGTCATTTGGAAAGTTTCAGGGATGCACACTCCACATCGCAGGGAGGCAAGTGGTGAGGAATAACCACCACGCTTATTTTACTGAGGAGGAAACTGGTTGAAATTCTTTATGTATTATATGGCTGGGAGACCTCTGATCTCAGTACAAACAATAACAGGAGTATTTAGATTTGTCGAGCACTTATAATCTTCTGGGCATTTACTTAATCAGTACAATAACCCTACGATGGGAATGTTACTGTCATTCCCATTTTTCAGATAATGAAACTGATGCTGTGAAGTTAAAGAATTTGCCCTAGACCACAGTCAGGATGTGAGCCAAGAGAGCCTGACATCAGAGCCCACACTCCTAATCACTGTAGAGATGATTTTCTATTTCCTGAAAGAATGTGTCCATGGCTGTTCTTATGGCTTCCAGCCAAAATCTTCTTTTTTCATTCATCCACCTTTCCTACTCTGAGAAGCACCTTTTTTTCCATTCTCCCATCAATGGAGGCAGTTTCATGTCCTCAGTTGTAAGAGCTGTCCCAAGCTAGCACCTGGGCTTCATGTAACCTCCTCACTCGGCCTCCATCTAATCCCTGAACCCCTCCCCCAGCCCTGTATGCCGCTTTTCAGGGCACACCCTTTCTTTCTCCTTAGGATCTGAGCTCTAGACCTTACACTCCAGCTAAAGTCAGAAAAATAGTTCCCAAATGCCATTATTCTCATTTTTTGTAAATTTTGTAGCATTTTATTCCTTCACACAGACTTCCCTAATATGTATCAAAAGCCCAGTGATGATTTTTCTTCTCAATGCTAAACATCCTGACATGTAAAATATTAATAATTACAGCAATAATTTCAGTTTGGACTAAACATATTGTTTTCTAGACAGAATCCTTATTTTGTATTTTCTTCATTTTGTCGGAAATTTCTTGTCAGTTTGTACATCCTTTTATGTTATCCAATTTTATTGTCAGTTACTTTGTCTTGGAGATCCCAGGGAAAACCATATATGAATTTATTTTCTCCTATTGAATAATTTGCTCATTATAAATTTTATTTATTTTATTTTTTAGAGACAGGGTCTTGTTCTATCACCCAGGCTGGAGTGCAGTAGTGCAATCTCCTAGGTTCAAGTGATCCTCCCTCTTCAGCCTCCCCAGTTTCTAGGACTTCAGGTGCATACCATCGCACCCAGTTTCTACATATTTTCTCACAAAGTGACAGTGGTAAACTGATCAGTATCAAAGTCAAGAATTAGATTGAAAAAATGGGAAATCATGACACTAGAATACATAAAAAGAAGCATAAGATGCAACCAACCCTTTCTCTCCAGTTATCTGTAGCCTTTTTGGGGCAGACATAGGAATAGCACACATTATTCAGGGTTAGGTAACATAAACAAGATGAAAAGATCCCCACAGAATTTCTTGTCTATTCAATCAATTTCACATGTTGTATGTGCAGGGGCCACGCAGGGGATGGGATGGGTGGAGTGAGGGGCATGATGAAAGCACTGGAAATAAAACACCAAAAAATAATTTGTTATCATATAGAATAACCAAGTGAGCAATCAACTGAATCATTAATATACATTTTATTTAGACGAGGAAAATCCTATGATTATTACAATTTTTAAAATTAGATTGCTAAAAAAGTATCAGCATTGTTGGTATTATTTGTCCTGGAAGTGATTGAAGGGTCCTAGGAAAAAAAATAACTGTGTAAACTGATTTTTATTAAAACTATTTTTTTGGCCGGGCACGGTGGCTCAAGCCTGTAATCCCAGCACTTTGGGAGGCCGAGGTGGGCGGATCACGAGGTCAGGAGATCGAGACCTTCCTGGCCAAAACCGTGAAACCCCGTCTGTACTAAAAATACAAAAAGAAATTAGCCGGGCGTGGTGGCAGGCGCCTGTAGTCCCAGCTACTCGGAAGGCTGAGGCAGGAGAATGGCGTGAACCCAGGAGGCGGAGCTTGCAGTGAGCCAAGATCGCGCCACTGCACTCCAGCCTGGGTGACAGAGCGAGACTCCGTCTCAAAAAAAAAAAAAAAAAAAACAAAGACTATTTTTTTTTTTTTCTGAGGAAAAGAAATCCTATGTGGGGTTATCCTAAGCAACAATCTTATTTGACTAGGCACACACAAACACAAAAAACTGTGACCATCAGTATGTTCAAACAAGGGAAAATGGCAAATAGAAGATTGTAAAACAATTTTCCTGGAAGAACTTTGGCAATGATAAGCATTAATCTGGGGCAGATCAGATGTAGACCAGGCTCTATGATGTGTGATGAGCTAGGGATCTATTGATTTCCATGATTTTACGGTTCTTAGAGTTGAAGAAATATTCAGAATTGGAAAGGAAAATCCCTGAAGTCTGCAATGAAGTCTGCAGGGCATGGGACTCTCCAAAATGCAGGATAGGTTTGGGCTACTTTGAAGCAGCCCCTAAGAAATTGTTCTTTTTATGAAGTTAATAGATTGGTGCCACCTCAACTCTTGCTGTTCACCAATACCTTTTTGGTGTGGTCAATGAGATAACTTAATACAGCTCAAGCCCTTTCATAGCAAAAATAAATAAAAAATAATAATAATCCTGTCTACTGCCCAGTTTGTAATTCTTGATTTCACATTCCAAGAAGCCTTCAGTTTATAGAAATAGAAAGAACTGCCAGTTCCCTGCAAGCACCTTGGCCAACTTAGCCTGTAGGGTTCCCCCTTAAATGATGTATCCTTCAATTTGCTTACAAATATTTCTTTAATAGTATGTTCCTTCATTTTATTGAGTTGGGATTCCCTGTAAGTCATCCAGCCTGCAGTGCTGCTGCTCTTCCCATGATATAAAGTCTCCTTTTGTGTGTATTTGTGGAATTTTGTTCTCCATTCAGGGTTCTTACATAGGAGAGTGATATTTGCTGGCATAACTTCTGCATTTTTAAACATCTTCAGGTTTAAAGTTTTTATTTCCCCTACATTACTGTTTCTCAAAATAAAATGAGCATAGGAATCACCAGGGGATCTTGTTAAGATGCCAATTCAAATTCAGTAAATCTGGGATTGGTCCTGGGATTCTGCATTTCTAACAAGCTCCCTGGATGCTCAGGCTGCAAGTCCCTAGATCAAACTTTGAGTAGCAAGGATCTATCTAGTAAGTAGCTTGAGTAAGACACGGAAAGAGATGAAGATAAAGTAGCTACAGACAGACAAGAGAAGAAACTAACAGAGAGTTCATTTGTTTGGCTCTATGAGAAGATTCTACTGGCTGTCCAAAAACTAAATCCCCCACACCTGCTTTAAAACACATTCACATTCCCTCTGAAGTTAGCTGAGTTGCTTGAAGGCAAAACCAGCAGTGCAGAAATAAACCCCATTCTCCAGTATGCACAAAAGCTGATGTTGCAATTAAAGATTTGCCCTGGAATTAGTGAAAAAACAAACTCATCATATGATTACAAGAAAGTAAATTTCTGTATGAAGAGCAGATCACTTATGTGTATGTTCACCACATGAACCTACATCCACACACACACACACACACACACACACACATAGAAACACACACACCCACAGAGTCTTTAAAGACGGACTTTATTTTATGCTGTAAACCTAGACTTTGGGAGGCTGAAGTGGAGGGATTGCCTGAGTCCAGGAGTTCGAAACCAGCCTGGCAAAAATCCTGTCTCTACCAAAAATATAAAAATTAGCTGGGTCTGGTGGCACACACCTGTAGTCCCAGCTACTAGGGAGGCTGAGGATCACCTGAGCCTGGGAGGTGGAGGCTGCAGTCAGCCGTGAAGCATGCCACTGTACTCCAGCCTGGGCAAGAGAACGAGACTCTGTCTCAAAAAAAAAATATATGAAAAATCAACTTGCATACATATATATAATGTGTGTGTATATACAAGCACATATACATATATTATATATATATATATATACTTTTAAAAGAGTAAAATATTTTACTCTTTTAAAGCATCATTGCCTCAAAAGGAGTGGTTCAGAGATAAATTTTCCCCAGGTAAAACCAACTCCTGATAAGTAGTTTATTTACTAGGGAAAGGGCCAAAAGGAAAGAGAGTTTCCTTTGTTAAATAATGGAGCCCTGACTTAAAGCCAGATGGGTTACAACACAAAGGGCTTCTGTGGAGAACTACTCCCAAATATTTACATTAACTTAAGAAAAACATGGAAGTTTAATATCTCCTTATAATTTGGGGTAGTATTAAGGGGCTAAAGGCATTTTTATTCTTTATCATTTCATTATAATCAAAAAGGATTTTTAATTACTTACTTGTTAATAATAAAATCTATGTTTCCCTAATATGCTATTTAAAAGCTCACTAGTATGCTATAAAATGGTGCATTTCTCAGATATAAGCTATATTATGTTAAATATATATTAAATCTAGGTACTAGTTATATCATATTGCATTATTTTGTTGTCCTACTAGGTTTGAGAGTTAGTCATACTTTGGATAACATTTATGGAGCTTCCATACTTCTAAAAGGTGGTCATAATTTTGTTTTGCTTGAATGGGAGAAAACATAATCGTTGTATATTTAAATATTTTACATCTCTCAACTAGATGAAAAGTAATAATTTGTTTTACCACTTGACCATAATTTTTCTGAAAATTGCTAAGCTCAAGCTTTATAGTAAATATTTTCAGTCTTGAGTTAGGTAGGGCTGTAATTTTTACTTTTATTATTGATATAAATCTATCCAGATGAAAAATGAGCCAAATATTTATTTACCTCTCATTTCGTGCTTACTGAATACATTATCCCTTGATTATATTAGTGTTTGGCTCCGAGTTTAGACTAAGACTTCCTATCTTTAGAGAATGGTAGCCATTATTTTGGTAGGGTTATTATAATCCACTCAATTTCATGGCAGTTAGTTTGATTTCTTATATGTCATCATAATGAGGTGATGAATTGAAACCTGAAATTTTTCATGGACTTTAAGCACAAATGAAAATAACTCAATGAAATTTGGTTTGCTTATCACTTCACATTTTCTCAATATTTGAACTTACCTTTATACTGATAAATCATATTGTCTTTATGAGTTTGTTTTTAATGGAATTAAAAAGAAAATATTATCTCAAAGAACAAAATTTTGCAATAAGATAGAGTAAGATAAAGAAAGTGTACATTTTGAGAAAACCTACCTTTAAAGGCAAAATTTTTCTACATTTTCAAAAACAAGCACAAGTTTCATCAGATTTTCTAAATCCAGAATAATAATGATGACACTTTGTCCTCTGTAGCACAAATACCAATGAGACTATTTCAGGAAGTCTCTGCAACTGGAATTTTGTTTCAGAAATCTGGTTTCAGGCAGCATCTCTCCAGATCTTCATTAAAACAGTGAAGAAGTAGGAGGAAGATGCCAGCACTTTCAGCAGCCCTACTGAATGTTGGCCTGGGGCAAGCCCCTATGCTCTAACAACTCTGCTTTAAAAGGCAGGGAGGAGAAAAATGAATGTTTTTGTTTTTGAGATGGAGTTTTGCTCTTGTTGCCCAGGCTGGAGTGCAATGGCATGTGGTCTCGTCTCACTGCAACCACCACCTCCTGGGTTCAAGTGATTCTCCTGCCTCAGCCTCCCAAGTACCTGGGATTACAGGAGCCCGCCACCACACCGGGCTAATTTTTGTATTTTTAGTAGACATGAGTTTCACCGTGTTGGCCAGGCTGACCTCAGGTGATCTGCTTGCCTTGGCCTCCCAAAGTGCTGGGATTACAGGCATGAGCTACTGTGCCCAGCCAAAAATTAATGTTTTAAAGAGTGATTTTTGTCAGAAATTACTGAAATATAAAAGCTGGCACTCTAAAGGCTAGTTTCAGCTACCTAAAATCAATCATTCTTTTAGGTTTCATCAGCCAAGAATTCTGAGGAAAGGTGGTGGCCTAATTATTATTTCAGTAAGATAAATTATCAACTGTTTTGAAAATCACATTCTCTTTTAAGGCAAGAGAATGTATCTGTGACCACCCCGAGCCCCTCTCTCTGAGGCCCTCTGTCAGGCATCATATTTGAGAATCTTCATCTAGAAGTTTGCATTTGATTTGTGATTAAGGGATTTTTGTTTTTGTTACCAACTGTTTAATGGAAATTTTAATATACTGTATAAAGCTTTCTGAGAAAGAAGTAATAAATGGCAAAAATAGTAAGTATCAAAAAGTTAGATTAAAACTTATAAAATTGAAAGCCAAAACAAAAAACCTCTAATGACCACACATATGTGATATAGATTTGAGTTCTTCATACATCCCTTGCCATGGCTTCATCATTGGTGGCAATTCCATCCCCATCCCTTGATGTTGGGCTAAGTCACTTGACTTGCCTTGGCCAAGGGAATAAGGCAGAAGTGACAATGTGCCTCTCCAAGTCTGGGCTTTTAGAAGCCTTGTATGTTTTTTCTTGTCCTCTTATGCCACTGCTGCTTCATGGAGCATGGGAAGAATGTGCCCCAATCATCTTGCTAGTGCAAGGAGGAGGAGAGATGTACCAAGCGGTGAGAGGTGGATCTGCTCCAGGCACCTCCCCTAGATCAGCCAAGCCCCAGCCAACCCAACCCATAGCTCTATGATAAAAATGGTGGTTGTTTAGAGCACTGAGTTTTGTAGTAGTTTACTTAAGCAGTATTATTGCAGCAATAATTGATTGGTACACTCTAAAATGTAGTCTTAAAATAAATATGTGTCAGATATATGATGACAAAAACATGTTGGGTCACTTCATCTTTCACTTTCAATTGGCTGTTGTGATATCCTTTAGACAGGGCCATAAAGCCACATCTGCACTACTGGCCTAGCAGTCACAATATGGCTATTCCTCTAGCAATTTTAGCTAGGACACACAAAAAAATTGCACTTTCAACATAGGATTTGCTACTCAAAAGCTTTCTTAAGAATTAACCTTATTTCCACTGTATTAAATAACCAATCAGATTTATTTTGTATTGAATAACAAAATATTTTACAAATAAAATTGTAAAGTGACATAGGAAATGCTAAAGACTAAACATATTCTTTCACTATCAATATTTGGAGTTAATTAGGTTAAAAAGCCTTAATCAAGGCTACCAATGAAATGTAAATATTGGCAGAAGTTCTGAAATTACATATGTGAAATTTGAGTTCGAGGGTTTGTTGTTAACTCAGAAACAGCAGCTCTTAGAGATGTTACCAGCAAAAATCTTGGCAAGATTTGGTTGAAGGGAAAGAGGGGAAGATTAGGGAAGGATGACACTTCCGAAGTTTCACTAATGATCTTTTCTGGTTGCCCCTGGAACTTTCCCCTACCCCATCTACCCTTGTGGAAGAATTTTTATAGCATAAAAGCAGAGATAAGGCTTTCCTTAATTCCAAAATCCTGGTCCTGGGGGATTCATGGCATGAAAATATTGGTGGGCGATGTAAGAACAAGGCTTCCTGCTCAAGGGAGAAGAAATTGAGAAAAGATGCAAAGTAGTTTTTGACAGGGGTGTTTCTAGGGTGGGCCCTGATAAATTAAGAGGATCGGAAAGCAAAGATGTCTGTGCCTTCTGTTTCAAGATAGGGCACATGGAGGCAGTGACACCCTGGAGCTTCTCTGCACCATGACAGAGCACAGGACTCATTCTGTTCTCTACATCGCACTCAACATAGGAGGTTCCACTATGCTGTATCAGACCTACCCATCCAGATTCATCAGATTTGCTTGCAGAGAGCCCCAAGAAAGGAACAGAAATAGCAAGAAAGTGTCTCTGGCCCAAAGAGGCACATTCAATGAGCTTGAAGGACAGTGCAGCACTTGTTCTCCTGAATGGATCAATAACCAAGGACGGACAGAGTGACATACTCATCAGCAGATGCCAAGATGCACAGCTAAGGAAGAAACCCTCCTCCACAGACACACCCAAGATTCCTGGTCACATCATAAGCCCCTAGAATTTAGGACAAAATGGAAGAAACTAGAAACTGACTGAAATTAAGTTTCTGCCACCTGAAGGAATGGGGCTTTGTAAAAGAAATTAAGACCAGTTACAGAAAAAGAGAAAGTTACAATTCACATGGGACTTTGACAGTTTCCATAATGTTTTCTGTTTAAAAAGCTCTGGAGTAAATAAGGCAAAATGATACTTAATCAAGCTGGGTGGCAGGTGTCCATCATACAATTTGCCATATTTCAGATAATTGAACTATTTTACAATAAAAATACTTTGAAATAAAATATGTTTATTTGAATCTTAAATTTGTGGACTAAAATGTGTTCCCTCAACCTTAGCAACTATTGTGCTTTAGGCAGTATTCTCAGAGCTTCAAATACATCACCTCACTAAAGTTTACAAACTCCTATTGGGTAGATATCAGTAGTATTTTTCATTTTGTAAATAAAGTGAAGTTAATTTAAATAAATAGTAGGAAAAGAAAACTCTTAGCCATCTTGATCAGAAAGATTTTTAAAACACAAAATCGCTGTTTGCTTGCTTTTTTTTTGAAGAAAATAAGTGGGAAAAAATTATTTAAAATACTCAAAGTGGAAAAGCCCAATCCACAGAAGCTTCAAGTTAGAACAAGGTGAGGAAGGGGTCAGGTGATGTGGCAAGTCTTCATCCAGAAAGCCATTTCCTTCCACATATGAAATGGGCAACTGTAGGAAGGAGGCCTCAATGGGATTCAGCAGATGCAATGAATAGCAGAAGGCCTATGGGGTGGTGATGCTGATAAACAGGGTAAATACTGAGCTGAACTCAGAGATCATTAAAAGATGACATGTTTATGCACTTACACACAGATGGTTAAAATGTTGGCATGTTTATACACTTGCATGTAAATAGTCACCGCTCTGAAATGTACGTTGCCCTTCCCCTGAGGACCCTTAACTTCCTAATGATTCAGCAACTAACCAGCAGTACTCTAATGCACAGCTCCAGTGCCACGGCTGAAGTTTGAAATGATTGGTTGGTGGCTCTGCCATACTGATTATAATATCATACCTGGTGATAACTCCTATTATAACCCAAGCTGGAATTCCTTCTCTGAACGCATTGCCAGAGGCACATTTGGGAAGTCTCGGACTGCTGAGTGTTGGGAAATGTTGGAAAGATGCCTGCTTCTTAACACTATTGATATCATTGAGAGTGGTCAAACCTTTAGATTCCAAATCTTATAGTGGTAGTTAAAAAAAAGTAGCCAAGAATGTGAAAAGAACCCATGGTGGTAGGGATGGGAAGAGGAAGTTGTACCAGAGCAAAGCGACATAGAGAAGGAGATGAGAGAACATGAAAAGCAACGAATTTCACAATTTTGCCATAAGCTGACCCTGACTAGCCTACTTAAGAACCTCATGTCTCAGAAGTTGCTAACGGGTTCTCTAGTGATTTATCAACTGTAAAATGTTTCATTATCCAACAATCTCCTTAGGAAAAGGTATTTTTAATGTATTTAAGCTCTAGTATCCTCATCGCTCAGATGGTTGGTTTGGTTCGCCTGAGTGGCTTTTAGATCTGTATTTCTAGTGCCCTCTAATCCATGGGATGACCTTTAATGCTGCTTCCAAAAAAGAAAAATATTAGAGGGCAAATGAATTGCCAAATACTCATTTTTTAAGTAAATGATTTGGAGAAAGTTATTAACTCGCCTCCAAGCCCAAAGTTACCTGTGTGAGAATCAAACAAAAACAATTTTGCTTATATCATCTATTCATTTCCAATTTTGTACCTATGCTAACAATGTTCTTCTTCTCCTTTTATTTCTCATAAATCGAGAGCAGTTTCCCTAAGTCAGCTATTATAACCAGACTAAGATGTGTTTCTCTTTGGTGCCAGCTTCTTGTTGAGGCAGGTTAATGAAGAGATTGTGGTTTTTCCTCTCATTAGGAATGCATTTTGGCATTGACAACGCTTCACTGATCATTATGATTCCATGTGTTGCTGTTGATTAGACTTTTCTACATGGACTTTCCCAGCGAGATTGCTTTCCCTCGGTTGAGTACTAGTTAAGCGTTCACTTAAAGGCCTCCCTGGAAAGTCCTTTTCTTGCTGGAATGCAGGACAAGCTCCCTCTGTGTTCCTGTTGACTTTTTTCACAGTTAACATTACTCATCACAGCTGAAGACTGAATAACAATAGATGGGAAGTGGTTTCCACATTTTTCCATAGAACGTAACCCCAGTTGACTTGTATGAAGGAAAAATTAAATGAATTTATGGCAGTCATTAGAGGTGGGCTAGGTACTATAGAACATATTGAACCTGACAGTCCTTTTCTAGTGTATTGTGTTTGTTAATATTTGTTAATATAATTTGTTCAAAGAATTTAGAAATGCAATCTGACAGAAATGAAATTAAGAAAACGCAACTTTTTGGCCAGTTGTAGTGGCTCACGCCTGTAATCCCAACACATTAGGAGACTAGGGCAAGAGGATTGCTTGAGGCCAGGAGTTTGAGACCAGACAGGGTAACAGAGTGAGACCCCCGTCTCTACAAACACTTTTTAAAAATATTAGCAGGGTGTGGTGGTGCACACCTATAGTTTCAGCATTCTATCAGGAAACTGAAGTGGATCACTTGGGCCCAAGAGGTCCAGGCTGCAGTGACCTATGAATGCACCACTGCATTCCAGCTTGGGTGACAGAGGACACCCTGTCAGAAAGAAAAGAAAAAAAGAAAAGGAAGGAAGGAAGGAAAGAAGGAAGGAAGGAAGGAAGGAAGGAAGGAAGGAAGGAAGGAAGGAAGGAAGGAAGGAAGGAAGGAAAGAAAGAAAGAAAGAAAGAAAGAAAGAAAGAAAGAAAGAAAGAAAGAAAAGAAAGGAAGGAAGGAAGGAAGGAAGGAAGGAAGGAAGACCCTAATTATTTGTTTACTCATAAATAAGCTTATTTTAAAGCATTCCAAATTTTTTAACTTTTATTTTAGGTTCAAGAGTACATGTGCAGGTTTGTTAAATTTTGTGTCACAGGGATTCGTTGTACAGATTATTTCATCACCCAGCTACAAAGCCTACTCCCCAATAGTTATTTTTCTGCTCCTCTCCCTCCCCGACGCTCCACCCCTCAAGTGGGCCCCAGTGCCTGTTTTTTCCCTATTTGTTTCCATGAGTTCTCATCATTTAGCTCCCACTAATGTGGTATTTGGGAAAATCCAACTTTTGAAAGATCTTTAGTCTGCTAATCATGAATGGCCAACATAATTACAGGCATGCCAACATTTGTAACATTGTGACACTTTCCCTGCCATTCTTAGTTAAAACTGATCTTTTGTTCCAAAAATTTTTGCTACCAACAATAGCCTGTCCTTTATAGTTCTTTTATACTTTTGTGTCTTCTCTCTAACTAAATAATCAACTCTTTCAGCATTCCATCCATTTCCCTTTCTCCTCCCTCTTACTCCCAACCCACATTCCCCTCTCCATTTTAATTTTAACCTGTGCCCCTTCAAGTGTACTCCAGCTTTTTTTTTAAAATAATTTCAAGTGATACTTTGACTTTTGACTGCATATGGAAGCATAAGTAACATGTCCTTTCATTTTTGGATAATGAGTTTCCTGATTAATTACAGCTCAAGAGTAAAATGACTGATTACTATTTAATTCATTTTGTGCTTCTTTACAATAAAGTAAAGACAGAAGCCCCAGATTCAGGAACAGACAAAATACTTTAATCGCTATCACATTTTTTTTAAGTCTAGTCAATTAGAAAAGTCAAATCTTTCCTCACAGCCAAGCACATTAAAAAAAAATCTTCTCTGGTAATAAACTTGAAGCTTTAAATAATTCTACAATTATAAACATTTTGTGTATTTTGCAAATATGGCATAACCTGTTGGCATAAAATTCCATTGTTCCAGAAAATATCGGTAATAAAATTATAGAAAAGTTAAAGATCTTCATTTCTTATTTCGAAGCGTTTGGGAGACATTTCAGAAACGGATGGGAAATGTTAAATTCTGCATGCCTGCTTAAGTTTCCATCCACACCGACTAGATGTAAACGAGTGTCACCAAAAGTACACCACAGGCACCCACACAGATTCCTTCCATAAGGGATCCACAAAGTTTAGATGTGAAATGTACCTAAAGGTTCCTAGCCGTCTTTCATCCCTCCCTCTGTGAAACAGGGAGACACATGTGTTTTAAGGCAGAGATGGAACTTGGGCGATGGGCGGGGGGTGGGGGAGGTGGGAAGGGACGGCTTAGGACAGGGCAGGATTGTGGATTGTTTCTGCCGCCTTGGTTGCCCATACTGGGCATCTCTGCAGGCGCGTCGGCTCCCTCCACCCCTGCTGAGATGATGCACTGCGAAAACATTCGCTCTCCCCGGGACGCCTCTCGGTGGTTCAGAGCAGGGAAAATGTTGCCTCAGGTTTAAAATAATCTGCCCAAGCACCCCAGCGCGGGAGAAACGTTCTCACTCGCTCTCTGCTCGCTGCGGGCGCTCCCCGCCCTCTGCTGCCAGAACCTTGGGGATGTGCCTAGACCCGGCGCAGCACACGTCCGGGCCAACCGCGAGCAGAACAAACCTTTGGCGGGCGGCCAGGAGGCTCCCTCCCAGCCACCGCCCCCCTCCAGCGCCTTTTTTTCCCCCCATACAATACAAGATCTTCCTTCCTCAGTTCCCTTAAAGCACAGCCCAGGGAAACCTCCTCACAGTTTTCATCCAGCCACGGGCCAGCATGTCTGGGGGCAAATACGTAGACTCGGAGGTAGGCATCCGTGGGGGGGCGCCGGCTCGGGCGTGCGGGGAGTGTCCGCTTCTGCTATCTGCCTCTCCAAATATCCCGACTGCTGCCCTGGCCCCAGCCCTCTCTCCACTTCGGAGCACTCCTCTGGCGTTGGCACCGCTGAGGAATGGGCCTGGGCGGGGAGGTGAAGAGAAGCCAGGAATGTTTTATGTTTTCCTAATGGAGAGGGGGCCTAGGGAGCCCCTGAGCTAGGAGGACACGGAAAAGGGGATTGGGGTCCTGAGATTGGGTCTGTTGGGCCCAGGACGCGTTTTCTGGATGGGTCTAGGATGCTCCCTTGTCGCGGGACCCCCGCGGTCCGGCCCTGCCTGCTGGGGGTTCGAAGAGGTGGAGTGCAGGGTGGAGGTGTTATTTACCCGAGTCCTGGGGACAGTCCCCGGGACTCTCCGCCAGGCGCCCAGACCGGCAGGTCCCGCAGGCGGCGCGCGGTGTGTTTGCACTTTCCAAAGTTCTTGAACCATCTCAAGAACTCCTTCTGCATCTTGGCGTCTGGCAGGGGTGTTCCGAGAGAGGTAGACCTCCCCTCCCCAAACTGCCACCATCACTTCCAACGCCCTCCACGCGCTGGAGCTCTGCCCGGGTGTGGAAACCTCGTCTTCCAACACGTAGCTGCCCTTCAGCCACCCGCCCGCAGCCTGGGAGTGCCCTGAGGGTGGGTCGGGGGAGCTGCGCAGGTGAGACTGAGTTCTAGGACATTTAGGGGGTCTGGTGCCTGGCTCCGCCAAAAATGGGGACTTTCGGGATTGTGATCATCACGGCGGATTGAGCAGGGAGAGCCGTGGAGGGACAAGAGAGGGCCGAGGCAGGGTGGGGGGCGCGGGCAGGTGCGAGGGGGATGCGGCCAAGAAGCAGCGATAAAGGGAACATTCCACGGGTCGGGCGGCTGCTGTTGGATCTTAGATAAAGCTGGAAGGGATTACCGGGGCAGGGGTAATAGGGACCGGGGACGGGAACGCGAAACAGGTGAAGCGCTCAGGGCGAGAGCGACTCGGCTTAGGGAGTCCGGGAGAAGCCTGCGGCTGCCCCCTCGCCGCCGAGGTCCTGCGGGTCCTGCGGGTCCTGCGTGCTGAGCCGGGGCGTGCGCGGGCGGGGGCCTTCGGACCGCGCGGCGGGGCCTGCCCTGACCCCTGGCGGCGGGCGGGGGAGGCAGGCGCGCCCTGCAGAGTACAGAGGGGTGTGGTGTCCTCTGCGAGATCCTCTTAAAAAGCTGGCTACGCGCAGGCGGTTTCTGTGCACGGAGCCGTAGCTGTCGGAGCGGTTAGTTCGATTTCGAGCTCGAGGTTTCCCCCGCCGCCAGGCTGACTTCTCATCGCTTGTTTTTCTTTTTGCATTTTTCCTCCCACCGCCGTTGCCGCCCTCCCCGTCCTGGCCGTCCGCCCTCCGCCCTCTGCAGGGACATCTCTACACCGTTCCCATCCGGGAACAGGGCAACATCTACAAGCCCAACAACAAGGCCATGGCAGACGAGCTGAGCGAGAAGCAAGTGTACGACGCGCACACCAAGGAGATCGACCTGGTCAACCGCGACCCTAAACACCTCAACGATGACGTGGTCAAGGTAAGCCAAGGCGACCAACAGGGAAGGGCTGGGACAGCTCTCCTCTGGCAGTTAGCCCGTGCATCCTTCTTTAGCATTGCCGTGTACGCACACCCCACCCCGCCCCCTACACGCGCACACACACACACACACAGAGTTTTGTGGGTTTGATGTGTGGGAGCTCCCGCAGTCGGCAGAAACGTTACATCTCCCTTCCCCCATCTCCCCCCAATAGTTAGTTCAGCTGAAATTCAGCTAAAGTGAGTTTTGTAGAAGTTCCTATAACTACACTTTTATCCTAGCAAATGAGCCTATTGACCTCAGCAACAGACGGCCCATACTCCTTGGGACGGTGAGATGGTTCCTATCCATTCCCAGGTTGAAAGTCTAGTGACAGGTCCCCACTGCACGTGGCATTAAGACAGTCAGATAATTGTGTCAGGTCTTGTGCTGAGGATGAGTCAGAATACAAGATGGGCATGTTCCCCCAACTAAAACGATGGGAAGTGATTTTCTTAAAAATACTACAGTGGATGGAAATGCCTAGGACTAAAGACAAAGAAAATACGTACTTATTCATATACATATGAAAGTTACTTTAACTAGACTAACAAGTCACTTGTGCACAACTAAGCAAATTTACAAAACCAAAAACAATGTATGCCTCTTGGTTTCTTCTATCTATGGACACCTGCACTTAGATGTGGAAAGCTGCTTCTTTAGTAGCTACCTGGGTCAGCCTGCCCTGAGCTAATGGCACATTCAGGTTGGAGTTCCTTTTCATACTTTCAGGATGTGCTTGGTGAGATTAAAAATAATTGGACTGGGTTATTGGCCAGACTTAGATCTGACTCAGTGGTCAGTTTTAAATTATCATTGTTATTAGATTTTGACCCTTTTAGCCAATCTAGTGGGAGGAATTTATTGCCTAAACACATCTGGATTGGGATATCATGGGCTAGAGCCATCCTTGGCAAAGGGTTTTCTCTGAGAAATGGAGGGCTAAGGAAAAATCCTGGCTCAGGGACTGCAGTGTGAAGATCTACTCCTATACAACCCCCAGCAATCAATGAGGCGGATGAGCAATTTCCACCCACCACGCCTGCTATCTATGGATGGGAGGAGCTATAGTTCACAAACCGTTTACATTCATGAATAATATATTTCAAAAGGGGAAACAGTTTAATCTGTAACTGGAAGGGAAAAAAAAACTGTCAGAATTGACTCCCTTGGCTTCCTGGAGTAGGAAAAAGGAAAATTGGAGCATTTGCAGCTTTTTTTGACTAGCTGGATTATGGAATATTTAAAAGCAACAGCAACAAAAGTACCTTATAAACTAGAAAATAGAATTGCTAAAAAACTATTTACTAAAAACATTACCTTAAAGGGAGAGGATATTTGTGTTTTCCCCCACCCCCACCCTTCTCATGTGGCTTTGAACAAGAAGGAGAGTTGCCAGGAAAAGAGGCAGATTTCAGAGAGGGCTGGCTTCACTGGATCCTCCCTGTTGTTCCACTGCACTGTGAGTGAGATTCCCTGGAGCAAGCGAATCTCCCGGGATGAGTCAGAGAGGCCAACAGTGTGGATGTGGGTCTCCACACATAGCATGACTAAGTTGAGAAAGAAAGGCCCCACTGGGAAAAGAGACTTCAACACAGATGGAAAAAAAACATAACAGGCTTGGAGGAAATAGCAGTTTACAAAACAGCATTTCAAAGAGCAAGTGTGGGGATCCTCAAATTAAAGAAATTAAAAGAAAAAGCTAGAGCAAGCTCCTGCTAGCCTAAAGAAACCAAACCCTGACTACTTGCTCATAGAACTGTGAGCAAAACAAGACAGTCAAACCAAAAAATCCACCTAGAAAAGAATTTGGCAGTCTCACTCAGATGCCTGGCCTAGAGGGGACTTCAGAGAATGCCCTACAGAGAGACACCAAGACTACAAATGCAAATTCTGCCCAAAGAGTGCCTGGCCGATGAACAGGGTCCTATCTACATCTTATGGAGACTCCTATTTTATAAATATGTATCCTCAAGTCCAAGCACAAACAAAATAACAGAAACAGGGATGATTCTCTCCCAGTTTCCATGACAGTAAATAATAAATTTCCCTAAATTTTACTTTCAACAACATAGACTTTTTTTATTTTTATTTTTATTTATTTATTTATTTATTTTTTGAGACGGAGTCTCACTCTGTCACCCAGGCTGGAGTGCAGTGGCATGATCTGGGATCACTGCAACCTCCACCTCCCAGGTTCAAGCAATTCTTCTGTCTCAGCCTCCTGAGTAGCTGGGACTACAAGTGCACGCCACCATGCCGGGTTAATATTTGTATTTTTAGTGGAGACGGGGTTTCACCATGTTGGCCAGGCTGGTCTTGAACTCCTGACCTCAAGTGATCCACTGGTCTTGGCCTCCCAAAGTGTTGGGATTACAGATGTGAGCCACTACACCTGGCCAACAACACAGACTTCTTAAAAAAATCATGACAATAATTTTGGGTGCTTCTTAAAAGCACCCAAAGCTTTACTGCTAATGCATGGTAGCTTAAAACTTCACATAATAAGAAAGAACCAGTGGCCAATGGAATCTACTGTTAAAGGTACCCAATCAAGTAAGGAAAAGTTGGTCCTAAAAGCAAGCAGCCCTGTAAAAGCTGCTCTGTCCAATATGGTAATCACTAGCCATTTGTGTTTCCATTTAAATTTCAAGTAATTAATATCAAGTAAAATTTAAAATTCAGTTCCTTAGTCACACTAGCCACGTTGTGAGTGTGCAACAGGTAAAGCTAGTGGCACAGACATAGAACATTTCCATCAGCACAGAAATCTCTATTGGACAGTGCCAGATTAGGGTGTTCTCTGCATTGTAAAAGCATCCCCTTGCCAAGTTAAAGAAAACAACAACAAAACTCTAGAGAAGAAATGAAACCCCAGTTTCATTTCTGGAGAGGAAAGAAAACTCATGTGTGGCATGAGTTTATATTCAAGAAGGTGCAGCATTATTACCTATTTTACTAGTAATAATGACACACATTATAGTATACAATCCAGTTCCAATAAAATTAATTTCTCATCTTACTAAAAGCTTGCTGCTCCACATTATGAGACAATTTACCCAAATATAGACATTTACCCAAAAATATTAAGTAGCTTGTGAATACTTTTTAAAATTTCCTTTAATTAAAGTGGTCACAAACTCAAACCCTTCATTCTCCCTCTGAGATTTCTGTGTCATCTTTTGTTCACATTGTTATTCACATGTTTATTATGTACTTATTTTGATTTTCTAGATAAATAAAATGGCTTCAAATCTATAATTCTGATAAAATTAGCCATCAATTAATTTATTTATTAAACCCATGCAATATGCTAGATTAGATGCTTTGCTATGTAATTCCTACAATAAATCCTAGCAATCACAAAGATTACAGTTAGTGAGACGACATGCACACAGGTAAAAAGTGTTTTTAAAAAATACATACATACAACCAAAACAGTAAGTCACTGCTACATGGAAACTGATTGGTCCTTTTTCCTTTTTTTTTTTTTGCCTTGACTGCCAGGAAGCAGTTTCAAATCTATAGCTGGATTTTAAGTTTCATTAATTCATGTTCCCACATATGGTTCTGTATTTTCACTTCCCCCTTTTAACTGACATACTGTCTTATGTGATCTCTACTGTAAGCCTTCTCATCATTTTGGAAACAGACCAAATATAATATATATGATAAGGAATCAAAAGTAAATACAGTAGTGTTGAATATTGCATAACAAAAAGGTTTTTAAATAGGGAATGGTATCAATATGAAGTGTTAGGGAGACCCAGCCATGAAAAGGATAGCAGGGTCAGAGAAGGAGGATGTATTGCAGCTGGTTTAATGGAGAATGGTATGAAGGAGGTGCAGTTTGAATTGGGTCATGGAGGACAGATGGATTGCAAATAGCTGGGGCAAAAGCACAGGAAGGCATTCTAAACGAGCCAGGCATGGAGACAAGAATGTCTCCCACAAGGGAGTTGTAGTAGCTCAATCAGACTGGGATTTGAGATTTCATGTGGCAGAGTGGTAGGTGATAAAGGTGAAAAGACTGATCATAGTAAAATGCGGAGTCTGTAAATCCAGCACTCATGATAAGTTTGGACATCATGTCAACAGTGGACAGCCATAAATGACTGCAAGCATCGGTGTGGTATAATGAAGGTGACGTTTTTGTAAAATGACTCTGGTGAAGGTACAGAAGGTAATGAAAAGTAGCCAGTCTAGTTGAGCAGAAAAGAGTTCAGATGTAATTGCATCATGGTCCAGATGTGAAATGAAGACAATGCGAAGTGGCATTGTGGATCGAAACATACATGCACAAAATGACAGAATTTTAGAATTTGAAGGGATCATCATGGTTACCAGGCTGGCCTCCAATTCCTCTTTTGTAATATTAATAGAAATTAAGGGCTAACAAGTTTAAAATGTTATCCATCTTTTTACATAGTTACTGCCCAAAGTGAATATTTTGAAATGTATCATTAAAGAAGAATAGATAAGATTATGTGATTCACCATGGACTATTGTCATGAGAGGAAAAATGTGTTTAGATGATTCTGTTAGCACTGAGACAAATCAGGATATCTGAAAGGAGGTCTTTGTTGAAAAACAGAAATATGCATTCATAACTTGCTTTTCTAAAATTGGAATGTAATGATTCTTAAATATGCACAGACACAAATTTTTCTTTAACAGTCAAGAAAATGCACGCAGGTGATAATCAGATCAGTTTTGGTTATAGTACAAAGGTTTAATGCCTCCGTGATCCCTTTCAACTTGAAAGCATTCTAGAGCAATTGGTGATTAATATCAGTATAACAGTCATTTATAAAATTATTATTTATTTGATATACATCTAATCAAAGCATAAGATTTATTTTTATTATTATTATTATACTTTAAGTTTTAGGGTACATGTGCACAATGTGCAGGTTAGTTACATATGTATACATGTGCCATGCTGGTGCGCTGCACCCACTAACTCGTTGTCTAGCATTAGGTTTAAAAGATCAGATTGTCTCGGCACCATGTTAATATCTTTTTCTGTTGGCATTAGTATTAGTTTTGCTTGTGTATTTGTTTAGGAGATAGCTTCACAAGTTGGTGATTGATATTCTACCATGTATGAAGTCATGCGTGGAATTCAGAATCCCCAGCTTGTAAAATTGCATTATGATCATCTTTAGTGGGAAATTGTTCTCAGAATACTGAGCAAAGGATGATACCAAAATGGCAGCTATTATTCATTCTTAAGCATATGAAATGCTTTCAGGTTCAACCCAAAATTACATACATTTTAAATGCTTACTAAAAGAGTCTTTTCCCTCCTCCATCTATTAACTGCAATCAAAAAACTTCGGTTTTAACTGAACATGATTTCATATTATTTATTAAAATTTAAGGCAAGGTGCACCAAGTACCCTTGAATTATGAAAAGCTTCATGATGTGGGATATTCTTTCAGTTAACGGCAGGGTTGGCTACACTTTTAAGGGGTTCAAAGTAGGAACAGCTGCAATAGTGAGCTGCATCTGGAAAGTCCAGTAATTTGAAAAACCACCTGTTTATGTATCCTGCCCACTCAAGTCCATAAAATAACAGACACTTTCATATTCCAAATGAAACTGCTTTTTAGTTTGCCCTACTTTTAAACATAACTCTTTGTGATGGAATGACCAGAAACAGCTGGTCTCTAAGAGGACAGGGCTATGTGCGCTCACCTGCGGGGTTGGACCTTCCATAATCCCCCTGGCTGTGGGGAAAGTTGAGGGCTGCTGTCTTTATACAAAGATGGTTTATTCCAAGATACACACACTCTTCTTCCACACCCTGGAGACCTTGCATATTTAGTATCTTCTTTACCATAATCTGAGGCCCTAGAGAAAAAGATTTGCAAACTATACTTGTTTTAAAACAACTTTCTAAAAAAGACACTCTCAGCCCCTAGAAATTATGCCTAACACATAGATGCTCAGAGGCAACCTGTTGTAGTGCAAGAGGATTGTGCCAAGATTAGAAAACAAATATTTGCAACTTTTGTAACTGTCTTCTCTAAAACTTGAATGTGGTGATTCTAAAGTAAAGACCGACACAAAATTCTTTTTCTTTAGCAGTCAGGAAAAGGCATGCATGAAGTAATCAGATCAGGTGTGGTTTCAGCATAATGGCCTAATGCTTTCATGATCTCTTTCAACTGGAAAGCGTTCTAGTCCCACTGGACACCAAGGAGGAAGAAGGGACGGAAAATATTAGGCCCATAGGTTTATCTTCCTCAGTAGTCCACGAGATTTGAGCTTATATGTAGGGAGCAAAATTGTTTGTCTAAAAGCAGTTAATAAATGCCCCAAAAAGGCTGGGCGCAGTGACTCACTCCTGTAATCCCAGCACTTTGGGAGCTCAAGATTGGTGGATCATGAGGTTAGGAGAGCAAGATCATCCTGGCCAACACGGTGAAACCCCATCTCTATGAAAAATACAAAAATTAGCTGGGTGTGGTAGCGCGTGTTTAATCCCAGCTACTGGGGAAGCTGAGGCAGGAGAATGGCTTGAACCCAGGAGGCCAAGATTGCAGTGAGCCAAGATTGCGCCACTGCACTCCAGCCTGGTGACACAGCGAGACTCCGTCTCAAAAAATAAAATAAATAAAATAAAATAAAATAAAATAAAATAAAATAAAATAAAATAAAATAAAATAAAATAAAAATAAAATGAACGCCCCAAAAATATTTTGGGCAAACTATTTTGTGTTTCTTTTCTTTATTTATTTATTTCTTTTGAGACAAAATCTTGCTCTGTTGCCCCGGCTGGAGTGCAATGGCACAATCTTGGCTCACTGTATCCTCAACCTCCTGGGCTCAAGCAACTCCTGAGTAACTGGGACCACAGGGATGTGCCACAATTCCCGGCTAATTGTTTTAGCCAGGATATAAATGCTGCCTACATAGAGTTTGTAGCTATCTCCTTGACTTTCTTTATGCAGATTCCTTCACAAACTTTTGATGGATTCCTTTACCAAATTCTACTGTCTGTTAAAATCTTCTATCTTTATATCTTTAGTCCAAACAACACGTCATTTATAAACCTTAAAATTGTTTCTGGGCAAATAAACAAGGCAAAATAGGAATATATATTTTTAGGCAATTTACTTCTGTTTTGGTCTCATAAAAAATTGTAATTAAATTGTAGAAAATATTTCAATTCCTCTTTAATATCCTCTCCTCACATACTGGCTCTCAACTTCTAATCCTCCTATTGAAACATTGATTGGGAGGCCAAGGCAGGCGGATCAACTGAGGTCAGGAGTTTGAGACCAGCCTGGCCAACATGGTGAAACCCTGTCTCTACTAAAAATACAAAAGATTAGCTGGGCATGGTGGCATGCACCTGTAGTCCCAGCTACTTTGGTGGCTGAGGCACGAGAATCGCTTTAACCCGGGAGGCAGAAGTTACAGTGTGCCAAGATCAAGCCACTGAACTCCAGCCTGGGCGACAGAGTGAGACTCCATCACAAAAAAATAAAAATAAAAATTGAAATTTGCAGCCTTTTTAAAACCCCATAGCCTCTTTATAAACCCAAAAGCACTATCAAATTTGGCGAGGTGTCAAAAGAATCAGAGGAATGTTTACAAATACAGATGCCTGGGCCCACCTCAGATATATATATATATATATATATATATATATATATTTTTTTTTTTTTTTTTTTTTTGAGACGATGTCTTGCTCTGTCACCCAGGCTGGAGTGCAGTGGCATGATCTCAGCTCACTGCAAGCTCCGTCTCCCGGGTTCACGCCATTCTCCTGCCTCAGCCTCCCAAGTAGCTGGGACTACAGGCGCCCGCCACCACGGCTGGCTAATTTTTTCTATTTTTTAGTAGAGACAGGGTGTCACCGTGTTAGCCAGGATGGTCTCAATCTCCTGACCTTGTGATCCGCTCGCCTCGGCCTCTCAAAGTGCTGGGATTACAGGCGTGAGCCACTGCACCCGGCCCAGATATATTAAATTAGAATATCTAGAGGTGGAGCCTGAGTATCTGTATTTTTCAGAGTTTCAAATGATCGTTCTTCAAATGATTACACTGTGAAGTCAGATTTAGAAATGACTGTACCCAAGGTTGGCTAAAAGATACACACCCTGGTTGATTCTACCTGAAGAGAGCAAATAAGATACACAGCAAAGTTGTAGATGTTTTCCCTGCCAGTAGAATACTTGCGGGTTAGGCCATTTAAAACCCTGCCAGAGAGTTTTGAAACACTGTGGAGGGCTCCCAAATCAACTTGCTCAATGGTTCTCCATCCCTTCAGGCTACTTGGGCTTAAAGCCAACTGCAAGCTTAGAGCCTCAGAGTGACCTAGGAATGGGGTGACCATATATTCTAGGTTGTCTCATACAGACTAGCCAGCACTACTCAGCCGCAAGTAATAGCATCCAGGCATGCTCAGAAGTGTCCCATTTGGAGGAAAAAAACAATATTGTCACAAATGAATTGGCAATGGCCTGTCTCTGATTCTTATACCTGGAATATACTGGAAGTCCCTACTCATGCTATTTTCTAGCAGAATAGGCAAAATTTCTACATTCCAGGCATGTCAGGCCTTTCCCTGATTCCTTTCTCTAATGTCACTCGTCTGCTGTCTTTTATCACAGCCATTAAACTGCACCCTAACTTAAAGAGGATCCCTTATGTTCCAATCTACTCATCCCTCAGATCTTTCTTTCTCTGAAACACAGGGTTAATGAGACTGACATCCTTCCATCACATATTTTCTCAGCTACTCAGTAAAAGATGTAAATGTTTAAAATAGTTTAAACTATTTTTCAGTTAGTCCAGGAAACATAAAATGGCATGCTTGCACATAAACCATTGTTTAGGGTGGGGGAAGTGTTTTTAATTTTGCCTTAAAGGAAATCTGCATGATCCACAGGCTATGCAACTACCAAGGGAATTAGTTGGTAGAACAGAATTACACCTGCACAGAATACAAATTTCCTGCCTTTCATGGGAACTATGTTGATGTTTCAGATATGAAATACATCTTGTTTTCTTTATTGAACCTCGAGAAGATGTCTCTTGTTGGTCATTATTTCATGGCAGGGGAAGTACATATTCCTAAAGACACAACCGAGTTTCCCTTTAACCATCATTAGTTGGGCTGGCCATTAAGAACCAGACGCTTTTATTTTCAAAGAGACTTAAGTTTTGATGTTGTACATATGTGCCTAATATTCTATCTCATAGCAATTTAAAGGTGACGTTTTAAAAAGCTGCATTCAGTGTATAAACTTCTCCTGATCCCAGCAAGGATGTTGTGATGATTTTATTTAAAAAGGTAAGTTGTGTCTAGATATGGCAGTGGGTCATCTCATGCATGGTGCAGATGTCAAACACAATTACATTTTCTTATTTGCAATGACTAAAAAAAGAAGCTGAGCCCAAGCAGTGAGAAAGTAGGAGATTGGGAGGACAAGAAGCAAAGGAAAAAAGTAACATGAGCACCGTTCTCCCTGTCCTGCCACTTGCTCCATTATGGACTGGGCTGCGATATCTCATATCCCAGCTCCACAACTCCCAACAACCATTTATGTGCATGGTGCTTCCATGTGTGATGACCCAATCAGGCTCAGGTGTGGACTGAGTAGTTAAATTATAACCCTTGTCTCTGAAGAGTTTAGGGCTTAGTGGGGAAACAGACATGTAAACAAACCTGAGTGAGGTCATGTAATCAAAGGACAGGCCACAGTCAACCACAAAGAAGAGAGTTCTCAGCAGTCTCCAAAGCCGAACATATGTTTACCAGGAACAGGGTCCCAGCAGAGGGAGCAACAGGAGCAACCAGAGCCTTGAGGGGTCGTGGCCTGTTCTGGGCACCAGCAGTGGATCAATGTGGCCAGAGCCAGGGATACTAGCAGAAGCCAGAGCAGCAGGGCCTTCCTTGTCCAGCAAAGGCATTTGTCTCTTTGTAGGCCACAGCGACCCACAGAGGGCTTTTTAGGCCAGAAAAAAGCCATTAAGGCCGGGCGCGGTGGCTCACGCCTGTAATCCCAGCACTTTGGGAGGCCGAGGCGGGTGGATCACGAGGTCAGGAGATCGAGACCATCCTGGCTAACAAGGTGAAACCCCGTCTCTACTAAAAATACAAAAAATTAGCCGGGCGCGGTGGCGGGCGCCTGTAGTCCCAGCTACTCGGGAGGCTGAGGCAGGAGAATGGCGTGAACCCAGGAAGCGGAGCTTGCAGTGAGCCGAGATTGCGCCATTGCAGTCCGCAGTCCGGCCTGGGCAACAGAGCGAGACTCCGTCTCAAAAAAAAAAAAAAAAAAAAAAAGCCATTAAAAAGGGAGTCATGTCTCTTGTTGGTCATTATTTCATGGCAGGGGAACTACATATTCTTAAAGACACAACCATTTCCTCTTAATCCTCATTAGCTGTGCTGGCAATTAAAAAACCAAAAGTTTTTACTTTCAAGAAGATTTAAATAACTTCTGAGGGTGTACATATGTGCTTAATATTCTGTCTCACAGTAATTTAAAAGTGAAGTTTTGAAAAGCTGCATCCTGCGCTTGTCAGAACCATGTCTGATGAGATATCCCCTTTAAAGGGCTCTCGGTGCAATGGGGCAAATCAAGGGGGTTTGTGCAAGTGGGAGTGAGACAGGAGATGGGGTGCTTCTTCCAGCACTCCCTATAGGCTGACTGAGTGACAAAGATCATTTTACTGACACCTCCAATGGCCCTATGAGATGGGTACTATTATTATTATCACCATCATATTCCTTTTGCAGATAAGGAAACTCAGGCTTAGCAGATTGCCAGAACAACACAGGCAGGAAGTGGTAGAGTCAGGGTTTGAACCCAGGTAGTGAAACTCCAAAGCCCGGATTCTTAACCACTGTCCTCCAGTGCCTCTCTGTAATAAGTCATGATCCCAGAAGCCATTGGTGTGGCCACAATATGGAAAGAGATGACAGTGTCCTCACACTGGGTGAGCAGCTTATGGTGATTCCAGACATGATCTCTGTTGGGAGTGACAGGTCTGAGCTTCTAGGATCAGACCCTAGATCTTGGCAAGTGGTTTGAGGAAAGAGAAGGACCAATGTAAAACCCCAGGCTTCAAGGAATGTGGATGCTGGGCAGGGAGGATTAAGCCCCAAAGACCAGAAATGGGGTACACAGGGCAGGTGTGGCCAGAGTAGAACTAGAGTAGAACTTCCAGTGACTAGAAATAGAACCAGACACGTTGCAGTGGTGGATAAGGTAGAATCGCTTAAGTCTTTAAAGTGCCCCTGATCACCCAAGTTGGCCAGAGACCCTGGGGTGGGGCTGATTCTGTCTGGATATACGGGGAGGGGTAAGCATGAGGAAAGGAAGCAGGTCCTGACAGGTACTTTGCACTAAACAGCTCCTTATAAGGTTCTCAATTTGCCTGCTCAATTTCTACAGACATTTGTGGGACCACACCAGTACATTGTAAAAGCAGGAAACAATTGAGAAAAACCTGAGTTTTATGTTGGTAGGAGAAATGCCTATGGAATATGGCAAATCGTTTCTCTGAGACTTCCTCCCTAGTAATTACATATTTGTTCTCAAAAACAAATGCCAGAAGGAAGAAGCAGATTTAATAGTGCATTTTACAAGGCACCATTAATCTCTAAGAAGAACAATTAAAATGTCTCAGCAATCATGGTTCACTGTATATCTTTTCTATCTTCTTAGAAGTAATATATGGCTGGAAATGGGCATACCAAAATATGTCAAGGAAGTGGAATTGCGTTCATTAGATTTCACCACTAATTATTTTAGTTAGCTTCACAGATCTCTCTTCCTTGCTTGTTCTTGAGAGCGAGGCTTTTTAGTAGGAAGAGAAATTGTCTAAAACGATTAATAACCACAAATTCACCAAACTATTTTGGGTAAGTCCCTCTATTTCTCTAGGTCTAAAGCTAGGAATAAGAGTCATTCTCATATAATGTACTGTCCCAGAAAGGGCATTATATTAGTCTGTTTTCACGCTGCTGATAAAGACATATCCGGGATTGGGTGATGTATTTAAAAAAAGAGGTTTAATGGACTCACAGTTCCACATGCCTGGGGAGGCTTCACAATCATGGAGGAAGGTGAAAGGCACATCTTACATGGTGGCAGACAAGACAGAATTGAGAGCCAATCAAAAGGGGAAACCCCTTATAAAAGCATCAGATTTCGTGGGACTTATCACTACCACAAGAACAGTATGGGGGAACCGCCACCATGATTCAATTATCTCCCACAAAATGGGAAAATTATGGGAACTACAATTCAAGATGAGATTTGGGTGGGGACACAGCCAAACCATATCAGGCATTCAACCAATATTTGGGAAGCACCAGCCCTGCACCAGGCACGGAGCACGTCATGAGTCCTGCCGTACCACAGCCTGCCTGACAGACCTCAGTCATCCTCTGGAGCTTGCCTCTGACATCTGGACCTCCTCAGAATCAGCATCTCTTCTCCTTGCCCCCGCCATCCTTTGTTTTTATCTCTGCTGTGGCATTCATCAAAGCCTTCCAACTATCCTGCGTCACTGTCCTTCAGTGTCCTCTCTCCTCTCCCTTCCTTCTCACCCCACTTTGTGCCTGTATCCTTCAAGCAGAGCAATGGCACCCTCACTTCTGTGGCTGCCCAGTGCCCCATGCAGAGTCAGACATCAGAAAATAGATGCTGAATTCAGTTGACACTCTGAAATTCTTTTTAAAGTAAGTTAATGTGTGCTTTGAATGAAAAGACACTGGGATTACATTATTGAGTGTCTTTCTTCCTTTGCCACTTTTGTCCCTATTGGCCATATTTGAAAATCTTGTTGGAAAAAAAAATTCAAGAACTTAATAAATAAATTCAAAAACATTTAGTCTATTTACTTAGGTGAAGAGAAAACTCATTCTAATATGTGTGTATATTTAAAATATTTGTTATTTAGACTTTTTTTTTAAGTCTCCAGGTTGAGGAGGACACAAATATATCCTCCTAAACCTTCCAGTAAGCAAGCTGTGGCATCCAGATGATCTCCTGGGTCATGGGGGATAAGGCTAATCTCCTAGGTGTCTGGCAGACAGGACAGGCAAATTCCCAGAATGCCAAAATATACCATCTGCTGCTGTTTGGCATTGCCCTTAAGTCCAGAGTGTGGAGGCTGGGGGTGGGTCTCTGGCTACAGGAGAAGTCCCCTGGCAAGGGAGGGGTGAAAGGAGTGCCTGTTGAACCCCCCATCTATCCCCGCACTATGGCAAGATTGAGAGGAATGACTAGATCAGGGAATGGCCCGAAAGAAAAATCCAAAACCTCCCAACCCTGGACAAGGCCACAGCTTTGAGAAACCGAAGCCTCTGCTTCCTTCTCTTTGGCTTTACTGCTTCTAGATGCAAATACACAGAGCTCTGAGATTTTGTGTGCTGGGAGGTGATAACTGTTAACCCTCTATTCCAATAGCACAGAAATTTCTCTTTGCCTCAGAAGTGGTTTCTCATAGATCTCAGATCTCTTTTCAGGAAAAAGAAAAACAACAACAATAACAACACATTAATGACTCTGAAAGAGTCAGACACCATTAATTCCATTATTGGTGTCTGTGCCAAGTGAAATGAACGTCAGCTCTTTTCCCAGATATGTTTCCTTCTTTTGCCTCCTATAATAAGAGATGATTTTACTGTAATAATATAAGACTCATCAATTTGACTCCAAATAGCTTTCCTATCAACAGGCTAAGTGTAAAATACCAGGATCATTATTCAGTTGAGAATAGATAGAACTAGGAAGTAGCCATCAAAAAAGAATGATGAGGTGCATTGTGGATTTGGGGTGTAACTTGGTATCTAACATACAGCCAGAATCACAGTCATAGCACACTTAATATTTTATCAGAAACTTGCGTGAACAAGTTAAGAGGACTCTCAACTTAAAAATGACACCAATTGCAATGATCTTGTTAACATTTGTGATGAAAATAATAGCAAAGTGACTTAGACAAATTACAATAGCCCATAAAAATAAGATAAAGTTTAACACAAAGTAAGATGATGTTAAAAGACTTGAAATAAAACAGATATGTTAAGTAGGCAACACATAGGTAAGCATATAAAAACAAGAAGATACCAGGATAGAGCTGTCATTTTTGTGGGAGCCTGTGATGTGGAAAACCAAGATGCCTGGTGAGTATAATGGATATGGAAACCCCCCTTGTAATAATTCCACAGTTCCAAGGGGCCAAGGTCTCCAGGTTGAGTCACTATTGTAAACACACCCATAGATGAATCCACATGCCATACCTCCTTGAGTAAGTGGGGACTCAAACTAGGTCTGTCAATTGTTCCAGAAAATTAAGCATCTAAATAATTTAATGATAATTTAAAAGAAGCACAATGAAATATTTCAAGGAATGTCACATACAAGATTCTGTACCTCTTCTGCTTTGGTTAGACTCATTCAGAATAGGTTCCTGCTTTGATCTTAAGAGGGAGGTAGAGATTCTGGAGAAGCCCTAGGGAAGAGCAAAAGGAAAGGAATAAGGAGCCAAGAGGAAACCCAGGGTAAGGCTGAGGAGGGACTGTTTCGTGTAGGTGATTTATTGGAAGGGTTGGAAGGAAACATGGAATGACAATTACCTTTGGTTATTGTCAGGTTAGTATGAGACTTACAAGAAAAGCACTGCTCAGACGCAATTACCATTCAAGATAAGAAATAATAGGAAAGGCTAGCACACTTAGCTTTTTATTTAAAAAAGTGTTAGGTAGGCTGAGCACGGTGGCTCACTCCTGTAATCCCAGCACTTTGGGAGGCCAAGGTGGATAGATGACTTGAGCCCAGAAGCTTGAGACCAGCCTGGACAACATGGTGAAACCTCATGTCTACAAAAAAATACAAAAATTAGCCAGGCATGATGGCATGCACCTGTAGTCTCAGCTACTTGGGGGGCCAAGAGGTGGGAAGATTGCTTGAGCCCAGGAAGTCGAGGCTGCAGTGAGCCATGATTGTGCCACTGCATGACAGCCTGGGCAACCGAGTGAGAGCCTGCCTCAAAAAAAAAAAAAAAAAAAGTGTTAGGTGACATGAGAGAAGATCTTCCAAGTAATAAGAGTGGCTAATCCCAGGAATGTGTCACCAGAGGTTATTTTGTAATAGTCGTGTGTTAAATTCCTTATTTGTCTATATAACTTCTCAAATCCTTCTGCCTCTACAGTTATAGTTTAACTGGCGCATAACAGCCTTCACACACAGCCTCATAATTAAACATAGACATACATATGAACACTTTCCCCTATGCCAGCAGGATACTTGGTTTGTTTAGGGGCAAAGAGGAATTGATGTGGCGTTGTTTCAATCAGTGGTTGAAAATGCAAGTGGTAAACATTGAAAAATAGAACACTGCAAAAGGCATGCATTGTATATACCAAAAGGTCAGCATGAAGCATTATCTGTATGGCAAGCCTGCCCATCCACTCCCTCCTACACGTTGCATATTCACACAGTTTTGCAGCTTGTATAAACCCCTATTGTGATAGAAACTCATGAAAGAGTGTGGTCTCTGCGAAAGCTGGCTGTTCTGTGAATTTAGACCAGTGGTTCTTCACCCTGGCTGCAAATCATCTGGGGAACATTTAAAAACACTGTTTTAAACACCCCAACCCTAGAAATTCTGATTTAATTGGTCTGTGGTGGGGCCCAGAACTCTGTATTCTTTTTTTAAGGCTCTCAGGTGCTGCTAATGTATAGCTAAAATTGGGTCTGGTTTAGACTCTCAGAATTTCTTAATAATTAAACACTTTATCATGACAAGACTTTCAGGACCTTAAAGGCCACAGTGGGGTAGTTATCATTTCACTAGGTCCTCATCTGGGGAGGTCCTTGGCATTTTTACTGGAATATATTTGTCACTCAAATTTCTATTACAAAAAATTCTTTCTTGCACACTGCTTTAGCAACTACATGAGATATACTTTGTACATAGCACAAATCTCATATCACTTATGTAATCCAGCTCTGTGGTTCCTTCCTTTCCTTTGCCTGTTTATTTTTAATTCTTCCCAAGAGGAAGCTTAGCCAGTTAGAACACCAGAGTATCATCCCCCTCCCCCTTTTCCCACCTGAGTTCATGGCTTAGACATACTAGGAATGAAGCTGACAACATGCACTAGTTTTTTTCGAAATTATGCAGCAAAATTCCCAAAGTGCGAGTGGCCACAGAGATCTTCACAGGGCCCAGGGACAGGCAGACATCATTCTTTCTCCAGTTCCTGGCACAGAAAAGAGACCTTAGGTTACTGAGAAGATACCAGTCCCTCCTCAGAGCAGACAAGGAAACTGAGCCTCAGAATGAAAGACTGAATTTCAGTCCTTTCTTGAACATGGACCTCCAGGGTTATATTGGGCCTTGGAAAAGGCACTTACACTCTGGACTGTAGTTTCTTCATCTATAAAATCAAGAGGCAGAAACAGACAATCTCTAAGTTGCCTTTATTTATAAAATTCCGAGATTCTAGTTGACCAGTATTCATACAAGAGTTGAAGCCTGTAAGAGTGCAGAAAGCCCACACAAAGAGACAGTGGAAGACCTCTCATCAGTAGTATTTTTATTACCCTCTTCCTAGGTTTTACCAGTCAACATCCTCACTGTTAATATACAGACCGTGGTATTTAATTAAATCATCTTTGAAATACTGAGCTATCAACAGATGGCATGCTGAATGCAAAAGGACCACAAATAAATATTTGGTACTGAAGAAGATCAAGAGTTGGAGTTCATTTCCCATTCTGATCTGGGCTCAGAACTCTGTGGTCTTCCCTCTAATCATCCTTGCCACCAAATTGGCTGTATCTGTTCTAAGATGGATCAGAAAATCAGTTCCAAAGTTGGCTACAAACTTTCAGGTTTGGGTTTTGTTTTGTTTTTTTGTTTTGTTTTGTTTTGTTTTTGCAACCAGCCAATTCATCTTAGTTCACATGACAGAGAAGTGCATAATTACTTGCAACTTTAGTTAGAGCAGTGGCCTTAAGAAGGTCTAGCTAAATAAAAAGTGCTCAGACTTTCTGAGTGCTGACAGTTGTCAAATTCACCTAGTTCACATGGCCCCATTTCTATCGTTTGTTTTGTTTTGTTTTTGTTTTTTAACAGCCCATCTGTGAGCAATAGGATCAGATGACTAAGAGCTACAGGGCAGAAACACTGTTACTTAGAGTCAAATTTTCCCATTACCTAGCTGTAAAGAGTTTGTTTCTCTCTGACTCATATAAAGTTTACCATTTAGGCCCCTGCATGATTTTAATTCCATCACTTAACACCCCAGCCATATGATTCTGAAGGTAAACATGAAGGCGTTTGAATTCCAGACCACCTAAACATTCTTAAGGAAATCATCATCTCCACGGGCAGAGCTATGCCAAAATCTGTAGGTTTTAACTCAAATTTCATGATAAGCAAAAATTGAATTAATTTGTCTTCCATTTTGTTCACCTTTTTGCCAAAATTATGCCTGGATTAGAATAAATAAATTCAATCAATGAATGCAATCACTAATTCTTACGCCAGATAATAACACATTCAGAATTCTCCTTTCCCTGGGAGATTTTATCAGGTTAGTGTTCTTGTAAACAGGAGAAAGAGAAAAATATAACTTAGTAAATAGCAGTATTCACTAATTCATTCATTTATTCAACAAATATTAATTTACTACCTACTACATTCCAGGGAGCTTAGAGTCTAGTATCAGAAATAATAACCACACACACACATACACACACACTACATTAAATAAGGATGTGATAGGCTAGATGAAATAAATAAATAAATAAAAGGTCCAGGTGAGAAAAGAAGGTGGGGGCTAGAAAGAAGTCATTGAAGAAAAAACATTTAGGTTAAAACATTATGAATAACTTAGAGTGAGCCAAGTGCAGAGTGCTGAAGGAGTGCTCCAGGCAAAATCAACAGCAAATGGGGAGTCCTTGATGTAGAAAAGGGTTTGAGGAATTGTCCTGGGAGAAATACTCAAGATTCCAGTCTGAATTCTAGAGGTTAGTGATTTAGAGAGGCAAGTACGAAAATGACTTCCTCTCTTACCTTAAAAGTAAGTGCACCATAGAAGGAAATCACCCTTCCTTGGTAATAATTCCTGAGTGAGCCTGAGAAGCCAGAGGCCATCTCTATTTTATAGGCACTGTCCCCTTTTCAGTTACCCATGGCTAGCTCATTGACCTTGTCCTGGTCGTTTCCTCATTTCACTTACTCCATCCTCAAAACGTAGACGCTTCATAAATATTGTATAAATGAATGAACTCACAAAGTCACAGTACAGCAAGGCAAAAGTGCCTGCAATAAACAAGCATTCTAGGCTAGAAATATTTCTCAACTTCAAATTGTGTCTTATTACATTGTATTCCGATTTTCTAGAGTGGTAGTTCTCAGTCAAGGGAAAGTTTTTCTTCCCTTCCAGGGGATATTTGGCATTGTCTGGAGATAGTTTTAGTTGTCACGATTTGGGGGATGCTTCTGGCTCAACTTGGGTAGAGAAGCGGGGATGCTTATAATCATCCTACAGTGCACAGGACAGTACCCCCACCCACACTCCAGTAATGAAGAATCATTAGACCTAAAATGTTAATGGTGTCCAGGTAGAAAAACCCTGTTGTAGAGGTTGGGGACTGCGTCTTGACAGCCACATTATACAGTGTATCAAACAATTCTGTATAATGGGCTGTAATTATCCTTGCCTAGATTTTGCAAGAACCCTAGTGTGTATCTTTTTCCTCACTTGCCAAGCAATGTTCAAACCTGCAGAGATTTATTTCATTCATTTTCTGTGTGTTTAGTAAACAGACTAGAAGCACTGGAGGAAAAAATATTCCAGCAATGAGGTAAGACGAAAGCTATTAGTAACCCTAGTTTAACTTAGCTGAATAGTAGGAAACAACCTCTACCGTGAGGAAGTGTATTGTAGAAACTGAAAAGACGCTAATGATGTTTAAAAAGCTGTAGTTCAAACAAATGTGCATGCAGACCAATGGGTAGACTGAAAATGATGAAGACATTTCCGTTTCTTGTGTCTTTGATAGAAAAGAAAGAGCTTTTATTTTCTTTAGTGTGGCAATCATTCAGATTTGTCCCATGACATGCCCAGAAGGTTGAAGAATAACAAACTCCCAAGTGTAAACACAGAATTTAGCGAAGAATCCAGGCCTCTGGATGAATCCCTGTAATTGCATGTTTGGATAAAATAAGATTTTCATACATTAAACAAGGTAGGATTTTTCTATCTGGGACGGAACTTTCAACACTTGGAGGGGTTGTAGTTATTTCTCCTCAAAGATGGCAAACATGAGTGCCCCGAGTTATCCCTCCTCTCTGTTCAAGTTCGCTAACTAATCACCCAGTATCCATGCTATCGCTGGCCCTTCTGTGGCCTATTTTTATACTGTTCACTGTTCAGTGTCACTTGTTTGGTAACACTCAACATCAACATGTGCTACCAAATTGACACCAGAGGACAAAAAAGAATCAAGATATGTACAGCCTGCTTTGTACTGAGCCAGCTGCCACTAGATGTTTTTTGTGATAATGAACACGTGAGGCCATGTGGACGCGAGAGATGGCTCCGGGTTCCCTCAGACGGCTCACAGCCAGCTGGTCTGCAGTGCGGTTTTAGATTCCGATGTGGGAACCCCATAAAAAAGAATATGCAGGCCAGGCGTGGTGGCTCATGCCTGTAATCCCAGCAATTTGGGAGCCTGAGGCGGGTGGATCACCTGAGGTCAGGAGTTCGAGACCAGCCTCGCCAACATGGTGAAATCCTGCCTCTACTAAAAATAAAAAAAAAAAAAATTAGTCAGGTGTGGTGGCGGATGCCTGTAATCCCAGCTACTTGGGAGGCTGAGGCAGGAGAATCGCTTGAACCTGGGAGGCAGAGGTTGCAGTGAGCAAAGATCGCACCATTGCACTTCAGACTGGGCAACAAGAATGAGACTCTGTCACAAAAAAAAAAAAAAAAAGTCTGCAGGCTGCATAAAGAGGTATGAAAATGTTCCAGAAATCCCAAATCCTATCCCTGAGGTTCATTTTGGTGAGGGAATGTGTGTGCATTTTCTAGGGCTTCCCTAAAAAAGTATCACAAGCTGGATGGCCTAAAGCTACAGAAATTTCTTGGGGACAAATTTCATGATTCTGGAAGCTAGAGGTCCAAAATCAAGGTGTCAGCAAGGCTATGCTTTTTCTGAAGCCTATAGGGAAGGCCTTCCTTGTCTCTCCTAGTTTCTGGTGGTTTGCTGGCAATGTTTGGCATTCTGTGGATTGCAGCTACATAACTCCACTCTGCCTCCATCATTAATGGCCTTCTGCCTGAGTGTTTTCATATGACCATCTTCATATAAGGACACCAGTCATATTTGATGAGGGTTCCACCCTACTCCAGTATGACCTCATCTTCACTAACTACATCTGCAATGACCCTATATCCAAATAAAGTCACATTCTGAGTGTCTGGGGATTAGAACTTCAACAGAGCTTGTTGAAGGGGGCACAATTCAATGCATAACAGGATGGAAACTAGAAACGGGTATGTTTTTATCAGTGTAGAAAGATTTAGCTTAATTTTTCAAAGTGTAATAAAAACCCCAGGAAAACTCATACTCCCTCCTAAGAAGAGCAAAAGATGGAGAAACCCGATGGTTACCTTCAAACAAAAGGAAAGGAGGAATAAGATGAAAAGGAATTAATCCAAAGCAAAGAGAGTGGCTTATATGGAATGTTGGTGCAACTTTCTCTGACACATCTGTGCACTCATCAGCTGGGGCATCATCTCCCTGGGGTACATTTGGTCACTGTGTGCCTCATGGTAATAAACTCCAGAAGCCTCATTGACTTGCTAGAGATGAGCTCATCCTTCTTGCTTGCTTAATGGCAAAATACAAAATAAGCAGTCACTGACATGGAACGATTTCAGGAATGCCAAAAGGTTCTCCTTTTCCAAAATATCTCTTCCATCTTCCCAATACTGTTACTGACATCACTAACACCTCTCCACTTCCGGTTGAGACACCTGGGCCAGAGCTCCTGATGTGGCAGGCAGTGCCCTAAACGTTTTGCATAAATTAACTGATGCCCAGAGCAACAACCCTAAGATATAGGTACTATCATACCGCATCTTACAGATAAGAAACTTAGGCACAAAGAGGTTTAGTAGTTTAGATGAGATAACCCTGATGAGCAGAGATTCGAACCCAGCCTCCATGCTATTAACCAGGACATCATATTGCCTTTCATACATGCTCTTCAAAGGCAACACAGTAATCGATTATCACACTCACTCACATCTGATTGTCACATTTTTCAGATCTGCTCTCCTAGCAGAGAATGAAGCCTAAGGTATCCTTGTTTCTCAAAGTGTCCTCCCCAGACCAGCTGCATCAAAATGAGGGGATGAGGTGCAAATGCCTGGACCCTGCCCTTGGAGCACTGATTCATAATCTCAAGTCCCAAGAATCTGCATTTTAACAAGCATCCCCAGAAATTTCTTAAGTATACTAATGTATGGGAACCACTGACACTAAAGAAATGGAATAAGGGGAACGTACAATGTTACAGTAAACCAGGAAAAGCCAGAAAGACATGACAACACAGTGAGGACTCTGGTAGCCAATGGTCAGTCAAATGCCCAGGGGCCCTGGCCAGAAGAGAGTTAGGTTGCTGAGGAGTAAGAGTGATGCTGAATGTGGAGGCTTGAGAGCAGAAGGAAGCCAGCCAGCTATATCCTCTTGCTTGGATCACACACCCTTTCCTTGGTGGAAATGGTTATTTGCAGAGTTAGAGAAGGCATGTTTTACAGTTTGGATGGCAGGTATGGATGTAGACAATAAAGAGCAACCAGAGTCCATGGGTTCAGAAATCCCCATGTGTTTCTGTTTGAATGAGACGCTTGCATAAACAGCACAAGGAGTTTGGGGTGGGGTTAAAGAGAATGGTGTGGTATAGGGAGAGCTGAATGAGGAACTGAGAGAGCAAAATCCTGTGTTTGGTTCAATCACTGATTACAACCTCCCTGAGGCTCGGTCTCCTAATCTGTAAAATGGGGGGAAATAATACCTGCCTTGCAGGTCCTCACACACAGGGCATGATGTGAATCCACTGAGGCATATAGCACTGTGTAACATGAGTTATTGCTATTCCAAGGCCCGTAAAAGGCTCTTGCCTTGGAATATATCTGCCACACCAATGCCTGCAGTCCATTAATGACACATAAAGGACACTGGAGATAACGATGTCCCTTGTTCTATGCATCCCTCCCACCCATGCCAGAAAAGAAAACACAGTCACCTGAAGTCATTCTAAAGAGTATGCCTGCCTCTTTTCCTGCACAGACACATATACACAGACACGCACATACACAGACCATGCACATACACACACATGGGAAAACATGAGGAAAAGTGGAGACAAGAGGCACCAAAGGACAAAGTCACTTTTGTCGCCTGTCCCTTCCCCAGCAGGGCTGGGCCTGGGCTGCTTCTCCTGCCTCCTCCCTGAAGCCCCCTCCTCATCATATTCCAGTGCGTGTCCACCACTTTGGGGCCAGGTCTACACAACTGCAGTGATTCAGGTCACGGGAGAAAACCCAAACAAGCACAAAACATGCTTCAACCTATATTTTCTAAATTGTTTTTCTTTAAAGGTGAAGACTTCTGAGCTTGAATTATCCCCTTGTCAGTGGGCTTTCCATGCTGTCCAAGTGACCTAAGTGATAATCAACCTCCATTTCATTTTGAGAATGGTTGTGGTATTTTAGAGCTATGGTGAATAAGAAAATCATTTAAAATAAAATGATTTTTATTTATTTATTGTTTTTATTTATTTTATCTTAAATGAATTTTAAATCATTTAAAATAAAATAATGGGATAAAAGAGGATGCTAAAAATAATAAATATATATGTATCAAAGTGTGCTTGTAATACCAGGCAAAGAATTAATAAGAGATAATATTATGGTTGGTGAAATGTTATGTATGGCTACATCCTTTCAATGAGCATTTATAGTTCCTTTAAAATATGCCTACTGAAGAAATATTTACATGCTAATTAACATGTGCATAGTACCACTAGGTATTATAGAGGATACCAGATGTTTGTAGTAGACACAGACCTTGCCCTAAGTCCTGGTCTTGATGTAGTCACTTTTTAGTCACTACAGGTGACTACATTTAGTCACTACAAGTGACCTTCCTTCAATGGGGAAATAAAGGACTTTACAAAAGACGTAGAAGACAATTCTTAATATAAAAGTGATTTAGATCTTCACAAGTTTGTGAAGAGAAGCAGATGAGTGAAATAGAACACTATCAATGTAAAATATTATTCTGAGGCCTCTGTAATGACTGGGAAGCAACAAGAGGGAGGTCATTTCAGAGAGAGAGGCTCTAGGTTCCAAGCTGGATGCTCAGGTCAGTGACTGCAGGTCCCCTCCACACCCATCACCCCACACCCTAACCCTCTTCAGTTGCTCACAAAGGTAGATAAATACCCACATTTTTGCCCTCTTCCATCTTGAAACCCTGGAAACCCTTGCTTCCGCCAGGGGAGGTTACTTAGTATCTGTCACCCCAAGGGAACCAACGTCGAAGCCCAAGAATAAGAGTCAATACTCCTACCAGAGGTTTACATTTTTCCCAGGGGTCTAGGTGGATATTCCTGGGAACCCCCGTCAACACAGGCATCTACAGTACAATCCAGGCCTCCTGTTTTCAGCAGGGGCTGCAAGAGCACTGCAGCCTTTTCCCCAGAGGTGTCAGTTTGGCCCAGTAAAGATTGCCCCTGAGAAAACACATGGGCAATTAGAGCAAAGTTCCTATGTTCTGGTAACATTTAATTGTGCTATTTCTCAACCTCCTCTGCACCCACACACTCACACACAACATTTATTCCACTGACTTCAAAGGAAGCTCAACGTGTTAAAAATATGTGTGGGAACAAAGAAGGGAGTTTGAAATTGGTCTAAACTCTGTATAACTGGGTTTGACACGTACATTAGGATTTTACAAGTATGTATTTAATCTTTTTTTAAAAAAAGCGTTTACATAGGGTTCAGAATAATGACAATAAATCAACATTTCTATTGTCCATTTGTGTGTTTTCATAGTAAATAATGCTCATTTATCCTTAACCAGTAATACATACTTATGGGCTTAAATTAGCAAAAGCCTCTCAAAAAGTAGCTCCACTCATTTATCCACCAGTGTCCAGATGCCATCCAGCACATGAGGAGCTCCCAGAAAGGAGCAGGGAACAAACTAGGGCTGTCAGGAGTGGAGGAGAAAGAATGGCATATGCAAAAAGGAGCTGTAATTAAATCCAAGGGAACATGGCACACTCTAGTCTTTTGCACGAGACAAAGGGCAATCCTGGTAAAAATACAGATCCCCAGGCCCCACCCCAAAGAGTCTGATCTGATTCTGAAATGGGGCCGGAGAATCTGCATTTTAACAAGCACCTTCACCAGGTGATCCTTTTGCTGAGAACCCCTGAGAAATGAGAACCCTGTGCTAGTGCTGAATGGAGCATTATATTCCAGAGTTGAAGTTTGGTGATCAGTTTTCCAGATGGAGCTGGTCCTTGGTGCATACCTGGGTATAAATCCAAGCCAATTCAGGTATATGAGCTGATATTTCAACCGAAACACTATCTATAGCCTAAATTTTTTCTAATATTCTGTTTGGTATGAATTCTAGAAAGTTGTAAATGCTATATTTCCTTCTCATCTATTTCTGGACTTTGTCCCAAGACCAAATCCCAGGGCATCTGATAGACATTCATTGCATACATTTTTCTGTAAACATGAAAACTGAATTGTCTAATAGAAAAGGGCAAGGAAGTAGAAAATAAGAAATCATCATCAGAAGTGGTTTGTTTTGGAATTATATTGTCCAGCTGCATAACAAATCACCCCCAAAATTGAGTCGCTTAGAACAACAAACATTGATCCTCCACAGTTTCTGTGTGTTAGGAATCAAAGTGATTTAATTTAATGGTTCTGCTCAGGGTCTCTCGGGGGCTGCAATCCAGGTCTCAGGCTGGGATCCTTTCAAGGCTGAGCTGGGGAAAGATCCATGTCTAAGCTCACTCACATGGCCGATGGCGGGATTCAGTTCCTCTTAGGCTGTCAGACTGAGGGCCTCCGTGTCTCAGTGGTTTTAGCCAGAGCCCTCTCTCAGTTCCTTTCCACATGGGCCTCTCCACAGGGCAACTCACAACATGGCAGCTGGTTTCCAGTAGAGCAAGCGAGTGAGAGAACAAGAAAGGCAAGCAAGGTGAATGTCCCAGTCTTTTGTAACCTCATCTCAGAAGTGTTAACCCATCACTTTTGCCATGTTTTATTATTTAGAAGCAAATCACTAAGTCCAGCCCACAATTAGAGGGATGGCATTACACAAGGGAATGAACACCAGCAGACAGGGTCATTGAAAGCCATCTTAGATGCTGTCTATCGCATCTAAGTGTGATTTTTCCAGATGAAAAGAATATATTAATTTGTTTCAGTCTTAGTCGATGTGCCATCCCATTTGTGCTTTGCTAAAACTTGTATCAATGTAAAGCAAACATTTTCTGATACAATTTAGGTAGTGTATTGTGGTAATAGAGACCAGTAGTGTTGAAAAGATATGTTGAGGTCAGAAATTAAGCTCATGTTTCTAAAAGAGGAGATATGTACAACTACTATGCAAGCCAACAGGAAAGAGTGTTTTAAGAATGCTTTCTGCTACAGGTAACTAAAAACCTAAACAGCTGTGGCTTTAAAATAAAGGTATATCTAAGTCACATAAGCAAAAGTCTAGGGGTGGGCAGCTGCTGGCATTGCTTCAGTAGCTTGATAATGGCAAAAGCAGCATCTCTTCTATTTCCTTGGCCTTCTAATCATGCATGTCACCTCACAATCACAACATAGGCAACACCTCATATTCTAAGCAAGATGAAAAGGGCAAAGAGTCATGCCATATGCCTCTGTCTCTTTTCATAAGGAAGACAAAGCTTCCCTGGAAGTCCCCTCTAGCAGATTTCACTTAGATCTCATTGGCCAGAACTGAGTCACATGCCTGCCTTAAACCAATCACTCACCAAGAAGACTAACATTATCATGGCAAGTCTAAACCAACTGTGACTCATCTCTGAAATCAAAGGATTATTACCATTACCCGAATCCATCAGGATCCTGTTGGCAGAGAAGTGGGACTGTAAATTTTGAGCAGGCAACAAACAAGTCTTCTGTAAACTTCTTATGTGTTGTTTTTTATGTGTTCTATATATCCAGTAGAATCACAATTTCCAATAACAGTCTAAAAAGATATTTTCCAATAGAAACAGAATGTGTAAGATCATTACTTATGAAATCCCAAATGTACTTAAGGTTTCCTTCTTGAAAATTCCTTATTCAAAATAAAATGTCCAGATTTTGAAACCCAGAAAAGATTCTATATTTTAAAAATCCTGTGCACATGTAAACTGTTTTTCAAATATTGCCTTCAGATACATTGAACAGAATGAAATCTTCTGAGATTTACTACATCAGCCAAGTATTATCAAAACAAACAGGACAGATTGCTTTTCTTGACGTCTGCTGCTTGATTTGTGTTAACTCATGTTTCTGAAATTGTAGTATCATAAGCCAATGCTGCACAAAGGTATTTCATGTCATTTATAAAAATCTAGTAATGTAAACTGTTAACTCCTTATAAAGCATCTGTTGACACACAAAAATATCACTGAAGTGCATTTATGCCTTTCTTCTTTAGGTCTGCATAATACTTCCCTCCAGAAGGCCAAGTTGTTCCATAAATTACAGAACAGAAAGTTGGTTGTGGGAGGAATAGCTCAACCTCATCTGAGGCATCCCACTCTAAGAAACTAATGGCACCTACACCTCTTGGGCATTGAGTTTTTAAGCCCATTTTTAATTCTTGTTCTGCTCATATTCTAAGTGAGCACATAAAGTGCTGCTCCAAGCAAGACCAGCCCTTGTAGAAGGGCAAGTGCAGTCAGTCCCCTAGGAAACGGGACTGGGGAGTGATCGTTTCAATGAGAGATAAATCAAACTGATGCTAAACATGAACAATGAGCCCATTAGAGATTGTGAGAAAGAGGCATCATCATCCACTCAACAATAGGCCTGTGGGACCTCTTGATAGCCTGAGGATGTTTAATTTCAGGTGCAGGTATCCAGAATGTAGCAGCTAGACTGATCAAGGATGTGTGATGACAGCAAGCAGTAGTGGAAGAGCCCAGGAGAGTTCCTAAGCCTGAATTGCAATCCTGTGCTGCCATAAAATGGGAAGATATACTTGGTCCAGTCATCTGACAGCTTTGGTCATCAATTTCTCTATCTCATATGTGACTCTATTGCTTTAAGAATCCCTTTAGCTTTAAATATCTATGAATCTGCTGAAGCAGCTGTGCTTTGATTGATGTGGATCTCTGAACTCCCTTAAATACAAAGACCAATTATTTAGCCGAGCTTTGTTGGATTCAGTGCATTCTGAATACATGTCAAAATATACTTGGATTTGTAAAAAATATTCCTTCCTGTTTTTTTCACCATAGATAGATGTACAAAAATGTCCGTGTTCACACCGTGGAAAGGACATTTCTCATAAACTCACACAGAGATACCTTTCAAGTCAATGCCTTAGAAAGCAATGAGAGATTTAAAGGAGACCTAGAGATATGAATGGAGTAGGCAGAGAAGGTATGTGAGGAGAATGATGTAACTTCCTAGGGAAAAAGTATGAAGCACAAGGCTGGACATAGACCTGGGAATCAGGAAATTAGAGTTCTAATTGCAGCTTTTCCATTGATTCACTTGGGATCTTGAGAATATCTGTCTCATTTTAATCATTCTGGGCCACAGTTTCCATATCTGTCAATTAGAGTAAGAGTCCCTGGCTGGGTGCCCAGGATTGTGAGAACATACCATTCAGAGCCATAAAAATGCAATCAGTACCAATAATGTACTAGTACCAGTACCTAGGATGCAAAACATCCTAGATACTAGGTGTCCTAACTTAAAGTGGAAACATTAACAAGAGTAATTCTTTGAATCATCAAACTGGGAATATTTTAGGAAGCATATCTATCTGGGTGAAAACTAAGCAAATAAGACAATTGTAAAGGCTTGTGATCTCAGGAATACAAAGGCAAAAATGCGCAGACTTGAAATATGACAAGTTCTAGTTTTGTCACTTAGCATCTCTGTGACCTTGGATAATTTCTTAACCCCCGGCAGTATTCTCATCTGTAAAATGGGAATAATGACATGCACTTCAGTGGTTTGTGGTGAAGATTATTACAAATAGAAATTAGCTCTTTTGAGCCACTGGTGGGGTTTAAATTCCCAGCCCTTATGTGCTTTGCAGCTGTTAGTTCCTCTTATTACAATTGTCTATTTAAAAACCTAGTCACAGCCCGGTGCAGTAGCTCACGTCTGTAATCCCAACACTTTGGGAGGCCAAGGCAGGAGAACTGCTTGAGCTCAGGCGTTCAACATCAGCCTAGGCAACATAGTGAGACCCTCTCATCTCTACAAAAAGCAAAAAATTAGCCAGTGATGCATGGCTGTAGTCCCAGCTATTCTGAGGGCTGAAGTTGGAGGATTGCTTGAGCCCAGGAGGTCAAGGCTGCAGTGGGCAGTGATCATGCCGCTGCACTCTAGCCTGGATGACAGAGCAAGAACCTGTCTCCAAAAAAAGAAAGGAAGGAAGGAAGGAAGGAAGGAAGGAGGAAAGAAAAGAAAGAAAGAAAGAAAGAAAGAAAGAAAGAAAGAGAGAGAGAGAGAGAGAGAGAGAGAAAGAAAGAAAGAAAGAAAGAAAGAAAGAAAGAAAGAAAGAAAGAAAGAAAGAAAGAAAGAGAAAGAAAGAAAGAAGGGAGGGAGGGAGGGAGAGGAGAGAAAGAAAAAGGAAGGAAGGAAGGAAGAGAGAGAGAGAGAGAGAAAGACCTAGTCACCAAAAGCAAGAGATTTTTTAAATGCTACTATTTTTTGGGCATTTACTAATCATATTGCTATGCTCTGCACCCAAGCTAAGTAATTTAAATAAATTATCTCATGTACTCCTCTAAAACTAATTACTGCTGTGTAAATGGAGGTAGAAAGAAACTAAGCTTTATTTCTGCCTCTATTGTTTCTTTAACCTGCCTTGCTTCCTTTTTCAGTTGCACCTAATTGGCTGTACTTTTAGTTTTCTTTAAAACTGCCTTAAATTTCAAAGACTAAAGCAGCAATAACTAACTGAATATATTTATATAACATGTTATTTTTGTCATGTTGCTTTCCACCCCTGGAGACCTGCTCTAAATTCACTTGGACGTTTGAGGATAAATCATGCTCACTAGCAGTTTCTGAAAATGCAGTTTCACTGAAAATGCAGGCATCCAGAAATTTAGTAAGCAACTTAAAAGAAAGTGTAAGAATCTCCTATGTATTCATTGAAAAATAATTTGAATTTATGCTTAGAAAAATAGAATTATTATTAAGAAATCTTACACACTCATGTTTTTAAATATCTTCACTAAGGACCAATTGTGTATATGGTGTAACACTGTCCTCAAAGAACATGCCGGGAGAATTGTTGCAGTTACCAGAGGGTTAAATTTGGCAAACTCTTTTTTATTAACGTGCCTTTTAATTATGAAATAGCATACTCACCTTAGATAAAATTTGAAAACCATTTTTGTAAAGTGGTACAATATTGAAGAAAGTTGATAACTTTCAGACCAGATTTAAGCCTCAAATCTACCTCTCTTTTACCTGGACAACTCATTAGCATTTCTGAACCTCACATTTTTTCTATAAAGTGAGAATACTATATTATAGAGTTGTTGTCAGTTAAATGAGAACAGTGTCTGATCACAACTAGTCAACAAATGTTCACAACTCTTCCCCTCCTAGGAAAAGAATCTCAAGGCAGACCTGCTTCGGGTCTGCTCTGTAAAGAGGTAGGAATCCTCTGCTCCCGGTAAATTGCTTCCTAACCTTCTTTGGTAATAGACTATTTTTTAATAAAGGTGATGGATCATTTCCCATTATACACTCAAAATGTGTGTCCATTTCAGGGCAGTCATGGATGACCATTGCCCATCTTTTGACCCCAGATTAAGAACACCTGCTGTAGTATTTTAATTCTGCCTTCAAATCCTCTTACAAAACAAAGACATCTTTAAAAAATAAAATTCTTTAGGTGTCTTGCAGTTGAATGCAGGAAAACCAGAGCCCCTTATTTTTGATAGTTTTGGGAAGAATGCAGTGTCAGAACACAAACCCATAATAGACAAATAATTTGCACAGAAACTTCATAAAAGTATTGACCTGATTTGCCATGTATTTGCCACCTTTTAAAACACACAACTAAATGTTTACCCTGTGTCTAGATCCAAATGGGTGAAGAAAAATGAGTGACAATACATCTACTTAAGCTCACTTACATAATTGTGGCCATGCCGTTTTTTTCACATTACATTATTAGAACATTGGACAATAAGTCAAGAAACAGAATGTTCTACAAAATAAACTTTAAAAATTGGTAAGCATCATGTGCTTTTTCCAGAAGACATTTTATTTTGTTGAATCAAAGGTGGCTCTTTGGCACTGAGTAGCTCCGTGGAGTCATGGCAGTCCTCATTCCCTAATCCTGAGCCTGCCTGAGTCGCTGCTGTCAGTCATCCACTTGTTGGGATTTCAAACTGCATTAAATCCCCTCCTATAGCTGTCACTGCCAAGCAGTTGCACTGGCTCTGTCCTACCTTTCTGTTGGTAATTCTGTTTTTAATCCTGTGCTTCAGTGTAGTTTATATAAATCTTTACAGAGGGATAAAACTTCCTGTAATTAATTGTTTGGGTGAACATGTACCTGGGAGAGCTATTGGGAAAGGGGCCAAATTTGCATTCCAGCTCCTTTCATCCCCACCCTTGAGCTAACCAAGTCCTGTGGATTCTTCCCTTAGCATCTCTGGAACCTTCTTTTCTTTTCTTTTTTTTATGACCACCTTTCCAGTCCTGGCCCTTCAAACTTGAGTGACAGCAACAGTCTCCCTGCCTTGAGTCTCTTTCCTCCTTCTCCCAGTGTGCATACGGTTGTCAAACTCATCTTGATAAACTACTGCATCGATTGTGGCTACACTCCCCTGCTCCCACATCTTCCATAGACCCCACTGTCTGTAAAATAATATTCAGTCTGGCCTCAACCTGTCTTTCCAGCCTCGGTGACACAGGTCTATTCTGCCTGAGACACTTACTATGACACCCTTGCTTGTTCCTGGGGCTTTGACACATTTCCAACGTCCCATTGTTCTTCCTCTCCAAATCAGCCAATTGCCCAAGCCCTGCTCAAATCTCCCACCTCATGAAGCCTTCTTGATGCCTCCCAGCACACCATGATCTAATTTCCTGAAGTAATTATGCTAATTGGGCATTTGAAGAATTGTTAACCGATTATCAACTAACTGCCCCTTAACATTGCATGTGTAGTTGTCTTCAAAGGCAGTTAAATTATGTCATGTTCCTTACATTGTACTGAGTGCCTCGTATCCTTATCCATGTTTGGGGGTTTTACTTTAAGTCAAGAAATTTAATCACATCCATTTGGTTTTCTCTAGAGCTGTAGTTCTCAACCTTTTGTGTGGTAGAGAAACACCTAGAGAACATGTTTAAAAATATCCTGGGTTCCACCCTTGAGAGATAATAAGGTCCAAGGGGAACCCAAATATCTGTGTTTCAGGTCAGCTTATTGGCTCATCCTATTATACCAACTCCTCAGAAGGCCAAGGTGGGTGGATTCCTTGATCTCAGGCGTTCAAGACCAGCCTGGGCAATATCGTGAGACTCCATCTCTTAAAAAAAAAAAAAAAAAGGATTAGCCAAGTGTGGTGGCATGAACCTGTGGTCCCAGCTACTTAAGAGGCTGAGGCAGACAGATTGCTTGAGCCTGGGAAGTCGAAGCTGCAGTGAGCCATGATCATGCCACTGCACTCCAGCCTGGGTGACAGAGCAAGACCCTGTCTCAAAAAAATAAAAATGAAAAAAATCTGTGTTCCCAAGTTCCAAGTGATGCTGATGCTGCTGGTTGCCTTTAAGCATCTCACAAAGAACGAACTCATAAATGCTAATACAGTATATGTCTATGGATACTGAATAGTGGGTTTTTTTTCTCTTTTCTTCTATTCTGTGCTCATGTTGTGTCACTTCTTCCTTTTAGATTGACTTTGAAGATGTGATTGCAGAACCAGAAGGGACACACAGTTTTGACGGCATTTGGAAGGCCAGCTTCACCACCTTCACTGTGACGAAATACTGGTTTTACCGCTTGCTGTCTGCCCTCTTTGGCATCCCGATGGCACTCATCTGGGGCATTTACTTCGCCATTCTCTCTTTCCTGCACATCTGGGCAGTTGTACCATGCATTAAGAGCTTCCTGATTGAGATTCAGTGCATCAGCCGTGTCTATTCCATCTACGTCCACACCGTCTGTGACCCACTCTTTGAAGCTGTTGGGAAAATATTCAGCAATGTCCGCATCAACTTGCAGAAAGAAATATAAATGACATTTCAAGGATAGAAGTATACCTGATTTTTTTTCCTTTTAATTTTCCTGGTGCCAATTTCAAGTTCCAAGTTGCTAATACAGCAACAATTTATGAATTGAATTATCTTGGTTGAAAATAAAAAGATCACTTTCTCAGTTTTCATAAGTATTATGTCTCTTCTGAGCTATTTCATCTATTTTTGGCAGTCTGAATTTTTAAAACCCATTTAAATTTTTTTCCTTACCTTTTTATTTGCATGTGGATCAACCATCGCTTTATTGGCTGAGATATGAACATATTGTTGAAAGGTAATTTGAGAGAAATATGAAGAACTGAGGAGGAAAAAAAAAAAAAAGAAAAGAACCAACAACCTCAACTGCCTACTCCAAAATGTTGGTCATTTTATGTTAAGGGAAGAATTCCAGGGTATGGCCATGGAGTGTACAAGTATGTGGGCAGATTTTCAGCAAACTCTTTTCCCACTGTTTAAGGAGTTAGTGGATTACTGCCATTCACTTCATAATCCAGTAGGATCCAGTGATCCTTACAAGTTAGAAAACATAATCTTCTGCCTTCTCATGATCCAACTAATGCCTTACTCTTCTTGAAATTTTAACCTATGATATTTTCTGTGCCTGAATATTTGTTATGTAGATAACAAGACCTCAGTGCCTTCCTGTTTTTCACATTTTCCTTTTCAAATAGGGTCTAACTCAGCAACTCGCTTTAGGTCAGCAGCCTCCCTGAAGACCAAAATTAGAATATCCATGACCTAGTTTTCCATGCGTGTTTCTGACTCTGAGCTACAGAGTCTGGTGAAGCTCACTTCTGGGCTTCATCTGGCAACATCTTTATCCGTAGTGGGTATGGTTGACACTAGCCCAATGAAATGAATTAAAGTGGACCAATAGGGCTGAGCTCTCTGTGGGCTGGCAGTCCTGGAAGCCAGCTTTCCCTGCCTCTCATCAACTGAATGAGGTCAGCATGTCTATTCAGCTTCGTTTATTTTCAAGAATAATCACGCTTTCCTGAATCCAAACTAATCCATCACCGGGGTGGTTTAGTGGCTCAACATTGTGTTCCCATTTCAGCTGATCAGTGGGCCTCCAAGGAGGGGCTGTAAAATGGAGGCCATTGTGTGAGCCTATCAGAGTTGCTGCAAACCTGACCCCTGCTCAGTAAAGCACTTGCAACCGTCTGTTATGCTGTGACACATGGCCCCTCCCCCTGCCAGGAGCTTTGGACCTAATCCAAGCATCCCTTTGCCCAGAAAGAAGATGGGGGAGGAGGCAGTAATAAAAAGATTGAAGTATTTTGCTGGAATAAGTTCAAATTCTTCTGAACTCAAACTGAGGAATTTCACCTGTAAACCTGAGTCGTACAGAAAGCTGCCTGGTATATCCAAAAGCTTTTTATTCCTCCTGCTCATATTGTGATTCTGCCTTTGGGGACTTTTCTTAAACCTTCAGTTATGATTTTTTTTTCATACACTTATTGGAACTCTGCTTGATTTTTGCCTCTTCCAGTCTTCCTGACACTTTAATTACCAACCTGTTACCTACTTTGACTTTTTGCATTTAAAACAGACACTGGCATGGATATAGTTTTACTTTTAAACTGTGTACATAACTGAAAATGTGCTATACTGCATACTTTTTAAATGTAAAGATATTTTTATCTTTATATGAAGAAAATCACTTAGGAAATGGCTTTGTGATTCAATCTGTAAACTGTGTATTCCAAGACATGTCTGTTCTACATAGATGCTTAGTCCCTCATGCAAATCAATTACTGGTCCAAAAGATTGCTGAAATTTTATATGCTTACTGATATATTTTACAATTTTTTATCATGCATGTCCTGTAAAGGTTACAAGCCTGCACAATAAAAATGTTTAACGGTTAAACAGTCAGCTTTATTATTTTTTCCCAAAACAGGTGTTTATGTGTCAGAGTCTGTGTATGTCTATGTATTTGTATGTAATGAGCATGTGCATAGTGTGTGTATGTGTTTGTATGTGTTTGTGGGGGGTAATGGTCTCCCACTTTAAAATTATTACAAAGTCACTTAGGATATTTCTGCTAAGGTCATCACCATTTATGAGTTGCTTCAGATAAAAGTTATAATTAATAACAAAGTTTTTTTAGCAATTTGCCCAATGTTTTATATGTCATCTAATTTGAGCCCCCAGCAAGCTTGTGTGATGGATATTAATACTCTTAACTTAGCGAAAGACACAATTTGCATTCGGGGCCAATGCCTTCAACTTTGCCATGCCTTAACTGGGTTTTAAAGAGGTATATTGCAGTCTCAATTTATGTTTGTTGCTTGGCTAAGTTTACCTTCAGGACTCCTATATTAGGGTTCTCCAGAGAAACAAAACCAATAGGAGATAGTTGGAGATAGATAGATAGATGATAGATGATAGATAGATAGATGATAGATAGATAGATAGATAGACAGATGATAGATAGATGATAGATAGATGATAGATACATAGATAGATAGAATAGAGATGATAAAGATAGAGAGATGAAGATAGAGATAGAGATGGACATGGAGATGGAGATAGAGAGATGAAAATATATATATAGAGAGAGAGATGGAGATAGAGATATATAGGGACAGATAGACACAGAGATAGAAATAGAGATAGAGATAGATGGAGATAGAGATAGAGATATATAGAGACAGATAGAAATAGAGATATATAGAGATGGAGCTACAGATAGAGATAGATGGAGATGATGAGAAAGAGGTAGATGGAGGGATAAAGATATAGATGGAGATGACAGGGGTAGAGATAGAGATAGATGGAGATGATAGAGATACAGAGCAAGAGCTTTATTACAAGGAACTGGCTTACACGATTATGGAGGCTGACAAGTTCCCAAATCTGCAGGGTGAGTCAGCAAGCTGGGAACCCAGGAGAGCTGATGATGTAGTTCCAGTCCAACATCAGCAGGCTCAAGAGCCAGGAAAAGCTGCTATTTTAGACCAAGTCCAAAGGCAGGAAAAAAATTCAATGTTCCAGTTTGAAGGCAGTCAAGCAGAAGGAATTCTCTCTTAGTTGGTGGTCAGGGTCAGGGTCAGCTTATTCTATGCAAGCCTTCAACTGATTAGATGAGGCCCACCCAGATTAGGGAGGGCAATCTGCCTTACTCCGTCTATCAGTTTAAATGTTAATCTTATCCAAAAGCACCCTCAAAGAAACGTTCAGAATAATATGTGACCAAACATATGGACACCCCATGACCCAGTCAAGTTGACACAAAAAGTCAATCATCACAGCTTCCAGTTCCATCTACAAAAATAACTATATGGCTTTGGACAACTTTTATTCCATATTGGTAATAAATAGCTTCATACATCACACATTTAGCCTGTAGTCCTAGCAGTTTGGAAGCCCAAGGCTGAGACTGGGGGATCAATTGAGGCCAGGAGTTCAGACCAGCCTTGACAACGTAGTGAGACCATCAGAAAAAAGAAAAGAAAGGAAAGGAAAGAAAGGAAAGGAAGAAAGAAAGAAAGAAAAAGAAAGAAAGAAAAGAAAGAAAGAAAGGAAGAAAGAAAGAGAGAAAGAAAGAAAGAAAAAGAAAGAAAAGAGAGAAAGAAAGAGGAAGGAAGAGAAAGAGGAAGGAAGGAAGAGGAAGGAAGAGAAAGAAAGAGGAAGGAAGGAAGGAAGGAAGGAAGGAAGGAAGGAAGGAAGGAAGGAAGGTAGGTCTCATACCTTCCCTGATGTGGGTGCTAATGGTCAAGCATTCTATGTTTTAATTTATAATCCATATTTTTAACATTGGGTGGAGGGGAGAAGTAAAGAGAGACACTCTTAACACAGAAGGCTGAAATCATAAAATAAAAAGGTCATGGCAATAAACACACAAAATATCAAACTTCTATATGTCAAAAACAGTAGAAACAAATACAAACAAATGATAAAGACTGATAACAGAAAGCATTTGAATGCATAGCATTATAATATACCTAAAAATAAACAGAGCTTTCATAAATTAAGAAAAAGATGAATAATAAGCCAAGATAGTTCACAAAAAGAAGTACACAACAATTATGCAAAAACTTATACTCATTAGTAAAGAAGTAGTAAGAGTTAAAGCAATGAGACATCATTTTCACTTAAGTCTGCAGAGACGGTAAACAAAAGTAATGTCCATGCTGGTGAAGATGCAGGCGAGTGGGCACACTCATTTATTGCATCTGTGAGGGTAACTGGTATAAACCATTTGGAAGACAATTAAATGTACACATGATATATCCCGCAATTCCTCTTACTAAATAAAAATAATAGAGGCAATACCAAGGTTCATCATCATAAATGTTCATCATTTTATTGTCAATAGCATAATATATTGGAAACAACATAAATATTAAAACAACCGAATTGGTTAAATAAATTATGGCATATGCATTTAACAGACTTCTATTAGCTTTTAAATATTGGATGGAATAGAATATTTAATGACATGGAAATATGTTCATAGCATGATGTTAACTTAAATAGTAAAATTTAAAAATCGTGTGTAGGATATACTGCTACTTTTTGTTTAAAAGTTGGGTGTGAGTGGATTTAAAGAATTGTGTCATTTCTGAGCTCCTGTCAGATACTTTACAGACATTATTGCAAATTTATACAAGATTTCAAAATAGATATTGATGGTCCCATTTTACAAATAAGGTTTAAAGGGTTTTAGAAAGTCACCCATTCACCATCATTAATAAGTTTTGGAGCTATTGTCTAATCCAGGGGTGTCTGTCCTCAAAGCTCTGTTCCTTACATTCATCTATCCTCCTGCTCTGTGCGGTTTCTGAGCCCTAAGCCTTTCTCCTCTTCATGAAGCTTCCTGTTCCCACTGGCTTGCAGAATTATTTCATCCACTCTGAAATGTATAATAAGCAAGTAATGTGAGCAGAACTGGAGTAAATATTAGCAGAAGTTAAGTAATAGTTAAAACTTGTATTCAACTTCGTATGTCAAGTGTATCCTTTATAAATGTATTAGTTTATGTAATATTTGCAATAACCCTATATGGTATGTATTATCATTATCATTCCAATTTTACAGAGTAAGAAATCGAGGCACAGAAGAGTCAAATAACTCGCTCAGAGTCACACAGCTAGTAACTAAGTCAGGATTATGAACCCATGGAGTCTGGCTCCAGAATCTAGGAGCTTAACTATGGCACCAAATCATATAGTTAGAGGGAATCCCGCAAAACAGAAAGCAAGTTGTGTCTCTACTGAGAACAAGTAATGGTCAACAATATGGGAGACAATTAAAATGCAAATTAAAACATTTTAAGTCTAAAATATAAAATTAAAACTGCTCCCAAAAATTTAACAAAATCTTTTATTTAAGCATTTACATATAAGTTTTTACGACATAAAAAATGTTTCATAATAGGATATATTCAGTCACATTTTAGTTTAGTGACTTTCAAGACCATAAAATGACTAAGTGATAAGTTGATGTACAGACTGCAAGACAGAGATTTTAATGATGGAAAGAAACACACTTTTTGAAATAAACTCTAATATTTATATTATTTGACAAATATTAAATAATCTCCATGGACTCAGATTAGGTTCTATCAAGTAACTGATAGAACCATTTTACCATTAAGATTCAAGATTTTTTTTCTTTAGGACTCTCCATTCATTTATTTGACTTTCATATTCATTCTCAGATCTGCCAGTTGCTTTAGTAATAATGAATCTCAAGACGTTGTGCATTACTCAACTTACCATCAATGCAAACTCTCTCCACTTCCCCAATGCACACCAATCCTACTAATACTTGCTCTCATCTTATTTTTCTCTTTCACTAAAATGGATGATTCCCTACTCTGAGCAAAAGCCATTCCCATCACATGCGCTCTGAATCTCATCCTTTCTTATTTTCACAAGATCTTTGCTCCATTTGTCATCTTGTTTAACTCTTTTACTATCTATCTCTCCCTTTGCTCTGAATTGCTCTCATTACCCTCCAAACATCGCGTATAACTTTATAATTTTAAAAAAACACATTCCCTCCCTTAACCTTGTAACCTCCTCCAACCATCAATATTTTTTCTCCTTTCTTTTACAGCCAAAATTAACAAAAGAATTATTTATATACATTGTCTAAACACTATTAAATTACCCTACCTATAATTATACTTTTAAGCCAAAGAGGTTTTGGGGTTTTTGGGTTTGTTTTTTTTTTTTCTGAGTCTTGATAAGTTGCCCCATCTGGTCTTGAACACAGGGGCTCAAGCAATCCACTCACCTCAGCCTCCTGAGAAGCTGAAGCTACAGGCACATACAACGGCGCCCAGCTGAACAGGTTTTTTAAACAATTTTTATTTCTGGTACCCAGACGTAAGCATAGGCATGCTCAATAGTTAATGTCATCATTGGTCCATGAGGGGCTCTCTTCTATTTGATTTTATTTATTTTATTATTTAATGATCATTAATTAACACCTATGAATTCATCATCAAATCAAAGAACTAGAACTAACAACTACACATTTGTTCCTTCTCTTTCCCATCCACCTGTACCCCTGCATCCATATGAGGTAACCATTCTCTTAAATTTTGTTATTTATTATCTTTTTGCCTATTAAAAAATTTTAAATACAATCTCCCAGGGGAAAAAAAAAACCTATTTAGTTTTAGTTCTTTTTAAAATATTTCTAAGGAGTACCATGCAGAATGGATCGTTCTGGTGTTTGATTTTTTTTTTTTTCACTTAAGATTCATTCATATTGTTGAATATAGCTCTAAGTCATTCATTTTCAGTGCTATATATTTGTCTGTTCCATGAACATATCCATTTTTATCCAGCTGCCTCTTGAGGGGGACATGGTATGCCAATGGTGCTGCTATAATCATACTTCTGCATGTCCACTGGGAGGGTTTGTGGGCATAAATTCCTCTAGGGATTATCATTAGGACTGAATTGTTCAGTCCCAAAAAATGATACACCCCCAGCTTTTCTAGATATGACCAATGGCTTTTCAAATTAATAATAGCAATTTACACTGCCACCAGCATTTTGAACTGTCAAACTTCTTCAATTTTGCTAATCAAGTGGGTGTGAAATAGTATCTTATTTTAGTCTTGATTTATACCTTTCTGATTACCAATGAGGTTAAGCGTCCCTTCACTGGTTTTTGGTCATATGAGCTTCTTCTGTGAAATGACATGTCATTCAGCAAGGGTTTTTTAAAAATGATTTTTTTTTTCACTGAGTCATAGGAATTCTTACCGATTCTTAATGTTTTCATTTTATTTTTACATATGTTTCAAATATTTTTCTCAATTTGTATCCTTATTTTCACTTTCATTATTAAAATGTCTATTAGTGAACACAAGTATTTTGACTTTAGTGTTCATATTTATCCATTTTTTATTTTTAGTACTTTTTATAATGTCAAAGAGATATTTTCCTGCCAAGATCAGTAAGATATTTATTGTATTTTAACTAGCATTACTGTGGTTTAAGAGTTTAAATATCTTAGGTTTTTCTAGCATAAAAATATTTTGCAATATGTTCAATCACATTAAATATTTGCTTTTAACATTTAAGTCCTTAATCCAGTTACATGGAGTTGATTTGTTTGTGTTGCATGATGTAGGAATCCAATTTCATTTTTTTCTGAATAAGACAACCATTTATGCTAGTTTCATTAATTGAAAATGTCCTCCTTTCTCCTTTAAACTATAATGCCACCTCTGTTATTTATTGAAGTTCCATTCATACTTGGATTGATTTCTGAACTCTCTATTCTAGCCCACTGGTCAGTTTGTTTTTCCTGTACTCATATAGCATTTTAAAGTGAGTCTCCAAATCTTGTAAGACAAGTTTTAATTTCCTGTTTTCTTTGCTCCTTACTTTCTAAGGGCCTTGGTTTTGTTTGTTTGTTTGTTTGTTTGTTTTTGCCATTTAATTTTCCAGAAAAACTTAAAATTGTCTCATCCATTTTTAATAAAAACTCACTTGGAATATCAATTGGAATTGAATTGAATCTTTAGATCAAGTTGGAAAATTGGCATGTGTATGATACCAAGGCTTCCTAGCTCTAAACATGGAAGTAAAATTTCATTTATTTCTTTATAAGCATTTTCAGTAAAGTTTCATAATGTTCTATGTAGAGTTTTTTCATGTTTTATGATTTATTTATTCTAAGTATGATAATTATTATGCCTAGTGACTATTTTAGTACATATTTGCTAATTGTTGACTGTCTTTAGACAAGCAATTGACTTAATATTGAGGCATAATTAACATTAAAGTGAAATACATATATCCTAACTACAGTTCAATGACTTTTGACAAATGTTACGTTTTTTAATTGCCAAATATATAAAATTTCTTAAATTAGTTTTCGTTTTAATTTCTAGCTCTATTTTTGGATAAAATATGATCTAAATATACTTGTTTTTGAAATGTATTAAGACATTTTATGGTCAGGTCCATGATAAATTTTTATAAATATTTAATGTATGCTTCAGAGGAATAAGCATCCTCTAATTTTTAGATGCAGAATTCAATATATGTCTATTATATCAGCCTTATGTTTTGTTGTTCAGATTTTCAATATTTTAATGACTTTTTTGTCTAGTCCGTTTCTTAAATGAGAAGACTAGACTATCGGTCCCTCCTAATGGATTTATAATTGTTTGCTTTATATACATTTCAAGCTACTCTATTCAGTGCATACCTGTTTAGAAATATTCTATCTTACAGATATGTTGGTTCTACATACCTTTTATGGTTAGGTAGTGAGTCTTCCTATCTTTAATTATTGTTTTGTCATAAAGTTTATTTTGCTAAAAACTTACACAGTCATACCTGCTTACTTAAGCACTTTCCTGGCTGGGCGCGGTGCTCACGCCTGTAATCCCAGCACTTTGGGAGGTCGAGGCAGGTGGATCACCTGAGGTCAGGAGTTCGAGACCAGCCTGGACAACATGGTAAAACCCTGTCTCTACTAAAACTAAAAAAATTAGCCAGACATGGTGGTGGGCACCTGTAATCCCAGCTACTGGGGAAGCTGAGGCAAGAGAATCGCTTGAACCCGGGAGGCAGAGGTTGCAGTGAGCCGAGATCACAAGACTCCATCTCAAAAAAATAAAATAAAATAAAATAAAAGATAAACATCTTCCTGATGTATTTAGGTCCAATCTTTTACTCTGAGGGCTGTCATGCACTAGCAATATCAGCAGTACACTACCCAGCTCTAGGTAATGCCATTTAGAGAGACTGTCATGTGAATGGTATCTCTTAGACTGTATGCCTATAAGGTTTCCATGTTCTTATGCTTTATGAGAGTCTTTTATAAACAGCACAGGGTTGGATTTTGTTTTTTATCCAATCTGATGGTCTATTCTTTAACTGGCACATTGGGTCTATTTATATTCATGGTGATTGTTGATACATTTTTCTTTTCTTCTATTTTCTTACATTTTATTGCAAGTATTCTATTTTTTGTTTCTTTTTAATACTTTCTTATTTAAAGTAATTAATATATATACAGTATATTATATATATATATATATATATGTTTGTGTATATACACCCTCTAACTAGACAAGATTTTTAGTATATGTTCATTACTTTTGGTCTTCCCCCCACCAGGGTTGCCAATCATATTGACACCATATAGAGCTTTAATTCTGTGGTATTTTGGATATAGTTCTTTTTTTTCTTGATATTTTTTCTTCTCTTTCTCTTTTGGAGCACTTATGTTAAAATATCTTTTCAATGGTAGTCCTTTTTATGGTAAAAAGGACTTGTATGCCTGAGAATATTTTTATTGTCATCACATGTTTGAAATACAAATTTATTAATTGTAAAATTCTACCTTCAAATTTATTTTCTTAAGTATTTTTTAAAAATTACTCCATTGCCTCTGGAATTCTGCATTTATTGAAAACTCCGATGTCATTTGTGTCATTTATCATTTTCTCTTTGCCTATGATATTCTTAAATCTCAATATAATGGACCTGTGTGTGAATTTTTAAAATATATATTTACTTAATATTTTTAATATATATTTCCCATGAAGTGGTTCTCTAAAGACCATTTCAATCTGTAGCTGTTCTTTCTTTTGAAAATGTTCTTCACATTTCTTTAAATATTTTCCTCTTTTAATTTTTATAATTTTTCCTTCAGGGACTCTAAGTATCTAAAACCTGGTACTTCTATTATCTCTGGCTATGAACTTTTACATTTTCTATCATTCTAGAAGCATTCTTCCATCTGGTCTTTCAACTCCATCATTCTTTAGCTGTAGCTATGTCACTATTTATCCCACCTATTAGGTTCCTTCAAGTCTACATTTTTATCCTGATATTTTACATGGCTTTTTTTTGTGGGGGGAATTTCTTGTCTTGGTTCATGTTGCTAATACATTTCTTTTTCTCAATTAGGATGTTTATTTAAGAAGATATAAATTATTGGTCCTTTTGTTCTAATATATCTGCTCCCAGGGGTGTTCGTCATCCAGTTTGTTATTCTGCTTTTGAGATCGTTTACTCCTCAGATGTCCTCTACCCAACCCATAAATGAAGAAATAGCCCAAGGCTCCATCCTAAGCCCTCTTCTTGTCTCTCTGTGCATGTTCTCTCCAGATTCTCTCATCTTCCGTGGCTGTCTCATAGATAAAAACTGTATTACTCATGCTTCCTCCACCCTGCCAAATATTCTACATCATTTTTAATTGTTCAATCATCCACATAGCTACCCAAGCTTAAAACCTATGAGTCCCCAGAGACTTTTCTTTTCCTCAAGACCTATAGCCAATTCATTACCAGATTCTATCAGTTCCTTCTTCAAAATATATCTTGCTTTTGCACCCCTGCCTCGATTCCACTGCCACAACCTCAGTATGAGCAGCCATAATTTAAATCCTGGTCTACTTTAGGCAGTCTACCTGTTTCCACCCTTAACCCCACCCAACTCATTTGGCCACTTTGCTCTACAGCAACACATATTTTCACAGAGGTACACACACATACACACACACAGAACTTAAAATCCTCTAGTATTTTCTCACTGCATTCAGTAAAATGCATTCATAAAATCACATCTCTTTACCAAGGCCTACAAAGTTATCTGATTCAGCTCCTGCCTATCTCTCCAATCTAATTGCATACCACAACCTCCTCATGATCTGTGCTCTAGACACACTGATGTTCCTTCAGTCCCAAGAACATGCTATGGTCCCTCTCAAAGTCAGAGGACTTTGCACAGCTGCTCCTTCTGACCAAGATGATCTTACACCATTCTCTCTACTTTGCTACCTCCTTCTCATTCTTTAGGTCTCAGCCTCAATGTCAACCCTCAGAGAGGTCTCCCATGTCTTCCCTAAGTGAAGCAAGTCCTTTTATCTTAATCTCTATCTTAGCTTCTTGCCTACTTCCTTCACAGTACATACCATATTGAGTAATTAACTGTTCACAGTGTTTAGTTTTTCACCACTTTTAGGATTTAAACTCCATGAGGCAGAGATTTTACCATGAGAGCAATTAATATTTGTTGGATGAATGGTCAGACCATCCTGGAGACTATGAATGCATGAGGTGCCAAATTTCTGCAGTGCCACTAATAATGCCATGAAGAAAATCACCCAACCCACTCTGAAATAAATTACAGCATTATTAACAACATGCTTGCCATTTATTTTTCTTTTTAGACTTTATTTCTCCATGATTTTGTTCTCCAACAAAACATCCTCTAAGGTACCCATTTGAACTTTTTTTAATGTCAAAACATGAGTCTCTCTAATGAAAATTTTAGCAAGGACTACCATGGATGTTTGATATACATATTTTTCTTACTTGAATAATAGCAACCACATGTTGATACAGCTATTAAGGAAAAAGAAGTTTTTCCAGCAGCTGTTGACTTCATCAATTCCTCTCTGCAATGAGTCACTCAAACTTCCACAGAGCTAGAAAAGAAAAAAAAAAAAAGAAAGTTGCAAGTAAGGAAGTAGGGATTTTTTTATTGTGATGAGAGAGGAGTGGGAAGAGTTAGACAGGGAGAAAGTGAATAAAATCAACTAGAATGAGAGATTTGATTCCATAGAAAGTTGAGTAATTTGCGTGTCAAAAAGATAAAACTATACACTTGCCTAGTACTTTAACAACACAACTGAAAAGCATGTGGAAACTGGCATAAAAGGTGGGGTATTTGCAACGAGAAAAATGCAGTCATTTTTTTAAAAAAGCAACAGCTGCCAGTTTGAGCCACTCTACAAATGGCCAAGAAAGAAACCTACTCCTCTCCTTCAGTTGTATTAATATAATGCCAACCATTAATGAGATAATAACTATCCCAGGCAACAGTCAACGTCTTTTTGAGAGGATGTTTCTTAAATTCCCCATCACATTGCACAACCTCTTGGAAAAGGTGAGATTTAATTACCTGCCAACTCTGAGACAGAAAGTTCTGTTGACTGTATGACACAAGTAAGCACTCAGTAAAGTACATAGCACAATATGCACTTTGATTAATATAAATTGGCTTCAGAGTGACTTTGCATTTTTACAGTGATTGTGTTGTTTGTCTCGTTGCCTTTCATATTGCCTGCTAAATAATAATAGCCTTTATTTATTGAGCACATACCACATACAAGAGAATGTGCTAAGCATTTTGCAAATATTACTGACAACAGCCCTATGTGCTATGTATTATTATCTAGGTCAAGTAGATACTATTGCTCTGTTTTAGAGATCAAGAAATAGAAGTTTAGAATGGTTAAATAACCAACTCCAGGTTGCCCAATGAGTTTAATACCCACGACTATTAGCTTCAAAGCTATTCTTATAGAGAAACTCACTATGTGCTTGGGAGAAAGCGCGTGTGACACCATTTGACAGTATTACAATAGCATTGTGTGTCATCAATGGGAAAAAAAGAAGAGTGAATGATTAAAAGCCATGCAAATAATGTATTCTCTAGTCTAAGTTTCTGTTAATAATTGTTCATGTTACTGCTTCAACAGGCATTTATGGAGCAACTATTTGGTATCACAGGGATTAAAAAGATAAGCAAGACAAAGGTCTTTGTCTTCATGGAAGCTCAGTGAAGCCCCTACAAAGGCAACTCCAAGATGAAATTAATATTTTGCTCTTTTTCTGTTGAGAAAATAACTTTTTGTAAAATAAAAATTATTGACAATCAATTGTACAGTTTAATACAGTGGCTTTAAAACTGTACCTTATTGAATCCCGAGGTATTGACCAGCTCCCCTAAGATAACAGAGGTGGATTAGGGACAGAGGTCTGTGAAATGGTGTCTACCACTTTCCCTCAAACACACAAGTTCTGTTTTAATTTCTTTTCATGTTAATTTTCAGCATAACATTTTGTTTGACTAAGCAGTTCTATCACAAAGAAAATTTGAAAACCTTTGATTGACTTGGTGAAATAAATACATACTTTATACCAACTTAGATCTTAAATGAAATGTTGATGCTTGCTTTTGTAATTATCACTAAAATGTGTTCTAATAATAACTTTTGAAGATGCAGGCTTCACAGAGCAGATGACCAAACAGAAAATATCTATCAGAAACATGAGTAAATACCAATTAAAATATATGATAGCCTTGTAAACTCTCACACTCTTGGTCCAACAGAAATGAAAAATTACTTGAGTGGGATGAGTAGGAAAAAAAGTGGTAGTGTCATTCAATTCCAGAGGAAGAGATGAATTTAATGGTGAGGTTACTGGCATTGGGACTAATATCAGGGATGATGTCTAATATTACTCAATCACATTCAAGTAAAATATCAGCCTTTGGTATCTTCATTGGACCAGAACAGTTTCTTTAGATCTTCTTATTTCTCTTTCAAGCTTCAACCTTAAATAATAGGCCATTGTGTAGCAGAAAAAACTTTAAACTTAGAAGTAGAAATCTATAATCAAATCCTCAGCCAACTTAAAAACAGTTGTGTGACCTTGGATAAGTCCCATAGCCGGACTGCATTCTCTAAACCAGCAGCTATAACGTTTCCTACCTCATTAGAGTGTGGTGTGAATGAAAATGTGAAGAATGCCTAAAACAGAGTCAGGCCTTGAATGCATTAGAAAGTTTCAGGCAGCCACTCATTCCATCACCCTGTCTCACTCTTTCTAGTGACCCAGGGTCACTTACCTGTTTTTCTTAATACACCCCAAGTCTTTCTCTTGCCTCTCTTTGTAGACCAGAATTATTCTTGTGTTCATCAATATGGATTGAGTCAAAAATTTTCAAGATCTACCTGACTTATTACTTCAAGGATCCATCATCCTCTGGCTTCCATTTTTTTGTATTTCTATAGGCATGGATTCAAAGGGGATATCTGACTGGCTCAGGCTAGATCCAGATGAACTCCTCCTACATTTGTTGTCCATCCTGGTCCAATCAGTGGCAGCTAAGGGAGCTCAGTCACTTGTTTGAAGTTTGCCCAGTCAAGGGGCTGTGGAAGGAAGAGGAAGTTAATCTGAGACAGGATTGTGACAGGCAGACCAATAAACATGTCTGTTTACAATCTAAATATTCATAAAATTCCAATCCCCCAAATTCTCCCACATATGTATGCTCTTGTATTCCCCTGAGATAGGAAGGGAGGCATGCTCATAACCCCATTTTACAGATGGGAAGAATAAAGTGCCAGGAATACTGGTCCCTCCATTAGGGTCACTTAATGAGCCACTGGTGAAACAAGAAATAAATCCGAATTGAGAGCTTAGACTGCCTGGTCTCCTGTTAACAATTAAGACTGCAAAAATTTCAAACCATATCGCATGCACAATAAATACTGCATCTGAATCAATTGTAGAGACAAAGACAGAGGCACAGGGAGAAGACAGATCTATCCAAGGTCACTCAAGTGAGGAAATAAACCAGCTTAAAATAGACTTCTGTCTCAGCAGCATTGTGCTTTCACTCCTGGGCAACTTCCTGCCTATACAGCAACATTAATGCCAGCAAGGAAGGAACCTGAGGGTTAAATCCTTGGCCCCAGCCCCAGATAGCAATACAGAACCCCACCCCCGTAATTCAGTCAATAAATAGATGTCCCTTTCATACAAGTTTCAGAAAACACAGTTAATATACAACCACTACTCACAAATTAAATAAGTTATCTTACTGTAAAGGATATAACTATTTTATTATCTTTGCAATTAAAATGAAATATGCTAAAGGTAGAAGCAATACAAAACAGCTGCTGCCAGAAGTTTCAATAAAAGATCACTACTGGGCACCCTTATAACTGTGGGACCATTAGGAGATTTAAATGTCTTCTTCACTTTGCCCATGGTAGGGAGTGAGGCTGCACTGAGAAACATCACTGGCATGAGGTCTAATTGCCTGCCCTATGATTAATGTTGCCAAGTGAATTCAGAAGTTGTCACAGTTCTCATCCTATGGTCCAGGCTCATTTATAAAATAGAGCAAAGGGAGCCCAGTGCTTTGAGAATGCCAATGCAAAATTATAATAATTACTTATTACATGATACAGTTGTTAAAGTATTTTCTGTGTTGTTCAAAAAAAAAAAAAACAAGGCATGTACATTGGTAGAGAAGGCAGAAGAAATACTTATGACTGTGTTTTCCTCTTGTAACTTTCCCAGGCAGAATTACTCTGGTCCCTAAGGCCTTGAGGCACTTTTTTCTTATCTCCACTGAACTGTAAACTACTGGGGTTCAGAGACCAATTTTTAGCTTTCATTGTATCTATAGGATTTAGCATAGTGACTGGCATAATAAAAATCTGCTAAACTAAAACTGATACCCTGTTATAGAATTTCCATGATGTATTCTAAGTTCTGTCATAGGCATGCAATAATTGTAAGTTCTCAAAATGGAGGGACCAAGTCTAGTCCTTTGTATCTTTATAACTCTGCAGCTCTGCTATCCAACAGAACTTTCTGCAATAAGGGAAATGCTTTATTTCTGTTCTAGGAAAAGGAAAGTTCTTAAAGAAATGTTCTTCCTTTAAGAGTCTATGTAAACACTATTCAATAAGAGCCATTGGCCACTTGCGGCAATTGAGTGCTTGAAATATGGCTAGTGAGGTGAAAAAATGCATTTCTGATTTAATTTCAATTAAAATCACCCCTTGTAGCTCATGGCTACTATGTCAGACAGAGCAGCACTGGACGCCAAGTGTGGTGGCTCACGCCCATAATCCCAACATTTTGGAAGGCCAAGACGGGAGGATCACTTGAGCCCAAGATTTCAAGACCAGCCTGGGCAATGTAGAAAGACCCAGTTTCTACAAAAAAAAAAAAAGTAAATTATCCAGGTGTGATGGCACAGGCCTGTGGAGGATCACCCGGGTCTGGGAGGTCGAGGCTAGTGAGCCATGATCGCACCACAGCACTCCAGTGTGGGAAACAGAGCGAGACCCCATCTCAAAAAAAAAAAAAAGAGTAGCACTGGAATCTAGGCTGATGTGTGGCTTTCAGTAGTTGCTATTTTAATGTTTATGAATGAATAAATGAATGAATGACTACACATACCTAATCCCTCCACAAACCTACTTCCCGCCAAACTGCTTTCAGCTGCAGAGTGCTGCAAGCATGCAATATTTACTTGGCCAAGTTGAGTTTAAATAGGTAGTCTACAGGAAAAGCAATTCGGTCATTCATTGGATATTGTGAGGAAAGTCTTTTATGGCTAACTTGAAAGATGTACTTCAAAGTAACCACTTAAGATTAAGTCATCTATAAGCCATATTTTCACTCCACATCTTACTGCTTAGGGCAGAGTAGTCAAGTGGAAAACCAATGGACTTGGGTACTAGCTACACTCAACTGTCTACTAACTGATTGGCTTTGAGGTTCAATTAACATGCAAAGTGCTTGACTTTTCTTAGTGGCAAAATGGGGAAATCCTATGTGCCATGCCTCCTTACCAGGATGTTGTCAAAAGCAAATGAGATAACTGGCATGAAAACATCTAATGCTAAGCAAATACAGATTATTATTAAAATACGTTACTTCAAATTATTTTAAATAACTATTATCATAGTAATGGTGCTGTTATTAACAAATAATTGAATATATGTTTTCTTGCACAGTTAAAGACATACACGTGCCCAAAAAATTATTTTCTTCCACTCTAAGAAGATTTCCATTTTTTCTCTCTGCCACTTCATATCTCAGAAGGTCATATCTCGCTTACTGGGCAGTTTCCAGTGACAATTCTACAACGATTCCTCTCACCTATCTCACTGAATGTGGCTGTCAGCATAAGTAGGTTACATTGTAGGGACTGTGTTTGTAGCTAGTGTTGGCATGTTATTTTTCCAGCCACCACTCCAAGGAGAAGAGTTCACATTGTGTTTCTAAATCACTTCCTGAAGAGTGATTATATGGGATTCTTTCAGAAATAGAAGGAATGGAAAAAGCAAGACCAGAAAGTAATTTGGAGAGCATCCAAGATTGATAAGACACCAAAGTAGGGGGACTCCACAGCACTAGGAGCCTGTGCTCTGATCCCTTCCAGCGCCCTAAGATGTGATGGGATCTCAGCAAGAAACAGCCACCTAGTGTTCCTAAAGAGGCTGGAACATGAGCACTGGGCTCCTAGACTTGGCAATAACCCTAGTGCCCCACAATGGCAGCACCAGCAGAGCCTCCATCCTTAAAGAATAGTACAGCTTTGAACACTGAGCATGTCAGCTATGATCTTTGGGGATCAAATAACAGGGCATTCACATGGCACCAAGAGGAGAACCATCCAGACAAAGCTTGACCTTCGCACCAGTGAGGCCGATTGGAGGCTTGGAGCATATTAAATTTATTTAGAGAAAGGAAAGAAATGTAATATTACTCACATCCTGTGTTTGAAAGAAAAATCATCCTGCCCACTTAATAACTGTGCAGGGCTGCCTTCCATGCCACATTTTTTACACAGACCATAGGGAGGTCTGTGTGACTTTGTGACTCACCCTTTATCACAGCCCCCACCCCCATAGAACTGCGAGGGCTGAGTAGGAGACAAGTCCAGTTACACTCACAGGGTTGTGTTCAAAAACCAGTGTTTCTCCTTAACTAACCCTCAAGCAATTACCTCAGATCAAGTGAATAGACCTGACTTAAGCAAATTTGGCTGTTCACGAGTTTTAAGTTACTCTGGCAGATATTGATCACCACCAGCAGCTAGGAACAGGTGAGAACTATAATCCTCCTCCCCAACAATCTCATTACTGGGTGATGAGTTATATTGAAAGCACATTTGACCAAAGATGCCACATGTTCAAATACTCAAATCAACTAGCTAACCTGACACAATAAGAGCAGTGAAATCCCAGGCAACAGCATGCGCGAAACGGCCACTCAAAGCAGATGTATCAGTATTCTGGTGAAAGTTTCAGCTAAACTTCTGATCAGAAGTTGAGCCACAGGATTCTCTGTTGAGCTATTGAATGAAGCCCTGGTCCGAGAAGAGCCCTATGAAGAGGGTAGGCTGTGGAGCTCTCTCCAGATTCTTACTCCCTGTTGTTTACAGAAGGAAGGAATTGCTTACATAATATTTCCAGCATATTCACATATCTTAATCACCACTCGTTTCATCCATGGAAACTTATTTTAGCATCCCCTATGCTAACTAACAGGCTTTTTTGTGTTCATTGGAGATAAAGCTATAATAGGACAGCTGATTAGGGTCGTTCAAATGCTGGCTGAGGATCCCTAAGTATGAATTCCCTAGCCGACTATTTCACAAGTTAACTATCCACCGCTAAGACGTCCTCCAAAACACAAACACACATTTCTTTATTAGTGTTAGAGGATATGAAATAATTTACTTGAAAATACAATAATACTGTTTTCTCTTCAGAAGAGTTCTCCCCCAGATGGCCAAGAGGTTTGAACTCTTGCCTTTTGTCAGATATAGGGCTGAACCTTAGAGTCCAGTGTATTCCTTCATTGTCTTTCCTCTAAGTCTGCCAAACAAATAAGGCTCTGGTGAACCCATAGAGCCAGCTACAGATAACCACACATGTGTGAAATTGTAGTGCGCACACCGCTTATGCGTAGCCTGCTCCTGGTCTTCCCAGACTACCAAAACATACGTGAGCCATTCTTAACAGCAAGTGCAAACCCCGGAGTGCTGTTTCAAACCTTCAAGATCCTCCCATCTTCTAATTACCTCATTGCTCCATTTGACCCCACAGCATTTCTACTCCCTGGAATGGGGACACCTGGAGAAATCCACACATGAGGCCTAAACATCCTAGTACCCGCAATGTATCGATTTTTTTCTTTCTTCTAGAAGCAGAGGATGGTAATAAATTGTGTTGCTAACAACAAAGGTCACTGCATAGCTATCAGCCCTATGCAATGATAGCTGTGAAGGACAACAAATAATAGTTTTGCAAATCTCCTCTTTGAACATTCTTTCCTTAAGAATCCTGTTTGGCGGACCTGTTGTGAAATATGTGTCTCCTTCATCTAGTGTTGCTCAAACTGTGAGTGCTGACCTAGTGTCTTAGTCTGTTTGAACTACTATAACAAAAATATCACAAGCTGGTTGGCTTATAAACAGCAGACCTTCATTGCTCACAGCTCTGGAGGCTGGGAAGTCCAAGATCAAGGCACCAGCAGATTCAGTGTCTGGCGATGGGCCTCTTCATAGAAGGTGGTCTTTCTGCTGTGTCCTCATGTGGTAGGAAGGGGTACAAGAAAGGCCTTTTTTATAAGGACACTAATCCCATTCAGGAGAGTTCTACCCTCATGACTAATCTTCTCACAAAGTGCCCACCTCCTAATATCATCACCTTGGGGGTTAGGAGTTCAACATATGAATCTGAGGGGGACACAAACATTTTGACCATAGCACCTATTCTAGAATTGTGAAATTGGCTTTCATTTATTAACAAAAATATAACTGAATAGAATGGAAAAGAATAAAAGAGAAGAGAGGAGAAAGAAACATATAGATCACAGAGAGCAAGGGTAATCAGATGAGTTTAATAAGACATTTCATGTTTATGAGAGTATGTATACTGAGTTGCAATGTAAAGCATATTTCTTAGTAAAAAATAATATTTGAAAAATATATAAACCACTACCACAATTTATTTGGAGATAAATTTTCTTTGGATCTCAAATAAAGTAAAAGAAAGTTCTAATGCAATTTTTTTTAACTTTTATTTTAAGTTCACAGTTACAACTGCAGGTTTGTTACGTTGGTAAACTTGTGTCATGGAGGTTTGTTTTACAGGTTATTTCATCAGCCTGGTATTAAGCCTAGTACCCATTAGTACATTTTTCCTGATCCTCTTCCTCCTCCCACCTCCTGCCCTCCAAAAGGCCTCAGTGTGTGTTGTTCCCCTTTATGTGTCCATGTGTTCTCATCATTTAGCTCCTACATATAAGTGAGAACATGAGGTATTTGGTTTTCTGAAAATTTCCATGTGTCTATCAAGAATAGCTTGGGAGGAAGGTTGAGAGTAAATGTTATCATGATCCCAAAACATCTGCCTGGGGAAACATTATTTTTAAAGTATCAGAATGACTCCCTCATGCAGCCCAGGCTATTTTCTGGAAAAGTGACATCCTAGTTAGCCTTGTCATAGAAGTAGGCCCTAAGGCAAGGATTTGCACACAAGCAGTTAATTTGAGAAGAATAGGGAGTATCATCAGCGGGAACTAGGAAAGCAATACAAGGAAGGGAAGGGAGCTATAAGGTTACTATTAAGTCTGCTACCATGGTCAGGTTATGTTGGTGGGAAAACTTGGGGAAACAGCACCTGCTGCAGAATTATCCCATCCAAGGGGCAAGAGAACAAGTATTTATTTCCAAGTGGCAAGTTGGTTGAAGGCTGCTGCCGGGGCAGGGGGTGAAGATGGTGAGTGTTAATTCTCTGGCACTTCTGGCCTACCTGCTCCTGGGCAGAGCAAGACAGAGAAATTTTCACTGTTCTGCAGAGAGAAAAAAGACTATGGGCCCCACCATGCAGATACTGAAAAGAACAAAGGTAATAAACAGAGCACTCAGGGCATCTATTCAGGTGGCCTGATCCTACAGAGACTCCTCCAAAAGGCTGGGGGCATCCTCTACATCCTTGTCCACTCACACTCACCTTGGAGGTGATTCTTTCCTGGACTAAAGACCCAGATGTATCTGAGGGTGAAAAGCAGGTATTGTTTTAGTACTAGTTTTGGTAGCAAGTGAAGAGCACATAAAATTTTCTTGGTTGTTCCAAAATGTCCACCACTTTGTAATAAGAACAAAGTCTGCACAGATCTAAAAGGAAAATTCTAATTTTAGCAGATTTGAAGCCCCTCAAGTTAGTTTCCCTGGCTCTATGCTATTAGCCACATAATCCAACTTTGCCTGCTTCTTGTCCCTCCCAGATTTAGCAGTGAGGCTGAAATTCTGCAGTGCCATGAGTGCCTGCACAGTTTCTGAACTTTCCCTCTTCTGGCCTCATATTTCCTGAAGCTGAAGGGAAGGGGACAGCTGACTGCCATTCCCACAGCTTTAGACCCTTCCTCTCACTTCTGCCCCGGCAAGGGAAACTGAGTTGTATCAGTCCTGCTCCCTGGGCCCCTGACACCATGACAGGGAAGAAAATCTGCCAAAGATCTATGGTTACTTGGATTCACTGAGCTGAGATGGTCAAATCTAATGCATCTTCACATCCTGTGCGGGTAAATGCCCCACCTAAGGGAGATGTTACTTATAGATGTAGAGCAATTCCAGGGATCTACCAGGGGACTGGTAGAGCCACACTTCCTTAACAATCATAGAATTACAGATTCACCTGGGGCTCATGGCTCACGGGTTGCCAAGTTACCTCACCAAGCAAATGTGATGGAATTACCAAGACAGGTTTAGATCTGTGGTGGAACAGGCCACAAAGTTCCTGAGATCTCTCTGACTTCTGGCTTAGGGACTCAACCACTATGTCTACCAGATTCAAGGAAAAAGAAAACAGGTGTGTATGACTCTGCATTCCTCAACCCCAAACAGTTGAAGAAAGTGGAGGCTTAGTTCCACCAAGTCTGGCAGAGCACAGAGATTCCCCTCCGTCAGGTGGTATGGCCTAGAATTTGACTGTACACATCACATCCAGATCATTTGTCCCTGAGCACTTATCCAGAGCCCAGACTACAGCTTCTCTCTCAGTTGATTTTATTAGCCAAGGAATCATGACCTAGTTTCTGCCTTGGAGTTGCTGAGATCTCTCTGGCTTATCCCAGGATCAGAACCTGTTTGGGCCCAGATCATTTGGCTGTGACCTTCCTATCCTGCAACACTGCCTGGTTCTTCCAAGTAATGCCCAGAAGACTGAACCCTATTCTCAATGTCTCTGCCACTGGCCTCTTCAAACTAAAGAGACTCTCCTAGAAGCAGGTACAACTCATCATCTGACTTCAAGACTCCCAATTCCTGGAAGAAAAGCACCTGTGCTTGACATAGCAGGGTCTTGACATTAATACCAGCCAAGCTGAGAAGTGGACTTTGGCCACTGAGGCAGAGACTGGCTAGTTTATGCATGAAAATCTTTTACCTTTCCTCCTGGGCACACAGCTAGACAACACTTCCCAGCCTTTCTTGCAGTGACCATGTGCCTAAGATCTGGCACTAGAATCTGAGCAGAAATTGTGTGCTCCATTTCTGGACCTGGATGATAAAAATCTCATGTGTGATTCTACACTCTTCCTCTATATGTCAGCTGGATATCTAGACCAAGGGCATCCATGAAAACCCCATGTTGAAAGGACACAACATCTCTCAGCTTGGGTCCTCAAAAGGCTACACAGAGGCCGAGCATGGTGGCTCATGCCTATAATCCCAGCTACTCGGTAGGCTGAGGAATGAGGATCACTTAAACCCGGGAAGCATAGGTTGTTGTGAGCCAAGATCGTGCCACTGTACTCCAGCCTGGGGGACAGAGCAAGACCCTGTCTGAAAAAAAAAAAAAAAAGACTACACATAGGAAAGTACCATCCCCCACAGCCCACAGCCTACCCCACCCTCCAGCACTAATGGACTTTTCCATGCGTAAGAAATTTCCATTGTGTGAGCCACTAATATTTGAAGGTTTATCTGTTATAGCAGCTGGACTTACATTATCCAACACAGTCACCCACGACCAAAGCTAGGCTCCCAGCCAAGTAAGTGACCCCAGCTGTCTGTAGCTTGCTCCCCTCTCACAGTTGTGGAGGTCCCAGCTCTCCATACTGCCCAAGGAGACAGTTTGAGATACGTGGGTGAGTAGAAGGGTGGGAGACACAGGAGATGTTTCTCAAGGGAAAAGCTTTGACTCTTCCATGTTTTGTAATCAGGAATTTTCCATGGTCGCACAGTGAGTCAGAGGAAAAGCCATAATTTTCATCCTCCCTCTGCTGGGGCAGCTGTCTTCCTGCAGGATGGGGTCTAAGCTCCATTCCTAGGAAGGAGGGGGTCAGTAAGGAGAAGGGTCATCAACTCAGGATCCTACCTTCTCATGGAAACCACTGAGAAGACTAAGCACACCAGCCGCACACAAGTGAGGAGATTTTAAATCAGCTGGACAATCCTTTTTTGGTTTAAATATAGTATTGTTTCATCCCTCTCCCATGTGATTTTATCCCATCAATATTTTTAATGTCATTAGAACTGCCCATTCCCATCATTTAACCTGTAAACTACATTGCCCAACTCATTGGTACCAAGAAGCAAATTGCAAAGTTCCACCCTGTGGTGTCACAGGGCTAAGTGCAGCCACCCAAATGCATAGCGAATTTGTTAAAGACAGGAAAGAAAACAAGCTCTAACTAGGCTTCTTGAGGCTCCCAATGCTGCTTGGTCACCACAATCAGTGAGTTTCCTCCAGAAAAGGGTTCATGCAGCTCTCGAGTCTAGCATGTCTTCAGGGAATTTAGGAATGTTTCTTTCATCAGCTCTACCCTGAGGGGAAAGATTCCTCAGAGCAATGTAAAAAGCACAGGGCAAAGAAAGAGGAGGAGGCTTGTGACATGTGGCAGCCCTTCTCTACAGAGAGTGGATGGGCCTGGGAGCCAGTGCATTGCTGGGACTATATTTAGTTCATCCAGTGACATCTTTGCGCCTCAGTGCCATCTCTCACGATAGCAAGAGACTGTGAGACTGAACATTTTTCTCATTGTAACAGGGGTCTGACTCACTAGTTTAAAAAAAAATCTGAGAACGATGAGACCCAAGGGGACAACAGAGTTCCAAAAAAAAAAGAAAGAAAAAAGAAAGAAGAAAGAAAGCAAGAAAGAAAGCAAGAAAGCAAGAAAGCAAGAAAGCAAGAAAGCAAGAAAGAAAGAAAGAAAGAAAGAAAGAAAGAAAGAAAGAAAGAAAGAAAGAAAGAAAGGGTCAAGCATTCCTGTAGGCTGAATAAAAAGACAACAGTCCTGGAAACATTTTCTAGGAGGTCTCCAATATTTTCTAGGAGGTCTCCAATGAGCAATTTTTTGCTAGCACAAAATTCTAAATTGTACCAAATACTAGTTCATAATTTCCATCGAGTTCTGAAAAACATAAGCCTATTTTTACAATGAGTTTTTGAAACTGAAACTGTAAGTGCTAACTGGAGACCAGCATGTGTCTCACTGCTGTTAACCTTTGAGGAACTGACTCCAAATTGCAGGGGTGCCACTTTCAAGCCAACAGGTGGCCTCTTTGAGTTAGGTCTTGACTCCCAAAAGTTGATATAGACATGTTGAATATTTTTCAACCAATTCTCTTCTAATTCTGTGAATAGCTTACTACAGAGTTTAACAAACTTTTTCTAGACCAGATAGCAAATATTTTTTAGGCTTTGCAGGTCATATGGTCTTTGTCACAATGAGTGAACATTGCCATTTTGGCACTAAAGCAACCAGAGATAATAGGTGAATGAATGGGCATGGCTGTGTTCCAATTAAACTGTTTTATTGGGGGAAAAATAGGCAGTGGGCTGAATTTATCCTGTGACTGTGATTTGCTAACATTTCACTTACTACTGGCCAGTACTAGTGTTGCTGATACTGGCTCACAAATACCACCCAGGGCTTCACCCTGTCCTATGACCAGAGCCACCTCCACCCCCATCCCAGCAAGCTGTCTCAAAAAACTTCTCCTGGCCCAAAAAGACCAAGAAAGAAAAAAATTAATCTATCCCTGTATTTCTATCAGTACCACAGGATTATCAAAACAAACTCTAACTTTTTAGGAAACAAAGTGACTGGAAATCTGAAATTGATTGCATTTTCAAACTTCTTTTAAGTTTGACCCCAAAAGAAGAATGAAGTTTCTTGAAACTCCTGCATCCACTGACAGGAATTGGATTCTTACTCAATGTATCGGAAATTAGACCTTTGTAACACCTGGTTTTCTTGATTATAGATAGGCCATGTTCCAGGACTACTATACAATATTTGGTTTGTAGGAAGTACTCAAACCCAGGGTTGTGAGAAGAGTCTGTGGCACTAGGGGCCTGGTAGTTTCCATTATTTTGCCTAAAAATCAATGTTAATGTCAATGTCTCAAAAATCAATGTCAATGTTGAGTTAACCATCCAAAGTGTGGATGTTTCTACTTTCTTAGTACCTTGGAGAGGTTCTCTGGATAAATAACAAAAGGAATTAGCTACTTAAGAATGGTACACAGGCTTATAAATAACTCGTGTAGGCATGCATAACTAATACATTTTTCCAAGGACATGGTAAACTCTTCCCATCTCAAGTAAAACCTCAAAATCTACATCCTGGTTCTGGCTCTTTTCACAGGGTAAAGTCATGGAGTTGGATGAGAAAGGTCTTTTTCTTAAGGCAGGGTAACTTTTAGAAGACAGGAATTCTGGAAGGGGCCAGGGTTTGATGTTAATCTAGCCCAGATGCAAAGGGAAGGTACAAAGTCAGGCACACCCGGCCCCATGTGCACGTAGGACACGACAACTGGAAAAGACGTCAAGAGATAACAGACGGTCCAGTGGCATTTGTCCTGACCAGGTATATCTAAACCTGTCTGATTTACCCATGGTCAGTAGCCAAAAGAAGGAAGCAACAGCATGCAGCTGTATTCACGGAAACCACCGGAGAAACTTTTCTCATTGCTTCCAGCCCTACCTTTAGTTCCTGACTTCCCCAGCTCTGCCTGTCTTCTGAACCTTCACCTTTATGGAAGGTAGAATTGAGGAGCTATTAGAAAGCCAGGTTTATAAACTGTGATGGTTCCAAAACCCTAGGTACACAGTAAAATCACCTGGGGATTTTATAAAAATCCCAATACCCAGGCCATATCCTAAGCCAACTACATTAGGTTTTCTAGGCGTGGGACCAGATATCAGTCTGTTCTCAAGCTCCCAGGGCCACTGAGTTCATATCAGATGATCTGAGTTCGAAGTCCAGTATAAACAATTACCTCTTCTCTGTCTGTCTCAGTTTTCTCACCTGTAAATGGTGATCATTATAGTCTCTAATTTATAAGATTGCAAGGATTAAATGAGTTCATTCACATAAAAATATCAGCACAGTTCTTAAATGTTAGTTCTTAGCACCGAGTTTCCTCTTCTTGACTTCCCATGTTTGAATTTCAATGCCTTCCACATCCTTAGCTTTTCCTCATCCTCCCTGCCTGTATCAGTTGCTCTAGGTATGCTCTGGGGACAGCCTAGTACTCCAGGCTGTGTAGTTGGCACCCTGGCCAGGATCACCCTTGCCACTGAGGGCCCCTGGACAGGACTTGAAGGGTCAAACACCGAGGAAACACTGACAGAGGGTGGTAACAGAGAGGGTGACCCACTGCCCTAAACTGCCCCAGGACTGAGGTATTTCCCAGGTTACAGGACTTGGAGAGCTAAAATCAGGACAGCCTCAGTAATCCAGGGCAGCTGGTCACTGTAATTGGAACAGATAGTCCAGGAAATCAGTGCAGGCAGGGGTTATCTTTAGGAAAGTCAATGAACAGGAAGTCAGGGTCTCGAGGTTAGACTCCACCGCTACACAAGGATAAAGTGAAAGAAGAAAAGGAACTGCAAGAACAAGGCAGGACCCCAGCCCTACAGGCAACAGGCCAGCGCCTTTTAAGAGATGCAGCACCTCCGTTAACAAAACTGGCAAGATGGCAGTATTGTAAGGTCAAGGCCCAGTTAGCATAGGTGGCACGAGTGTTGAGCTAAAAATGCATAAATCCCTAAGACTTAAACAAAGCTGAACTATATAGGAAGAAACCTCAGCCCCAAAGAGATGCTGGCTAACGTACTCTGCCCTGCATGATCTACTCTTGACCTCTTTTTTCCTGTTTAACATTTTTTTAATTGTGGTAAATATACACATAACATATTTACCTTCTCAACCATGTTAAGTGTACAGTTAGTAAAGTATATTCACATTGTTAAGCAATTTCCAGAACCTTTTTAATCTTTCAAAACTGAAACTCTATTCATTGGACAATTCCCCATTTCTTTCTTCTGAGTCCCTAGCAGTCGCCATTCTAATTTCTGTTTCTATAAGCTTATCTACCCTAGATACCTCATACAAGTGGAATCAAGCAGTATTTGTCTTTTTGTGACTGGCTTATTTCACTTAGCACAATGTCCTCAAGGTTCACCCATGTCGTAGCATGTATCAGAATATATATTGATATGGTTTGGCTCTGTCCCCACCGAAATCTCATCTTGAATTGTAACTCCCACAATTTCTACGTGTCGTGGGAGGGGCCCAGTGGGAGGTAATTAAATCATAGCGGCAGGTCTTTCCTGTACTATTCTCACGATAGTGAGTAAGTCTCGTGAGATCTGATGGTTCTACAAGGGAGAGTTCTCCTACACAAGCTTGCTCTTGCCGCAGCCATGTAAGAAGTACCTTTCACCTTCCACCGCGATTATGAGGCCTCCCTAGCCACGTGGAACTGTAAGCCTATTAAACCTCTTTCTTTTTTTTTTTTTTTTGGTTCTAATTGCCTTTTCTTTTTTTTTATTTTACTTTAACTTCTGGGATACATGTGCAGAACGTGCAGGTTTGTTACATAGGTATACATGCACATGTATGTTTATTGCAGCACTATATACAATAGCACAGAGTTGGAACCAACCCAAATGCCCATCAATAATTGACTGGATAAAGAAAATATAGCATATATGTACCATGGAATACTAGGCAGCCATAAAAAAGGATGAGTTCATGTCCTTTGTGGGGACATGGATGAAGCTGGAAACCATAATTCTCTGCAAACTTACACAGGAACAGAAAACCAAACAACGCATGTTCTCACTTATAAGTGGGAGCTGAACCATGAGAAAACATGGACACAGGGAGGGGAACATTGCACACCGGGGCCTGTTGAGGGTGGGGGGCAAGGGAGAGCATTAGGACAAATACCTAATGCATGCAGGGTTTAAAACTTAGATGATGGGTTGATGGGTGCAGCAAATCTCTTTCTTTTGTAAATTGCCCAGTCCAGTCTTGGGTATGTCTTTATCAGCAGCGTGAAAACAGACTAATACATATGTCCTTTTAGAGGCTAATATTCCATTCTATGTATATACTGCATGTTGTTTATTCATTCATTCATCCACGGACATTTGGGTGGCTTTCCCCTTCTGGCTGTTGTGAATAATGCTGCTATGAACACGAGGGTACAGATATCTCTTCAAGGCCCTGATTTCAATTCTTTTGAGTCTTCACCCAGAAGTAAGGTTGTCTTGAGCTCTTCTTAGGTTCTCATCCTGACTACCGTGCCTCTGTACAGTGGGACACAGAGCCACCCTCCCCACAGAGGAGCTCTCTCCTCCTGCTACCATTATCGTGGCAGTAGTTCCTGCCTCTTTTGTACGTTCAAACTCTTGGGATTGGAATGTTAATTTTCTCTGCATTATCATCCATTCATTCACTTATTGGAGAAATATTTACTGTAAGTCTGAGACCTGAAGACCAAGAAGATGATGGCCTTGTGAAAACTAGAGGAGGAGAAGAGCATTCAGGGTCCAGTGAGTGTGGGTGTGGAGATTTGGCTTACACTTGCTTAATCTCCTCTCACTCTCCCTGTGTTTGTACTCCATGCTCTTTTACACCATGCTGTATGCATCCTGGTTTCAAACAGAGTCAGGGACTTCAGCTGGTACATTCCCAGTCATTTCATTATGAGCAGGCTCTCCCCAACCTTCCCCTGACCCAGTGGCCTCACCACATCCTGCTGCCTAGCACTTGCTTATTTCTGGCCTGACAAAACGCCTAGTGGATGCTCTCAGTGCATCGACTCTTGGAAACAATGATTCTTCCTCTCTACTACCCAGTAGAGTGAGAGAGGTTCTTTATCTTGCCTAAGTGTTTTGAGGCACACAAGAAAAACCACAAAGGCAGAGCTTCCCTGGACACTTCCTCTCCTTTAGGGGAAAACAAAATCAATTCTCTCTCTCTCCCTCCCTCCCTCCCTCCCGAAGCCTCCCCACTGCCCTCCAAGTTTTTCACGTTGACAAATCAGACTGGAAGCCTGTATGACAGCCACTTTTCAGTATTTAACAATAACCCTCCCTACATCATCTACAAGTTATGTCTTCAACACACAAGGACAGTTTCTAGGACAAGCATTATCCAGGACTTTGCTACTCATATTAAAGGGCAGCATCCTATCCGCAAATCACACCCTCCAGTCTGCCCCCCTCTGACAATTCAAGAAAACTTACAGAATATTGGTTTATTGCATTTATCATTTCAGGGTTTGAGGATGTTTTAAGTTAATGATTTCCCTTTTTTTTTATTGTGCCAAAATCTTGTTCAAACACAATGAAATAAAACATGTAGATACAGGTTTCATTTCCATTGGTTGTCTGAGGCTAAAAATAAGAAGCCAGTGCTTAATGCTGACTTTTAATCTTATTGTGTGAGACCTTATCAATGTTTCCAAAATGCAGATTTAAAAAATAGCTGTGGTTAGGGTTTGAGAGGATATTCTGTGAATTCTAGTGCATGCACTGCCATCTACTGGACATTTATGATATAAAACTAAGCTGCATAGAAATAAGTGTATTTAATCACTGAAGACTCTGTAGAAGACAATACTAATGACATTACTCTTTAGAAAAAAGATAAGTATCTGGATAGATTAATGGAATAAATAAGTATAATATGCAGGCACAACAATATTCCTGTCTGGAATTTCTTGTTACTAAAGAATTTGTATTTTCATCTGCAGAGTAATGTTTGTCACTCTAATGAATGCAGAATCACAGCATTCATGCTGATAAAATCATTTTCAAATTGTGGTTCCTTAATACGACCAGGGAGAAGAGGCAACTCATATTGTCCTTCAGGTGGTGGAATTAAAGTAGGTATATGAGACTTCCCTTAGGATATTCTGTCTAATCATATATTCTGAAAAAAATTATGAGCATACTATCATGTACAGTTACAGAACTTCAGCAGTTTTTAAGAAATTTAACTCAATCACATCCACAATGCTGAACTTCTCATAAATAAAATTTAATATTCATTTCAGAAGGCAGTGCAGGGTTTTATAGTGTGTTGTGGCCATTATTTAACATATTAATTATTTTTGTATAATACTATTAAACACTTACTTAGGTGACATTTCTACCTGTTTTTCTTCTGGATACATAAGGGTTATCCCTTAATTGGATGGTAGAAAACCATATGGATTTTACATTTTAAAATGTACAAAGTAACTAGTTCTGAATATTTGACGTACATATGGGAGTGATATTCTTTTTTTGCACAGTAATTTGATAATAAGGCAGAAGTTTGGGGGCAGAGTGGGCTTAGGTGTAAAAAAGATAAAATTAATTATAGATATTACACCCAACCTTTATAAATCACATGTCATTTTACTTATTTTAGGCCAGACCTCCCTTCCATGCATATGCATCGTACTAAGAAAGATGCTTTCAACAACAATGTAATAAATTGCTCCCAGTCGCCTTAAGCCTTAAGTCTTAGAGGGGTGTGTGTGTGTGTGTGTGTTAGAGAAGTTGTTTATCAGAAGGAATTAGTCTCTTCAATGAAGGCAACAGAAGAAATCACGACAGAGTATATGCTAATGAAAGAGTTAAATGAGTGGAGTTTATTTTAGCTGCAAGAGCACACAAGAAAACATAGCGAATGATAAATAATTTGGAATTAGTCAACTGGGATGAGGTTTCTATTAAAATCCTTGAATGAGACCATTATCCTTTTAACAAAGAAAAAAAAAAGAAAGTCTGTATTTTAAGAAAGCTAAATTTTTTATTGATACATAATGACCATACATATTTCTGGGGTACATGTGAAACTTTGATAAATGCATACAATGTGTAATGATAAAATCAGGGCAATTGGGATATCTATCACTCAAACACTTATTATTTCTCTGTGTTGGGAATATTCCAAATCTTCTAGCTATTTTGAAATATACAATAAATTATTGTTAACTATAGTCACCCTACTCTGCTATTAAACACTAGAACTTATTCTTCCTATCTAACTATGTTTTGGTACCCATTAACAAGAAAGCTAACTTGTTAAGTTAAATAAAATTTAAGGAAATTGTCTAAGTATTTTATCTTTTTTAGACACCATAACAAATAGGAAATAACATATTTTTATATCTCATGACACTCCTAGCTTTTGTTTAAACCTGAACTCTCAAATACAGAGAATTAGCTTAGAAAAATAACTGCAGGGGTTAGGCTTTGAAATTTATCTTACTAAGCATGACAGCATGTTCTCAATGTTTTGCATGTTTCAATCTTTGTTTGTGAACTAGAAAAAGCATCTTTATTTAAATTCAATTAAACCAGACCTACATAGCTGAAACCCTGAGAGAAAACACAATTATGGAATCAATCCCAAAGCACTTGTATGGTGAATTCAGGCAAAAATGGAAATGGTCAATGTGAAATAACAAGATTAATATACAGCCAATCAGTAAAGAAAGTAAATTAAGTATATTGGTGAATACCACCCCCAAATTCATCAAGAAATTTTCATGTTTCCATACACTATAAATCTATATTATCTAAGACTGCAGCCTCTAGACACATGTGGCTACTTACATTTAAATGAATCTTTCATTAGACAAAATTAAAATTTAGTTCTTCAGTCTCACTAGCTACATTTCAAGTGCTCAGTAGCCACATGTGGCTAGTGGTTAAGGAGTGGACGGCACAGAGCTAGAATATTTTTATGATAACCAAAGCTCCATTAGATGGCGTTACTAAAAATCATCAAAATCTTGTCTCAATTCTTTGTTATAACATGTTTTGAAGGAATTTCACATAGTGAAAGAATAGCCATACACCTCCAAGTAACAACTGTTTCATTTTCTGGTTTATTGGGTGAACATATTCCAAGCTTCAAAATAGAGCTGGCATACATAACTATTGCTTTAAAAAGATAACACACAGGGTTCCAGAATTGGAAAAGACCTAGAGATAAATCATATATTCCATATGTTCCGTCATTCTCATCTTACCACTGAGGGCACACAGACTAAAAGAGGAAAGTAACTTGCCCAAGGTCATAGGAACAGTTGGCCCACAACGATAGGACCCAGCTTCCTGACTTCAGGTCGCATTGCGCATTCTGAACACCAGTAAGTAAGCTACATCTATCCTGAGACTATATGGTAACCTGACTACATCTCTCAAGTTATATGAAGAAACGAAAAGGAATAAAAAACGGAGACTCAATGTACTGTATACTTTATGTGAAATATTTAGCAGTACTCAAAATTAACACTAGGTGTCAGATCATCAGATTTGAAAAGCTAAACCTGATGAACTCGGAGATTTTCTGCTTGATTAAAAATAATCAAATCCATTGCAAATAAATCCATTATTTGATTAGAAATAATTAAATCCATTGCAAAATGGCATGGCATGATAATTTTGATTGACTTGGTCGTCCTCAGGAACTGAAGCTATATAATCAGTTAAGTCCCTGCTTCTGATCTCTTCTGATTTTCTTCTAAGAAGAGAATAATATTTATTTTTCATAAGTCTAAATTAATTTCTGTTAATTATTTGGGGACACTTTTAATTGTTCTCTGCATTTGAGAAGAAGCCAAAATGTTCAATTCTCCTTAACCTCTTAAGTCTCTTAAAGAGACTTAAAGTGGCATTATACTTCATCTTCTGATGTGTGCTTAACATCGCTACTGTGACACAGCTCCAGTACAAATATTAAAAAGTCTTTGCCTTAGATAATTTAAGGAAAGGATGCAAATGAAAGGCAAGAAATAAAGATTTAACCCCTGTATTGTCAAGCAACGTAGCAGGTTGAAGAGGAGGGAGATAAGGGGATGGGTTTAGTCGGAGGAAAGAGCGAATCTGGGGCACTGCTGATCAGGAGACGGGACTGGCTTGAGGGACACACGGCAGAACAGGCTCATAGCCCAAAGCCAGGTCTGGAGCTAAGGGCAGAGTGAAGAGGGAAGCTTGGCAAGAGAAGGGAACAGGAAGGAGTGTGGGCAGAGATAAGGACCGCAATCTAGCCAGCCGTGACTCTGCCCCTCCCTCTGAAGAAGAGAACTTTATAGAAGGGAAATCAGGCGACAAAGTCAAGGAAAGAGGTGATAGATTTAGAAGACCTTGAAGGGAAAATGAATCCATTGTCATTCTGGGGAAAATGGGAAGGGTAAGATTAAAAGAAATCAGAATTCAGAGCACAAGAAGAATTCCCATGAAAATATTACACCAAAATATGTGCCCATGAAATCACGTTCATTTTTAACAGAAAGGGAATTCCACAAGCAGTGACAATTGTCGATTTTGCTTGATAAGTTTTGCAGCAGTCATGGCATTCATGCTCCTATTCTCCAGCTTAGGAACACTGGGGGCCCCTGGAAACATCAGGGTTACCTCAAGATTTTCACACAAGCTGCCTGGACTTACGTTCCGGCTGCCTGACAGCCTCTGTGATCCTCCTATAGCCATTTTCAGGCACTTCACGGAACAGGCCTTGCAGTTCAAAAAAGCAAGTAGACAAAGTGTCCTCTCAGGCAGCCACTTTTTAATCCCCCAACACCCTTTTTTTAGGAACCTATCCAAAAATCTGTGGATCATATAAAGTTTCCTTTTCTTACCTCCTACCCCCGAATACTTTACAACATTCCACCAAATCTTACTCCCTCGGAGCATCAGGTTCCTAGTCTAACCAAGAAAGAAAGGTAATATGCTAATGGAAAGGTCTGGGGTGCCCTTATAACGCATAAACTTCTGGCTTCACCCAGGGCTGGCCTTGCATCTCAACAAGAGAAAACTCACAATTGCTTCAAGAGCATTGACAAAGTGAGGAAACTCACTGTTTCCTATGACCATTTTTTCTTGTATTTAGAGGAATCAGATTTCCAATGTTCTCAAACTGATCCCTCTGGCATTCTATTGAAAAACAATCTCATAAAACTGAGGGAAACCCTGCTGTTTTATGTCTGTATTCCCAAATCTAGGAAAAGGGAAATACCAGTTAAAAGAATACAGTCCCGGCGTGAGCTGAAAGGATTATTTTTCCGGAGGTTTTAAATCCCATGGTGTTACAGGGTGCTGCAGAGGTGCCTCAGAGCCTTTCAAGGGGCAAGGACATGCAGTGGCAAGGGAGGAAGCTAAGTGAGTATGGCTTAGGGCACGTTCTGCTAGCTTCATTCTTCTTCTATCTGTTTTATATACTGCAGTTCATATTAAAGTATATCTACATTTTAAAATGATTCCACTGGTAAATGTTTAACAACCAGCTCTCCAGAGAGTACAAAAAGCCCTGATCTGTAGTGTTTATCACTAGTTCATGGTGTGAATACTCCCTCCCACTGTGGCCAATTTCTTTTTTTAAATTATTTATTTATTTTTTTGAGACAGAGTCTCATTCTGTTGCCTAGGCTGGAGTGCAGTGGTGTGATCTCTGCTCACTTTAACACTCGCCTCCCGAGTTCAAGTGATTCTCTGCCTCAGCCTCCTGAGTAGCTGGGATTACAGGAGCCCACCACCATGCCTGGCTAATTTCTGTATTTTTAGTAGAGACAGGGCTTCACCATGTTGGCCAGGCTGGTCTTGAACTCTTGACCTGAGGTGATCTGCTCCCTTCAGCCTACCAAAGTGCTGGGATTACAGGCGTGAGCCACCATGCCCAGCCCACTACGGCCAATTTGAAGCTGCCGATGTGAAGTCTCTGAAGGCAAAGTTGGGAAAAGATGTGCAAAGTCAACTCTCAGCTCTCACCTGCATTTGTGAGGAGTTCCAGCACACTCCTGTACCACTCCTTAGTGGATGGAAAGAACTGGAACTCAGAACGACCACAGTAAAATGCAATTCCATTACCTATTCCAAACTACTAAATTACCCAGATCTACATTTAAATCTCATATGCAAAAATGGGTTTGGGCCTTCCTCATCATGATGATTGTGTCTTACCAGTAACAAACAAATATTAAATTAGACATGTAAATGTTAGAAGCATATATTCAGGATTTCCAGCTTCAATGGAAGCTTAGAACTCATTAGTCTCACCACACTTCCTAGGCCTAAATGCCTACTCTAATTGGCTTTTCAGCTCAATTGGTTTTACTGCAGTTCATATAAAAGTATATCTATATTTTAAAATGGTTCCACTGGTAAATGTTTAAGAACCAGCTCTCCAGAGAGTACAAAAAGCCCTGATAAGTAGTGTTTGCCACTGGTTCCCGGTGTAAATACTCCCACTATGGCCAATTTCAAGACAAAATTTGACAATGTCAGAAAATTGACCACATCTCAGACCATTCATGATCTCGTTAGGAAACACTCTTTCTTAAAGTAAACCAAGTATCTATTGCCCTGAAGCCCTATGCATTGTTCATTATCACCCATGTGAGGCCAAGCAAAACAACTCAAATTAAACCTCCATATTAACAGCCTCTCAACTGGGACACTAACATGTGCGTGCGTCTTCCCTTTCCAGCCCAAGCTACGTTAGTTTATTTGACTGTTTTCATGACATGATACCAAGCCCTGTCAACATCTTAGTCACTCTCTTCCGAGCTGGCTGCAACTTGCCTGTCCCTGTGCTTCTCTGAGTTTGTGATGAGTATCACAGGTATCACAGGTATCATGTGACCAATTCAGGGTAAATCGGAACCATTCCCTTCTGCTATTTACTTTCTACATAGCTACAACGTTATCATCCTTTTGACACAAAAGACTTCCTCGCACACGCCATTGCTAAGATACGTCTTCCCAATTCAATCCCCTTAGAATTGGGTTTTTGAGCCCAAGTACAGATTTTTACATTTATGACCATCTCCTTTCATCTGAAAAGACTTGGCTCATCAGGGCTGTCAGTACCTTTTAAATTCCTGATTCTCTTGTCCAATGTCTCCCTGTTTATTTTCCTGAGATCCAGACAAAGGACAAAATATGCAGATACCACCTGAAACTTATCTTTCAGGGGTTGGCAATCTATTAATCAATATCACCTGGGTATTACTGTTCTAATTCCCTTTGGAGAGTTAAAAATCACAGAGCCATTTAGTCCTAAATTACCTTCTGCTAATCATTATTACTAACACATGGGAGTTCCAGAACACCCTGAAGTGGGGGTATTGACCTCAAAGCATGTGCCCCTTGTGTCAGTGGGAAAGCCTTCTTCAATTCATAATGGTAGAATAAGAAGGAACTGGAGAGAGTGGGCAGGTTTCTTCCCACCTGCTGGTTTCTGTCCAAGGGGTGTGTGTGTGTGTGTGTGTGTGTGTGTGTGTGTGTGTGTGTGTGTGTAAAGTTTGTCTTTCCTTTATTTGAGCTCTGTCATTATAAGAGGAATCTAGATAATAGTCTCAGATAATAAAATCATCTATTCACATGCAAGGCAGTGTCTGCCATATCAATGCCATTGTAATATATTCTGTGCACCACAACTTTTCATTTGAATACTTAGAAGACTCTTCCTTGAGGTCAACAACAAAATAAAAGGAAGAGGAACTGCTTGGAAAAGTCAGTAATTTGCTCTATCTCAGGAGAATAGCATTCGGGAGGGAGTTAGAATGAAGGCACCAGGTTGATTTCCCATTAGTATCAATTACATGATATGAAACAAACCTGATCCAATGGCAGGGTAGCTATGGAAATCCCTACAACTACTCAAGGGTTTCAGATAGAGAATTTGAACATCAGAGTGGAATTTCTACCAGTATGGGGCACTGATTCTGGAGTGGAGTTGCTCCTAGTTCAAGGAAATGCTTGAGTGTTGGGTTTGGGGCCAGGTATACACTAAGGCTAGACTGAGCTTTTGTGCTTATGTGCTTTCACCACAGGGACCCCTTCAGCTCCTGGTCACCCAATTAACGCTACCCATGACATATGCTGAGAACTTGGGTGCTTCATGTAGGATAGGTAATTGTTTTAGTGTCCCTGAAGGTAATATACCTTGGCCATCTAGGTGAAATACCTAAGTTTAATCATGTAGCTTATCTAGTTCCTCTGAGGTAGAAGTTAAATGATGAACACAAAGGCAGAGTGGGCCTCAAATGGATGCATTCCAAAATTGACAGGAGCTGATTTTTTTTCCTGGATCAAGGAAGGAAGTGAGTATGGCCTCTTGGGTGTTCAGTCAAGAAGATTTGGGGGAATTCAGTCTAGGAAACATAGGCGTCCCAAAGAAGTGCTTGTCAAGGACAGTGCCAATCAGGAAAGGTAGAGGAGAATGTATGTGAAATTCCCCTGGAAACTGGAACTACAAAACAACCATGGATTTTTGTTCTGTGTAGAAAAGAGAAGATAAGAGAAAGATTTAGAAAAGGGATGGAAATGTTATTTTATTCCATTTTAAAGCTGTATTTTAATTTTACTAAACAAATGAAAAAACTATTTTTAAACTATTCACTAATGACCAAACTAAGCCTCAGAAAGGTTAAGAGACTGGCCCAAGTTCACAACTACCAAATAAAAGAACCAGAGTTCAAAAACCAGGTCTGTCTGATCCCAGAGATCTTTCCCCCATAAGGAAGAAGGGAGAGATGAGAAAGGGAAAAGGATGGAAAAGGAACATAATATTAATTGAGATCCTTACACAGGCCAAGTTCTATGCTAGGCGCTTTACATACGTATTTATTTGTATTATTTAGTCCTTACAACAACAGGTAAGGTTGGTATTTTTGTTCTGCTTTCCATCCGTGCAGTTTCCTATGGAAGTTGGAGGGTCCCCAGCACGTGACTCTAACACCACCTGTCACTTTCCATCCAACCTCAGTCTCCCTTCCCTGAGACGCTCAAAGTTTTCTGCTAGTATCTAAAATATTTAAAGGCCCAGACCTATTGATTTTCCTGGAGCTACAACATAGAAGTGCCATTTCAAGGCTGGGAAATCTCATAACTGATGCCAGAAGCACGTGGGGAAATCTCATAACTGATACCAGAAGCATGCTGCTCCAGAGCTAGCCAGTGCTCCTGGTAGTGCCTCGAAAGTGGCAGGCCACTGAACAACCAGAAAGCGGGCAGCTGGAAGAGCTGCTCTTCCACGGCTAGAGAGCATCAGCCCTGTTTTATCCACAGTTATATTTCTGCCACAACTATACACCCCATCCTCAAGCTCTGTCAAGGAAGAGCAGAAGGTATCTGCTCTCTTCTCCCCTAGCACAAAGTTTGGTCAAAGTGGGTCCAAGCCCAAGTATCCCAGCTCGACCTTACAGCCCTTTCAAGTGGTTCATGTAGAAATTTTGCCAAGGCAAAAACGTGCTCCCCAACCAGTTGTTGCGACCAGCCCACTGCTCCTCTCTTTCTACACTCATCATTATGTTATTTTAGGAGTCATATCATTTACGCCTGTCGCTAGGCCTTTCTCAAGGCAACAGTGGTCCACCCTGATAGGTTTTCTAACTTAGAATCGTAGGAAGATGGAAATTTCACTGGGCAGTGAGTACTCTTTGTCCCTGCCCTCCCAGAAGTTTTCTGGGCTCCTTAAGCAAAATTACCTACGCTATTCCCAAACAGTTAATAGTTCATCTTACAGTAGGGGAAAAAAGTTTACCTTCCTTTTTGCCAGATTCTCCTTACACATATAAAAAAAAAGGAAGTACACAGAAGTTTTTAACCAAGAAGGAAGAGGAGGAGAAGGAGAAAAGAAAAAACACACACAAGTTCTTTAAACAAATTAGTGGACAGTGGAGATTCAAACCCATGTCTGATTCCACTATGTCATGTTTCTCAAAGAAAATGATTCTCTGAGGTTCAGAATGTGGAACGCTCTGGAAACCCAGCCAGCATGCTGGGAGAAGCCCAAGCACACGGAGAGGCCACGAGGAGGCACTGTGGTCCACAGTCCAGCCTCTCAGTCAGCCTAGGCCAGGGTCCACTTGTGGACCGTCTGGGGGATTCCAGCCATGAACCCACACATAAGCCTCCCTGATGGTTCCAGTCCTCAAATGTGAACCCTTTGGATGGTTCTAGCCCCAGCTATGGACCTTTCAGATGTTACCAGCCCTAGACGTGGATCTTCCAGATGATTCCAATTCCCTAGTCCTTCCAGCCACCTTCGGCTTTTTGAGTCTTCCTAGCTGAGGTCCCAGAAACCTAAGAATAGAGAAGTCATCCCTGCTTGTGCTCTGTCTGAATTCCTGACCCACAGAACCAGTGAGAACAATAAGACGGCTGCTGTTTCACTCCCAGTCGGTTTGGTGTGACTTGTCATGTAGCAACAGATAACCTGGGAGAAATTCAACAGGGGGGCCAGGAGACTGAAAACCCTGAAAGCAAGGGTTTTGGTCATTCTCAGCAAACAGCATCAAAATGCTGGCAAATGCATTCTGCCACATACATCATCCAAGTGCAAGAGTCTCTCACATTATAATTTTTGGCTGAGAACTCAATATACACATGACTGGGTTATTGTTAACTGAGTATTGTTCATTCTGGGCTGGGAAACCTTTACTGACAACAGTGGAACATTTGGATGTGGAATTCTCTGCCATGGAAAATAGAAAAACATTTCTTTAGTGAAAAACACTGATCATCTGGAAAACGCTTTATCGGTACCTTACTGATGTTTTTCATTTCTTATGAAGCCAAAACAGTTTTCTCTTAGGTCTCGATTATATTCAGAACTTTTAATAAATAGCCCCCTTTATACAGATAACAGTGCAGAGATGAGAAACTGTCCAAATAGTGGAAAAGATTAATCTATAAAGTGTAAGCAAAGAAACATGCATAACTTGCTCATCATAAAGACCTACATTTTAAAAATAAAACCAGAAAATTCTTGTTTGTTTAACATGTATCTGTGTATTATATGTCACAGGTGGTTTGTGTGTGTGTGTGTGTGTGTGTGTGTGTGTGTGTGTGTATTTATGGTTATGAATGAACTTCTACTGCTAAATCTCTTGGTTCTGTCAAGTAAAAACCTAAGTATGAAATTTTTTGATAGCCTCATTTTTATCATTTTTCAAATCATAGTAGCAAGCAGTTAAAGCCTGGCAGGAAATTTAATCTATATATTTATTTACATACTGTCTACTGTCCATAGTCAAACACTTATTCATGTACTTATCTATGAAGAAAATATATACTGAACACCTACTATGTGTGAGGCATGATTCTAGGAACTGCAGACAATGGCGATAAACGAAAGAAACAAGATCCTTACCCACATTAAACTTACCTTCTAGCACAGATAGTTAAATGATAAACAAGTAAATAAGTAGCAAGATCTGCAGCCTGGAGGATTCAATGAAGAAATAGCTTAGACATAAGGAACTTTTGCAATATATGGTCACAAAGAAAGGAAGTGGCGTGGACATTTGCTTTTCATCTGTCCAGAACTCCACCTTCCTTTTCCTGAGCAACCTTGTCTCCCTTCAAAGGAAGCCTCCTGGTGGAGATATTGCCAGTCTCCAACTATGAAAACCAAAGGACTAGAGCCTCTGTCTCCTCACCCAGCTGTAGCGGGGAAGTGGGCATATAACTGAGATGTGGCCAGTCAGGACTTTGATTCTTGATGGACAGATTTCCCACAGGTGTCAATGATGGCAGGCGAACCAGCCCAGGCTTGCAAAGAGGACCTTGCGATGAGTGAGGGTTAACTGTATGTGTCAACTTGGCTGGGCCATGGTACCCAGATATTTGGATAAAAATTATTCTAGATGTTTCTGTGAACATATATATATATATATTTTGAGACAGAGTCTCACTCTGTCACCCAGGCTAGAGTGCAATGGTGCGATCTCAGCTCACTGTAACCTCTATCCCCCAGGGTTCTAGTGATTCTCCTACCTCAGCCTCCCAGGTAGCTAGGGTTACAGGTGCCTGCCACCATGCCTGGCTAATGTTTTTTTGTTGTTGTTGTTTTTGTTTTTGTTTTTGTTTTTGTTGTATTTTTAGTAGAGACAGGGTTTTGCCATGTTGGCCAGGCTGGTCTTGAACTCCTGACCTCAGGTAATCCACCCACCTCAGTCTCCCAAAATGCTAAGATTACAAGTGTGAGCTGCCACACCCAGCCTGTAAACGTATTTTTTAGATGAGATTAACATTTAAGATAGTAGACTTTGAGTACAACAGATTACCCTCCACAATGTGGATGGGCTTCACCCAACCCGTTGAAGGCCTTAATAGAGAAAACACTCACCTTCTACAAGAAAGAGGGGATTCTTCCAGCAGACTGCCTTCAGATTCAAGCTGTAACATCAACTCTTCCCAGGGTCTCTAGTCTTCCAGTTTACCTACTCCTCAGATTTTGGAATTGCCAACCTCCACAATTGTTTGTCAATTCCTTAAAATAAATCAATAGATAGATGATAGATGATAGATAGATAGATAGATAGATAGATAGATAGATAGATAGATAGATAGATGATAGATAGATAGATAATAGATGATACATAGATAGATAGATAGATAGATGATAGATGATAGATAGATAGATAGATAGATAGATAATAGATAGATAGATAAACTTGTTCAGTACACTATGGTTTTTTTCAACACAGACCTCCAAATTCCTATGTTTCTTCCTCTCCAAGCCTGCCCCTTTAGTCCTGTGTTATTCTGCAAGTTGATACATCCCTCAAATATTGACAAAATGATAGCCCTAAAGATAAAAGCTACAGACCATCCACGCAGACTGGCATCATAAAAACACATCTTAAATTTTACAACACCCACCCTTCTCATCCAGTGAACTTCCTTCTGTTCATGGTGAACAGAGGTGCTTGCAACCATGTACCTTGGCTGACACAGAAAAATTGTAGCTTTTGAAACTCGTGTTCTCACTAATATTTTTTGCTTAAGGTATTTTCCAGTCTCTGCCTGCCTTCAGTCTCTGCCTGCCTCCAGTAAATCTTGTACCCTACTTAGAACATTTTTGGCATCTTCATGTTAATTCTTGCATGATTTATGTGTTATGATTAAAGCTTTCTTGTGTCTCCCCAGCTAAGCCCTTCAGAGCAGAGATTATGTTTATGGTTCCTCATGCCACCCACAGTGACACTTCCAGGGCCCCGGTGCGTGTGATGGCTGCTTAGTAATTGTCTCTTGAGGTAATGGAGGTTTAATGCCACCTTCAGTGGTTGGACCAACTTTCAGTTTCAGAATTATGTTACCTGTAGTAGCAATGACTGATTTGATTTATAGAGCATCTTTCTCCCAATGAATTCTAAACATTTTGAACACTTTGTTTCATGCTTAGCAGGTAATTTTTCATCAATTATTTACAAGTAGAAGTCCAATAAAGACAAAACGTTGCAGTGATTTTACTGCGAATGGAGTGCGTTAAAGGTAACCTGAGACAAAGGCTACAACTGTCTTTACTTTCGGTAAATTGTATCATAGCTTTTTTCTTTAACTGGGACTATTATTTTGTCAATATTTGAGGTGATGATAAAAAAGAAACTGGAATGTCTACTGCATTTTCCCTGAGTGACAGAGAGAAGATGGAGAGAAGGGAGAGAGTAAGGAAAGTGGGAGGGGCATTTGAAGTTATCTAGATCTAGAAACTAGAAAGATGCTACCCAGATCTTCTCAGAGGTCTGGAGATGGTATCAAAGCAGACAGAAGGAGGCTGTATGCACCAAGATGCTCCTTCCAACTCTATGTACTACTGTGCATAAAAGAAATCAAGCAAAGGATTGAAGCAAGAGGTAGAAGTTTGCAGGCTGAACACAGCTCTGCTGTGATTTTTAGCACAAGCATAATGAATATCTTTTCTTCAATTTATCTTGACCAGAGTGGTAGTTTTAAAGCATTCTTAATCAGGCAAAAATGTTTCCAAGGCCACTTCCATTTTTCAACACTTGCAATGAGCTTGAAGTTCAGTTTAATCATAACAAAATAAGAGGTTGCAGATATGGGTCTCTCACTTACTTGTATTTTTCTAATTTTAACAAGTTGGTAAAGAGAAGTAGCAACAAAACGGGAAACAGAGCTGGGGACTTCAGTTCAAATTCTTTTATTTTTTATTTTTTGAGACAGAGTCTTGCTCTGTGACTCAGGCCAGAGTGCAGTGGTGTCATCTCAGCTCACTGCAACCTCTGCCTTCTGGGTTCAAGTGATTCTCCCTTCAGCCTCCTGAGTAAATGGGATTACAGGCAACTGCCACCATGCCTAGCTAAATTTTATATTTTTAGTAGATATGAGGTTTCACTATGTTGGCCAGGCTGGTCTCGAACTCCTGACCTGAAGGGATCTGCCCGCCCCAGCCTCCCAAAGTGCTGGGATTACAGGCATGAGCCACTGCGTCTGGCCCAGTTCAAATTCTTAAGTGTAAATTGCTATCTGCTATCAGCACCCAATCCACATTTTAATTAACAAATTATTAATTATATAGCCAGAAAGATAAAAGCATCAAGTTGATTTTTAAAATGCTAGGGCAAAACCCAAATAATAATGTCATGTCTTACGTAGACACAAAAAAGGAAAATTCAGCCTCCATTGTTCTAAACTCTCTTTGAATTTATTACAGAGACCATTAACTGCCAAGCTCAGATGCAAAAAGCAATAAGACAATAAAGGTAAAATTTAAGGCAACTAAAACGGAACTTGGCTTCCAGTGTAACTATCCCATTAAATTACTACACCACAGACTCATTTTCATCACAGTCCAAGTTACATTATACTATAAGACTCTAATAGGTGATGCAGGAAAATTCTTGTTCCATTTCCGAGCTACAGACACAGTGATTATGCTACTTCAATGCATCGTACGCACAGAGAGCAGCTGTAACAGCCCATCATAATCATCATCAAGAGGCATTTATTAGATAGCTCTCTGCATGTCATGCCTAATAAGTGCTATGCAATGTAGGTTTCTACGGCTGATTAGAACATGGCCAAAATGAGGCCCCCAAATCAAATCTAGCTCTTAAAAGTGTCATGTCCAATTCTTATCTAGGAAGTAGAGTTTATACCTTGGCTTCAGGTATTTAAGGGCTGTGGAGGCCTTACAGAAGTCATCTCACCTCTCTAAGCTTCAGTATTCTCCTGTGCAAAATGAAGACGGTGGTGATGATACTAATAACAACAAAAATAATAATAATAGCCTGCACATATAGCAGTCACTATCTGCCAGACACTGTTCTGAGCAATTCACATGTATAGCTCATTAATACTCAGAAGAACCCTTTGAGGAAAGTACTGGTATCACGTCTGCTCCTCACAGTGACCTTGTGTCTCAGGCCATTTTAACCTTGTTTCCTGTAAATACATGGAACTGATCGCAAGTGGTGCCAGTTAAGGGAATAGGCCTTAACATTTAAGATAGAAAATAACACCAGGACCCTACATCAGAGTGCCTGCCTGTGGTATAACAAAAAAAGGAATTTTTGATCTTTGTCCCCAGTTCCTGGCACAGAGATCCTAAAACCTTTGGAATTTCCTGGGTGATAGGAGTGTCTTTTGTTACTCATAAACAGCCCCTTTCTACCACACTTGAGTTTATGCTAATAAGGTGACTCGTGTTGGGGTCCTTAGATAGCTTAGGATGGGAGATGGTTTCCAGAATCATCAAATACTACCAAGCACATAATTAGGTTGGAGCTTCCAGCCCCACTTCTCCACCTGTGGGGAAGGGAAGGGGCTGAGATGAGTTCAATCAGAGAGACCAGTGATTTAATCAACATAATGAAATATTGATAAAAACTGTTGAAAAATGAGATTCAGGGAACAGACCAATGTATTGACAGGGTGGTACCATCAGCAGAGATATACCACCACCACCATCACTACCCTCCGTACCTCACCCTATATATCTCTTCCACTTTGCTGTTCTTGAGTTGTACCCTATAGAATATAACTGTAATTATACGTATAGTGCTTTCCTGAGTTGTGTGAATCATCCTAGTGAATTATAGAACCTGAGAGGGGCGGTCGTGGGAACCCTCAAATTTGTAATGAGTTAGGCAAAAGTGTAGGTAGCCTGGGGCCCCATTTGCAGCTAGTGTGGAGAGTGAGGGATTGAGCATGGGACTGAGCCCTTAACTTGTGGGGTCTGTACTAGATCCAGGTAGTTAGCATCAGAATTGCATTGAATTGTAGGACACCCAATTGGTGTCAGAGAGTTAGAGAATTGGTTGTTGTTGAAAAAGAATTGGTTGTTGGAAACAAAAAATAATGGCGAATTAATTGGCTGAATCAAGCTCAGAGGCAGAGATGGGTAGCTCTAAGTAGGAGTTTGGTCTGTAATTTGTGAGGTAATCTGTATTTCTGGTAATCAGAAAAAAGAAACATAGAAAATTCCTACTGATGATATAAAATATGAGTTTTCCCCAATCATTTAACCTTTTTAAATGTTTTCTTATGTTTTTCTTTATGGGGTTTTTTTTTTTTTTTTTTTTTTTTTTTTGAGATGGAGTCCAGCTCTGTCTCCCAGGCTGGAGTGCAGTGGTGTGATCTCGGCTCACTGCAACCTCTGCCCCTCAGGTTCAAGCAATTCTCCTGCCTCAGCCTCCCAAGTAGCTGGGATTACAGGTGTATGCCACCATGCCTGGCTAGTTTTTGTAATTTTACCATGTTGGGGTTTTACCATGTTGGTCAGGCTGGTCTTGAACTCTTGACCTCAGGTGATCTGCCCGCTACGGCCTCCCAACATGCTGAGACTACAGCATGAGCCACCGCACCTGGCTTTGACATTATTTGGAATGAGAAAATAAACATATGCTCCTCTGTGGGTTTGCATCCCAATAAACCCATTGTAAATTAAAAATATCTTTAAGTCGAAAATGCGTGTAATACACCTAATCCACGTAACATCATAGCTTAGCCTAGCCTACTTTAAACCTGCTCAGAACACACACTAGCCCACAGTCAGGCAAAATGATCTAACACAAAACCTATTTTATAATAAAGTGTTGAATATCGTGTGTAATTGATTTAATACTGTACCAAAAGTGAAAAACAGAATGGTTGCATGGGTACTCAAAGAACGCTTTCCACTGAATGCATGCTGCTTTCCTTCCATTTGTAAAGTCAAAAAATGTTAAGTCAAACCATTCTAAGGTACCATCTGTACAGTTTACTACAAAAGCCACATTTTAAATTTTCTATGAGGAATCTGCATCTTTTGAAAAAGCTTATTTGAAGACCCTTTTCTCAAGAGAAAAAAATACATATTTATTTGGGGGTTGTTATGAAAGGCTTTCTATAAACCTTAAAATGTATTATTTATTTTTAAAGTGTTCCGTTTACTGACTTATTGTCCTATAACCCCCTGTAATACTTAGCACTGTAAAAGCCTAGTGAAAGATGAGGAATATTTGGGCTTAAGTCATTATTCTGTAATCTAAAATACTTTGGCAAAACTGGGAAACAAATTAAGGAGGGGAGAAAAGAAGAAAGGGATAGAAGAAAGGAGAGAAAGAGGAAGGGAATGAAGGAGAGGAAGGAGAAAGTGGGCCTTCCGCCTACTCTGACCCACGTAGTAACGGCTCTCCCCCATTGATTCGCAGTCATTCTTTGTCAGGTATTATGATCTAATGAAACATCATCCTCTATTTTGATCTGTTGCTACTGCAGCACCCACAATTTATTAGGTGCTTGCTTGCATCTCAAAACACAACAATGCTTTGAAGGATGATTGGCCTCGTCTGATCAAAGCAAATTTCATTAGGTGAAATAGCTTGACTTATAGCTGGCCTATAAAACAGAATTGGAAAAAATTTTAATGTCTGCATAAAAATACCTGCCAAAGACTTCAATAATGTTTATTTTTCTTCAAAGACACAACAAAGACTGGGTAGCTAAATAATTTCTTATCTAACTGAAAAACCTGGTGCCCAGAAACCATTCAGAAAATTTTTATATAAACCAAAATAAAAATCCTTTGAAACTTCACCACGTAAACTGCAAAATCTTACTTAAAATGACTAGAACTGATTTATAAAAACAAGTAGACAATATGGTTAATTTTTTAAAACTAAAAATTGATAGGGTTTCAATACAGCCAATTCTTGGTGATTCAGGAATTGATAATCCAAATCATAGATTTTTCCAGGACCTTGTTTTTCTGAAATCTTTTTCCTTTGGCTGCATTTCAGCCATTTTGCTGCTTTTCATCTCAACCACTGAGTTTGGGTAAGTTGTGCAAGAGAAGATCTAGCTCAAATTATTCTGCTCAATTTTCCTTAGTTGTTTGATTGGAAAAGTCCAAACCACAGACTAACATGGGTTCTGGATTCTCTATTTTATGTGATTTCACTATTCTATTATGGTTTGCTGAGAAAAAAAAAAAAGTTGGAGTCATTTGTAATAGCTGTAAAATGGAAAATCTTAGCTGTTTTCCTAAGGAAAAATAAGGAAAGTGAATTTTAAATAACTTAATCAAATAATCAATCAGGATAAGGTAAAAAGAAACAAATTCATCAATATAAATGCTATGTCACCTAAAATATTCTAGTGCTTGTATTTTTTTTCTAATTTTGTCTTAATTCTATATTTTCCCTATGTGAGTATAACCTTAATTATAAAAATGTTTAGTTTTTCTCACTTTTAATAACTTTAGCTATATATAATGTGAATTATCAATAATTGGGAAAAGTCAGATGACATTTGCATTCAAGCCATTTAATATAATTCTATAAAGGCAAATTTGAGAATTTATAATAGTGCAAACTCATTTAAAGATTTCCTACTGCTCCCAATAATTAACTCAAAATTAGGGTCATTAAGAAATCTAAGACCAAAGAAAAAGAAATTCTGCCCATAGACTGCAGTTTCAGCTCCTGCTTGAGAGCTTTCAGCCTTCCTTTCCCAAAGACCTGCCCTACTGATTTCAGACTTGCCTACCCGCCCCCATAATTGCCTGAGTCAATTCCTTGTGGTAAATCTCTTATTATATATCTCCTACTGGTTCTGTTTCTCTGGGTGAACCCTGACTGGTATATTCCCCCACGCTCCCACCATCTGCCTCCCACCCATTCCCCTCTTTGTCTTAGTCAAACTCCTGCTACCCCCTAACTCTCTGAAAGGACTTTCCTTATATCCCATCCTCCAGTCATCCCTGGAGCCATAAGGGAAGACTGACTTTTTCATCACAGAGAGAGAAAAAATCAATTACTCATCAGGAATCATAAATCAGGAGGCAATTTAAATTGTTCTACCTGTCTTCTTCCACCCAACATTTCATTATAAAAATTTTCAAACTACAGAAAATTTGAAAATTGTTATGGGTTGACACCCATATAACCTAGATTCTGTCATTAACATTTTCTTACACGTACTTTATCTGTTCTCTCTTCACCCCATGTATCCTTCTACTCATCTATCAGCCATCTTACTTTTTGATGCTTTTTTTTTTTTTTTTTTTTTTGAGATAGAGTTTTGCTCTTATCGCCCAGGCTGGAGTGCAATGGTGTGATCTTGGCTCACCACAACCTCCATCTCCCAGGTTCAGGCAATTCTCCTGCCTCAGCCTCCCAAGTAGCTGAGATTACAGGCATGTGCCACCACGCCCGGCTACTTTTGTATTTTTAGTAGAGACAGGGTTTCTCCAGGTTGGCCAGGCTGGTCTCGAACTCCCGAACTCAGGTGATCTGCCCGCCTTGGCCTGCCAAAGTGCTGGAATTACAGGCATGAGCCACCATGCTTGGCCTTTTTGATGCATTTCAAAGTCAATTGTCGACATTAATACCCTCCTTCCTAAGTACTTCAGAATATGCATTACTAATTAGAATTTAATATACATTTATAGATCTTTTTGAGGATAATTTTATACAATGAAATCACCAAATCTTAAATGCAATAGTCAATGAGTTTTGATAAGTGCATTCATCTGTGTGACCTGAACTTTACCAATAGGATATTTACATTACCCCAGAGTTCTCCCAAGTTATTTCTCAGTCAATCCTTGTCTCACCACTCCCTAAGAAGAACCACTGATATGATTTCTTCTCCTCCATAGATTAGCTTTGCTTATTCAATAAACTCATAAATATAGAATCCTACCATATGGACTCTTTGTGTCTGGCTTCTTTCATCCAGCATAATGTATTTGAGACTCATCCATGTTGTTGCATATATTGTTTACTCCATTTTGCTACTGAGAAGCATTTCATTGTATGAATGTACCACGGTTTGTTTATACATTCTCCTATTGATGGATATCTGGCTTATGTTTGGTTATTATTAAAGCTGCTATAAATGTTCTTGTATTAGAACAGAAAATCAAACACCGCATGTTCTCACTCATAAGTGGGAGTTGAACAATGAGAACACATGGACACAGGGAGGGGAACATCGTACACCGGGGCCTGTCAGGGGGTGAGGAGTTAGGGGAGGGATAGCATTAGGAGAAATACCTAATGTAGATGATGAGTTGATGGGTGCAGCAAACCACCATGGCACGTGTATACCTATGTAACAAAACTGCATGTTCTGCACATGTACCCCAGAACTTACAGTATACATTTTTTTAAAAAAAGCTCTTGTATTAAAAATAAATAGAAAGAAGTCCAAGACCATATTGCAAGTTCCATTCCTCACATGAACAAATATGTATTGGACAGCAACTACATGCAAAGTGCCATTCTAGGCACTGATGTCAAGGAGCTTGAAATCCAATGGTAGGACAAGATATATGTAAATTACTACTGTAAGATGTACAAGTGCTGCAAGAATGACAGGAAACTGTGAAGTATTTAAAGAGGCTTCGGAAAGAGTGTCAGTAGATAAGTTTTAAAAAGTAAGTTTGGACAATATTGCAGACTATATTGCAGAGGGTTTTTAACAGTGGGGGATGGTGTTTTTATTGACTTCAATAGAAAATGTAAGATTATGAGCAGAAAGGTGATGATGAGAATGGTGTTTCAGCTAGCTTCTTCCAGGGATTGTGGCAGTTTGAAAACAGGTCAGGCTAGAATTAAGATGCCAGTTAAAAGGACATTATCCTCAGGTGAGGATTAATGGAGACCCTGCTTACAGGTGGGGCAGAAAGAAGGAAAGGAGGGAATAGATTCAATACAGACAGACCTATATATGTGACCAAAAACTACTTCCTTACAAGTAATCTGGATATGGTTTGGATATGGATTGTTCATGCCCGCCAAAACTCATGTTCAAACGTGATCCCCAAAGTGGCAGATTGGGCCTAGTGGGAGGTGTTTGTTTTTGAGAACTGGGAGCAGATCCTTCATAAAGATTCAGCACTGTTCTTGTAGTAGTGAGTTCTCCTTCTGGCGAGAAGGAATTAGTTCTTGAGAGAATGGATTAGTTCCCAAGAGAGCGGATTGTTATAAAGCAAACTTCCTCCTGCTATTTAGTCCCCCTTCCCACATTCCCACTTCACCTTTGACCTTCTCCACCATGTTTTGACACGGCAGAAAAATCCTCGCCAGAAGCCCAGCAGATACCAGTGCCATGCTTCTTGTACAGCCTACAGAAACGTGAGTCAAATAACCCTTTTTTCTTTATAAACTACCGAGACCCAGGTATTCCTTTTTAGCAAAACTAAATGGACTAAGGCAAACCTCTAATTACATTATAATTCAACACATACACATTTGCATACATCAGTGAAACAAACATTTCACAAAAACGCTTCCCTTACTATGTGTAATGCACACTAATGTTTTCTATTGTTTAATTCCCTTTCTTTTTTTTACTTAAAAACTGAGGTTAAACCACTAAACCAATTTCCTCATCTACTGGGTCATGACCTGTGGTTTAAAAACACTGGACTGGATAATGCGATAAAGAAGATGACTCAGTTTTAAATCGGGGCAATTGAGAGAATGGCAGTTTCATGCATTGGGAAATATTTCATTGAGAAGCCTCAACTTATTGGGACAACAGCTTAATTTTTTCCAGTAACTGCCTTCAGCTATGCTCCATCAATCATCTCCTCCCCATTTGACTTCATAACTTTTTTTTCTATTTACTTTCTTCATTTACTTCAAGAGCACAACATTGGATAAAGCAGCATACATGTTTCATTATATATTGGCATCATTCATGGCCCTCTTTTTATTTATTTTACATTTATTAGTAATATAATCAATACTCATAAATCAATTACCCAATCAAATAATTAGAATAGTGAAAAAAACTTACATCTATCTATGTTTGCCTCCCCATTCCATCTTTGGCGTCCTCTTACCTACCATGACAATTACCCCAAAATATGTTTATCATTCTCTTGATTTTAAATAATAATTGATCACAAATGTTGGTTTAAGACAAAGCGATCAACTTATGTATAAACTTCTAGGGATGGATTTTTTAACTCAATATCATATTATTACTATTCATCCCTATTTTTGAATATAGCTATGGTTCATTCATTTTTCACTGCTGTATAATATTTCATTTTGTGATCCACAGTCATTTATTTATGTATTCATTTTCTCTTTTTTCCATGAACATTTCTGTTATCATGTTTTTTTCATTGTTTTTACTGCTACAAACAGTGTTGCTAGATACATTTTTGTACCTGTGGCCTGTGTGTGTAATTATGAGCTTATCTTGACTACATATCTAGGAGTAGAATTGCTGGCTCATAGGGTCTGAGTATCTTCAACATTACAAAATAATCCCAAAATCCTTAATCAATTTACTTCCCTCTAGCAAAGTATTGAAGACACTGTTGCTTCACATTCTTTCCCTTTGGTGTCTGACTTTCTTCTAACGTTTTTTACTCTCAGAACAATCTCATTCTGTTTCCTTAAATTCAGTCCTGGTAATTTAGAAATCTCAGTATCACGTGAATTTAAATCTCTCTTTCAAACACCCTTTTCTCACAATCGCATCTTAGGCCTGCAGTTCTAATAGCTTGGAGTAGAGGTTGGGGGCCTGAACTCTTTCACACACAACTGCTACACCTACCCCACCTTTGCCAGTGCTTCCCTTCTGGTCTAAAGGTGACAAGGAAGGACAGAGGAGGCAGAAGTATTTTTACTCAATGGTTCCAAATCAAATTCTATAATTTCCTGTTGCTGCTGGGACAAGGATGGCAAAAAAGGTGGAGAGAGATGGAGGCAAGTGAAAAATTGGGGAGGTGGGAAAGGCTTGGAACACAGCTGACTCAACTGAAACAGTTCATCAAACCCTCAGGGAAAGTGCCCAACTCCTAATGGTATGCTCCATGCATTTAAAATGTGGGTTATTGGCTTGTCGCAGTGGCTCATGCCTGTAATCCCAGCACTTTGGGAGGCCAAGGACCGTGGATCACCTGAGGTCAGGAGATCCACACCCGTGTGGCCAACATGGCAAAACCCCGTCTCTACTAAAAATACAAAAATTATCTGGGCGTGGTGGCACACACCTGTAAACTCAGCTACTCAGGAAGCTGATGCAGGAGAATTGCTTGAACCCGGGAGGTGGAGGTTGCAGTGAGCCAAGATAGCACCATTGCACTCCAGCCTGCACGATGGAATGAGACTCCATCTCAAAAAAATAAATAAATAAAATGTGGGCAATATTTAGCATTTTTTGTTCGCAGCTTTGAGCCTGAATCACAATTTTGAAATAAATCCCACTCAACACCCAATACTCTGTTCCAGAGAAGAAGCATCACGGTGTTAAAGGGAGAGAAGATTCACTTTAAGAACATTTTGAGTTTAATTTGCTAGTGAAACATCAGGTGAGGTTTTCTAGTAAGCAACTGGTAACCAGTCTGGACCTAAGAAGAATAATATGGATACAGATGAGACCCTGGGAATGAGCCGCATTGCTGAAGTCATTTAAGCATAGGTATTACTATGATCTATTTTGTTAATGAAAAACTGAAGCTCAATTAGTAAAAATAACTTGCCCCAAATCTATAGCCACCCAGAGGCAGAGAGATCTGCCTCTGAAATTTTGTAAAATCCTTTGACCATACAACGTTGCCTGACAAAAAGCACAAAGAAAGAAGGCAAAGGGGTACTTACAGTAAGCATTATTTTCTTTGGAAATCATGGAAATATAAGTGAGAATTACACAAATTAAATTAATTATCCTTTATGTAATCTGCTTCTGATCACTCAGAGGATAGAAGAGTCCCTATACCCGTTAAAATACGACTACACCCTAAAGAAAGACCATTCTTAAGGAATAATGAGGGTGTGGGGATATGAGCAAGGTGCAAGCGGGGCATAAAGTAGGACATGGCATCATGGGAATCAGCTAATGAAGCAGAGATGAAAGAACATTGCAGAGGTGAATAGTGGCAGTGCTCATCCAAGCTCCAAGCACTACCCATGGGTAGAAGAAACACGGGCCTCAAAACTCACCCTTTCCAATTCATATCAAGAATACACATCCTGGCGGGGCATGGTACTCATGCCTGTAATCCTGGCACTTCGGGAGGCCGAGAAGGGTGATCACCTGGGGTCAGGAGTTCAAGACCAGCCTGACCAACATGGTGAAACCCCGTCTCTACTAAATACAAAAAATTAGTCAGGCATGATGGTGCATGCCTGTAATCCCAGCTACTTGGGAGGCTGAGGCAGGGGAATCTCTTGAACCCGGGAGGCGGAGGTTGCAGTGAGCTGAGGTCGTGCCATTGCCCTCCAGCCTGGGCAAAAAGAGCAAAACTCTGTCTCAAAAAATAAAAAAAAAAAATTAAAAATTAAAAAAGAGTACACATCCTTATTGTGAAAATAAATTGCATAGGCTGCTCCTCATTTTCCTGTCCCGTGCTCACTATGCAGCCTGCTAATGGTAAAACGTGGCTTCCCTACCCTTGCCTCAAAGACAGAATGCATTGACCAGAAGACAGGAATATCCAGCTCCCTTGGCTCCTCTATATCTCACTGCCATTGAATGTAATTTAATCCAGCTGAAAGAACCCATTTCTGGTAAAATTTTCCATAAGGATAAAGAATGTATGATCAATTTCTGAAGCTAAGGTTATCAGATTCCTAATCCCAAAAGGCTCTAGGCAATGATCACTCTACCACGGAAAGGACTTTGATAAGGCTCTGTGGCCATCCAGCACCTTCCACCTCACTGCTCCCCTCCACTGTGGACTTGTGTGTCAAGTAAAGAAGTACAGCAGATAAGTAAAACGGAAAAAAATAATGAAAGAATTACAAAGGAAGACTAAGGAAAGAGCCAAGTGTCTACACGACCACAGGAGGGAGAATATAATGGTAGGATAAGCAGAGGGTGGCTGTTCACTGTGTCAAATGCTACAAAGGTCATAGGACCTGAGCAAGTAGAAAAGACTTTTAACTATTAAGTATTTTCTATATGTCAGTACATGGTGATGAGCAAAAAATATGTTATGTATTAAAAGCTAATGGATAGCAATGGAAGAACTACTAGCTGAATGAAGATTTTAAGTGGGATTATTTAAAAGTGCTAGGTAATTTAGAAAATTATTATTTATAATCTTTGAAAGGAAGAATAAAAAGGAGTAAAATTAAGTGCTTTGACTTGTTAAAAGTACAGGTTGCTAATTCACTCAATTATACACAGTCTGGGTTTGGACATTTAAGAACATCAATGTGAAACCAACTCTACAAAATGAAGGGAAACCCAGACGATCTCTTGAGTGTTTGTCTATACAGAGAGTCTTCCCTTTAAGAGATGATAGTTCTGATAAAACTGCATCCGTTGATCACAAATGTGAATGGCTGGGGGGAAAGCAATTTTACTTTTCAAAGTTAACTTCTGATTTGAGTCACGAAACACAGTATTCCTGAAATACCTGCTTAAAAAAACAAACAAAACCCTGCCCTTCTCCTTTGTAGTTTCAAATTTCCCAAAATGCTGGCATCTCAAGTGCAACTAAATACATAAGCCAGAAGACCCTTAATAAATAGTGGTGCCTCTGATGGGACGGATGCCAGCCATCCCTTCCATGTCCAGTGACTGAGTTCATGTTCAAATTTCATGTGAAGTTTAGATGGGGAGAGTTCTGATTCTCTAAGATCATCTTTATTTAGAGTAGAGACAGGGACATGAAAAAGGATTACCTAAACAGTTCCAATTAAACAAGGAAATTGTATAAAGACCTATTGCACTTACCTAAACATGTGGCTTAGAGGATCACATTGCCCAGCTTTGATAGCCAAGCAGTGCTAGTGGAATCCTTCTTTCCCAGTCAGTAACCAATAAAGTGGGAAAAGCTGTGCCCCTTGTTCCCTGTCTAAAGGCTGCAGGCGAACAGGCTGCTCATTAACTGCAACCAGGGAGTAACCGAGAGAGTATCTGCCAATTCCGATTTTTCCTTTGTGTCCAGACAGAATTCATTTGTTAGGAGTCTCCTCTGTGACCTTAGAGTTGACTACAGAAAACAATACATTTACATGATGAAGGTAGCGTCAAAGATTTCAGTTTATTAACAACTTGGAAAGACGCTAATTCTGGACCCAGTAAATACACAGATGGTTCATTTAAGGAGGAAATATCTGCAAAGTCATGTTTCCTGGTGTCTGAGACCTACACAATAGACAAGTCAAATGGTTAGCAATCTCAGTAGTGTTTCTTTAATTTGATTTGAATCCTGTACTTTCAATGTTGACTTCTGAGCTTTATCTTGACTTTCTTTGATTGGCACGCCCTTCCCAAGGAGCTGGTTGTCTAGGTGATGAATACTGCATGTCATAATAAAACAAAATACTTTTGAGGTAAACAGTCACTAATGCACTGGCTTTGGAAGTTTAACCTCTCCCCTGATGGAGGGAACGGGCATGAGGATGCCTCCCCCTGGAAATTGTCAAAACAGGGTTCAGTGTCAATTCATCCATGTACTTGCTCATCCTTGACGATCTGCAGTGAATCTACATTATGAAAATATTTTTAGTAAGCTGGATTTTTTAAGAAATAAGAAAAGAACACTACATCATCTCCTGCCAATTGGTATACGGCATGTGTAAATCATTTCTTTACAATTCCTTTCATAACTTATAAAATTCACATTCCAAGAATTTCCTGGAAGGATGTATGCAGTTAGATTTAGGTGGTTATGCCCTTTTCAGTTTCAGCACAGCTTTGAGTCTTGCCCCAACCTGAGACCTGACCCCCAACCCCCGATTATCAGTAATTCCATCTAGTTCGCATAAAGAGTTCTCTCAGTTATTGCTCAGTGACAAGCAGTAGCTTGAGAGAGGTGGGAATAGAGAGCAATATAATAGCCAATCCCTTTGTACTTTTTATGGAAAGTAGTGAAACTGAAGAGAGACAAAAGCCATCTTGAAAGAGTGAAAATGACAACAGGACATCCGTGGCTCATTAGGCTAGCACAGTAGGCTTCCCCATTTGGAGAAATGGGATTTGAAGTCCCAAGAACAAATGAAAGGTAATTGTTTTGAATGCTCATGCTATTATTTATTTATAAGAATCTACACACACATACCACATGCACACACACACATACCTTCACACCTACATGCACACCAGAGAGCTTAGTAAATGAGTATGCTGTGCCCAAGAATGGAAAGGGTAGAAACAGCAGGAGCAGGTTCGTTGGCAGAGCTATACAGCAAAAGACAAATATACCCAGCATACAGTATGTGTGCTTGGCTCAAGTCTGTGCAATTAGTACTTCTATTTACAGCAAACCTCTTGTACCAGCAATTTAAGAGTAAATGACAACTAGTTTGAAATTGTTTGATCAGAATGCAAAATTGAACCAAGGTAGGTTCTAAAGCAGATTAACTAACTCACTTTTTTTCCCCCTCCTGCTAATTGAGAGTACATGTGCTCATTCCTGGCATTGATTTGCTGGCTTCTAATTCAGGATATGAGTTTAAAATATTAATCCACAAACTTCTCATTTTCTTTATTGGTTAATACAACTCATGACAAATTGTACTGCCTAAATTCTTCATCTTAATGCTTCCACTCTGAATTTTTTTCTGATTCTTCCATCTATTTCATATATTTGTCCTTATCACTCCCCTCACAGGCTATATTTTTATTTTTTCCTCTGCTAAATTTTCTTAGAGCAACATTAGTCAGAAAAATGAGAATATGAGTAACAGAGATTAATAGATACCACTCAGAGGACAGAGGCTCAGCACAATGTAAGCTCTGTGCTGAAGAATGGAATCATTGGAAAGAAAAAGAGTTGGGTGCCCAGAGGTTGATGTGGGCTGAGTCCTTCTTTTCTATGAACGTTTCCAAATACCTTATTTGGCAAGCACTGAGTCTTGCATTAGTCAATCCGTTTTCCTTTGGAGTTTGCAATTAATCTAATTTTCCAAAGATGCCAATTTGCCTGTTTGCTGAAGAGAACAATATTGGTGTTACACAGAGGGTAGTTGACCCAAGCAGACACATAATGCCTGATCTTGAAGCCTATTCTTTACAGATAAGGAGATGAACTACACTCTACTCTGTAGAATGACTCACAAAGATGATTGTTCCAGCAGCTAGTGCCATGAAAACCTCTGCATTCCAAAGCCCATTTTGAGAAGTTATTGTTCTTCAAAGAGCCTACTGTTTGCATTACAATGTCATTTACATTACATCAGAAAAAAACTAAAATTCACCTTTGCCAAAAGGAAAGGCAAAATCATTACAGGAAGTTATACTTTCTTATTTCTAAAACAAAAATTGCCCATATGGAGAACCAACCAAAATAAAAATTTCTTGGGAACAAATGTCAACCATTTAAAAGATATATTTGATGTTAACATAACACAGGTATTTTTTAAATGATACCACTTTTTTCACAACAATTTTCCTAATTATTCACACCACTTACAATTCAGAGAAATAAACTCGGAAGTGTTTTGAGACATAAAGAGGGGAGGGAACTTTTTTTTAAAAGACCACCTGTGTGTGAAGTGCTTCACTCAGATCATTTCACTAGACCCTCAGAACAACCCTGTAGGGTCCACAGGATATTCTAACAGGTAAAATACTGAGGCACAGAAAGACTAAATAAATCATCCTGGATCACACAGAAAGTAAGCTGTATATTAAGGGAACATCTGTCCTGAACCATCATAACCTTTCCAGCACAATACATTATATGCTAAGTTTCTTTCTTCCTTTTCTCTCTTCCAAAAGCAAATGTCTTATAACGCAATGACTAGAGAACTCTTCAGGAATATATCACCTAATTTAGTAAAGGTATTCTTATGAATAAATCAAATTCATTTTTAAGAGAATCAAGGATATTTTCTTCTGCTATAAAGTCTTCAAGAAATAATTTTAATGTTTTGTTTAAATTAATATATGCTCTTCTATTTAATGTGCGTGTCCTAATTTGTATTTTAGTATAACAAATTCAAGCACAGCACATCATAATTATGAACAATTCTTCATATGTAAACATAAAGCACACCAGTGACCTACCAGGAGTAGGTAATATTATTCAAGTTGTTTTTCCAGCAGTAGTGATGAATTGGCACCGATTCTTTCTTTCTTCTTTTCTTCCCTGGTTCCCTTGGGGAAAATTGTATGTATTTGCATTTGCCAGAAACTCTATTTAAGATTGAGAGCATAAAAAGTGTCCCAAGTGAAACAGCCCACAAGGGAATTACACCTATGACCTTGGCCTCATTCATATCACGCTCGAACCAACTGAGTTAAGCAGCTGTATTTTCTTAAGTACAAGAACATATTTATTTGGTAAATATGGGAGTTTCGACTTCTCCAAGCCCCTCAGAGACCATTAAGTGGACTTCAGCATTCACTTGTTCAACAGATTCTGATTGAATACTTAAATGCAGACAGTCTAGTACTTAGTGATTTGAGAGCTTAGTGATTTGCATCAAGCAGTACAAGATGTGACTCCTGGTCACCAGGAATTACAAGTTAGTTGATTAAGGGAACAACATACACAAAAGTATAGCCATATGTATTAGGTAAGCCTGGGCCTGGATTCAGAGAAACCTGGCCTTGTATCCTGGCTCTGACACTTACTGGCTATAGGATATCTATCATACGACTTCTTCTTTTAGGTTCTACTTCCTTACATGTAAAACAGAAAGAACCTCAGAAGTAGTCTTGAGACCCAGATGAGAGCCTATTCTTCAAGTTCTTCACATAGTGACTCACATATATTGAGCACCCAGTATATTGTAGCCACTGTGTGAAAGATGGGAGAGATGAGAATCAAAATTTTCTAATCTCCTAAGATTACTTAGTTTGTCCAAAACTAAAACTCTGCCCAAGCCAAAACTATCCATATTCTTCTCCATCTCTGCTAATTGGCATCATCATCTCTAAAGCAATCTGTGTAAACTAATGCGTATACTTCCCTGTCTGCTAGATTTCAACATCTCAATACTATTTCTTGTCACTTAATTTGCAGAACACCTTTACCTCCCCTCTGAGCTATTTTCTCAGCTACTCTCCAATTAAAGCTTTTGATTCCTGGGCTGGACCAGTACCACCTCAGTAATCCCCTGACTTGGCATATTTCTTCCCAGTTTCTCATTCATCCAATCAGCCCCCCGTGTAACTGTCCTCAGCACTCTCACTAGACACAGTGCTAGTCAAGTCCTGACAGCATACATTGGACTTTCTAGGCATTGTCTATAGAGTACTTGTTAAATTGTCAACAGTTATATAAAAATTCCTTTCTTTGCACTTCCACTTCCAATAGTACTCTGAATATTTGCCATTTGACATATCACACAGAGGTCAAACTTCACAATCATCCCACCTGTCCTATACTTTTCCCCCTCAGTGTTTTCAGTTTTTCTATTCTGTGCCTCCTGTACTCTGCCTATCTTGCAAAGCCCTACTTCAATGCATCCTCCTACCACAGACCTCTTATGATGCCTTCTGCCTGAGATAAGCTCTTCCATCCTCATGTTCCAATTACACTTCATTTGTAGTTTCATACAACGTTCACTGCAGTATACTTGTATTACAATTATTTGTATTATATGCCTTTCTTCAAACTCTAAAACAAGCCCCCACCCTGAAAATAGTCATAGCACCTTATACCTCACTTCATCTTACAAAACTTTAGAGCAATAACTTGCTAAACCTGCATGGTCCAATCCTCTTACTCCTTTATTCACTTTTAACACTTGTGCTTTACGGAATAAGGTTCTGTACGTGATCTCCCAGCTCCTAAATTGTATTGCAATTTCAGTTCCTAGTTTTACTTGGCCTCTCTGCAGCACTTCGCACTATTCACTACTCCTTTCTCTCTTTAAATCTCTCTTCTATTGGCTTCCATAACACCACTCCTTCCTAACTTTACCCCCTAGAACTTTCCTTCCTCTTGATTTATTTCAGAGGTGTCTTTTTTACCTACCCTTAAAATATTGGTATTCCCATGTTTCCCTTATCAGTCATGTCCCATTTTCATTCTACATGCAATCTTATGGACTCAAAAAATGTGACCCAAATCCATCAAATTCTTCCCAAAATCCTGTCACTCAAGCTAAAAACCTATAAATCATTTTTAGTCCATTTTGGCTCCTATAACAAAATACAATGAATGAGGTAGCTTAAAAACAACAAAAATTTATTTCTCACAGTTCTGTAGACTGGGAAGTCTACAATCAAGAGGCCAACTGATTCCATGTCTGGTGAGGGTCTATTTCCTGGTGCATAGATGGCTCCTTCTCACTGTGTTCTCACATGATGGAAGGAACAGGGAGCTCCCTGGGGCCTCTTTTATACGGACAGTGATCTCATTCATGAGGGATATTATCACCTTTCCAAAACCTCGCTTCATGATAACATGATTTTGAGGGTTAGGATTTCAACCTATGAATTTGGGAGGGACATAAACATTCAGACCACTGCAGTCACCTTAGAGGCCCCCCAATGGCACACCAGCTATCAATCTATTGCCTCTGAGCTCCAAACCTACCCTTCATTGCCTGCTGATGATCCTGGAGCTGGATCTTATAAATATTTCTCCTCTGCCAGCCAGCCCAAAGTGAAGCTTTGTCAGTGAAGATAAGTGGAGACTGAAGAAGGAAGGGGCTTCTCTTCTTGGTTCCAGTTTTCTTTTCTCTCTTCTTGCTCCTGTGGTGCTTGTCCAGTATAAAGGACACACAGTGGTGCTCAGCAGCCTCCCCATGGACAGCTTCCCAGACAGTGCCACTGGTGCCACAGCCAGCTTCCCAGCCAGAAGGGCTGGAAAGTGGCTTCCTGGCATGTTCAGCAGCAACCCTACAGGTAGCCTCCCAACAAATTTCACCAGAACCCAGAGGCCAGCTTGATGGCAGGTGCGGTCAGCATCCTAGCAGGTGATTTCCTGCTTGCCAGCCTCAGGCTGCAACACCTCAGCAAACCTCTTCACCAACCAGTGGATACAGAAACATCCTCCCTATCAAGATCTGAATCTCAGCCTTGTAGGTAGGAGCTTTTCCAAATGTGTTCCTTCCTTGACTGTTCTGCCTCATTCTCAGGGGCAATGGCTCCTTCTCATGTCTTCTATGCCTTTATTTTTTTTAGCTCTCTTTACCTCTTAGTACTTAATCCTGTGCTACTGATTAATATGATTGTATTATTAAACTTTCCCTGTTTAATCACTGTGTGGCTTCCGTCTCCTGACTAGGCCCTGACTGAAACCCTTCCCCTTTTGAATTTCACCTCCTGAGCATCTCTCCTGTCCACCAACTTTGCCCCAGTCCCAGAGCTCCTGCCTGAGTTTAGACTCTTGTCATTCTTAGTTTGACTTTTGGTATAAGCCTCCTAACCAATTGCCTATCTCCAGTTCAGATGTTTTCTAGTACTTCCTCCTCAACACACCACATAAATGATTCTATAATGTGCAATGGGTGTGAATTTTGATCTACTAACTTGAGGATGGATGAAAAGTCAAATCATTTTTTTCTAAAGCCTAGTTAAATCTAACTCTGAGCAGAAATTTTTATTCTTGGTTATTATTGAGTTTCTTCTAGTCTCCCCAACTCTCTTTCTCCAGGATTATATGACAGTCCCAAAAGGTTTATGTCAATTAAAACCCTATATCTTGAAGGTTGGTGGCCCAGTGAGTTCTCCCTAAGCATAGGGATCTTTGCTGAGACTGGTAGACCCAGAAGCATGAGCTCAGCCTAAATGGTGCCAGCTTCCTGGGGCACTGCAATAGTCCCCCTTATCCATGGTTTTGTTTTTTGCAGTTTCAGTTACCTGCAGTCAAGTGCAGTCTGAAAATATTACGTGACTACTCTTGCCCTTTGAGGGCATCATTAAGTAAAATAAGGTTGACTTGAATGCAGGTACTGTGATACCATGACAGTGAATCTACACCCAAGATGGCTACTAAGTGACTAATGGCAATCCGTGCAGGACAGACCAGGGTGGAGCAAGATTTCATCATTGGTACTCAGAATGGTGTGCAATTTAAAACTTAACAGTTGTTTATTTCTGAAAATTTCCATTTATGTCACAATGCCTACGTCATTCAGCTCACTTCCTCTCAACATGTGAGCATTTTATCACCTCGCACAGTCACGAGAAGAAAAATGGTTAAGTATAGTATAACAAGATATTTTGAGACAGAAAGAGAGAGAGGCCACATGCACACAATTTTTATTACAGTATATCATTATAATTCTTCTATTTTATTAGTTACTGTTGTTCATCTCTTACTGTACCTAATTTATAAATTAAACTTTATCGTAGGTAGGTATGTATAGAAAAAAAAAACATAGTGTAGACAGGTGGCACTATCCACGGTTTCAGACACCCACTAGGGGCCTTGGAACTTATCCCCCACAGATAAAGGGGGGACTACTGTATAAGGGAATGGAGTGAGGTCTGCATTCATCCTAAAGACTTCTACTCCCTTTGCTAGGTTGGAAAATCTCTTGCTTCTCTTCTCTCCCCTTCCCTTAACAATATAAGGGCTCCCTCAGAAAAGATTTGTTTCTTCTGGCAACTCAGCTTTTAAATGTTAAGACCCCAAACTCCCTTAGGCAAAGAAACACAAAATCCTGACCACCTTCTAGAAACGGAGAAAGGGAGAAAATGCATAGAGCACAAAACAGAAATTCTTAACTCATACAGGGTCAGAATCTCGTTAGTCTGAAAGAAATCTTAAATCCCTTCTTTTACTTTTCCACCAGTTTTGGTGGAAAAACTCTCCATAAAGTGTTTAGGTTTCAGAGACACAATCTCTCTGGTTTTGGTGACCCTGTTTCTTGCTGCAACTCTAAGCCAATGAACACAGAGCCAGGGGTCTGAATTTGGCAGCATAAGGCAGGCAAGCGGTAGAGAAAGAGAATTGCAAGAAGAAAGAAAGAAACAACGTCAGCTAATATCTCAGACTATCAGGTTGGTGCAAAAGTAATTGCAGTTTTGCCATTGAAAGTAATTGCAAAAACCACAATTACTTTTGCACCAATGTGATATTATCCAGCCAGATGTTCAATATACTATCTCTCCACAAATGCAAATTCAATTTTTCACTCCCCTGCTTCTCACCTTTGATTCTTTCTCAGTTTTCCCTAGAGCAAAGTGTAATCTCCTTGCATCCAAGCAAAGTCCTTCACAACGTGGGTCCCGATGAGTTCTCCAGATTCACTCCCTCCACAGTCTTTGTTATAGGCACACTGGAGTTCTTGCCACTTTCTTCTCTCTTGCCTTGTACTTTTTGCTGTCTCATCTAGAAATACCTAGATGTGTCTTTCAAAACTCAGTTCAAGTGACAGCTCCACCAGGAAACCTTCAAGCATGCTCCCCAGTGAAGGAGTGCATATCCCATGCCTGCCGCAGCTGCAGTGCCTGCATTGTGTTTTATTATAATTTGGGTTTTATGTTCCTGTTCATCTTTCTTTTCCATTTTCCCTTCTATATTATGAGTTACTTGAAGGACAGGGAAGGTATTTCTCATCTCTACATCCCAGAGCTAAGAACTGCAGATTGTTCTTGAGTATTTCCATGTTCATTTAAACCATTTTACTAATTCCTTTAAGTGGCTACAAATAAATCTGACAGCAAGAGTACCTAGAAAGATACATTGTTACCTGAGATGCCAGAAAGGAGTTGCCAGTCTTTCATCTTTCTAAGATCATAGTAAACTCATCTTTAATTTCTGCTACAAAGAAGGACCATTTAATTACTTCATCTTTTAAATGCTACTTATAACATCTGCTGGGATGTACTTTTTGGAATTTTCTAAATATGGAAAATCATAGAATTTCTCACTCTCTACATTTTTGGAAATCAAGTGCGTGTTTTGGAATATGATACCTTAAAAGGACACAGCTCTCTGATGACCAATAAGTGATGTTGCTGATGATTGACATTTTTAGGCTTCCAGAATTTGAATTATTGGTTTTCAGAAGAAGAGCTATTATTTTTCCCTTAAAATTTAGATGTTAATATTTTTACGTTGTTTGTGGTTTTTTTTTTTTGGCAGCCTCAAGAAATGCCATCTGGACCAACAAAATGAGGTGTGTTCTTAAGGGCCAAAAAATAGCTAACAATTCATAAGATGTTAGTGTAGAAAATGTAAGTTACTTACAAAGAAAAAATAACAACTACAGCTATTTGTTAACTTCGTATGTGCCAAGAATATGGTAAATGATTCAATCCTCAGTTATCCAAAAGTGAGGTTATCCAAGTGCATTTCATTTTGCATTCAGACAAATTTGTTTTCGTTATTATTATGTAAACTGCTTTGCCATTTTTGCAAAACAACTGTCCCACTGGTTCAAAACTTGACTCTGCTACTTTTTAGCTGTGCAATCATAGCAAATCACTGAAACACTCAGTTTTCTCATCTGTAAAATGGAGATAATAATAGTACCTACATAAGATGATTGTGGTGACAAGTTAATAAATAATTTCACTCAAAAAATATTTATTGATTGCCTCTGCGTACCAGGCACAGTTCTAAGTACTTGGGATACAACAGTGAATAAAACAGGCAAAAAGCACTATCCTCATATGCCTTATATTGTAGTAAAATGCTTAGAACAGCATCTTGCACATGGAGCATGTAAGAAGTAATTACCACTATTAGTAGTAGTATCAATACTGTGCCCAGAAAATATGTGCTGACTGGTAAGTATGCATATACCTTAAACAATTGCCCAGGAAATCCAGTCACTTCTTTGTAGCCTGCCACACCCATGGCTGCTGGATGAGAGGTTTGCAGACCACCGAAAGGCCAAGTCAAGTCCTGGGGTGAGGGGAGGGGCAAAGCGGTGCCAGGGAGGATTTCATTCACCTCAACATGCCAATATTGGCACTAGCAATTGAGTATCAGGGAATGCTTTCTTCCCTTTCACAAAAACCTAAGAAAGAAAGGATGGAAACATAAAAAATTCAGCTCAGGACACAGAGACTGAAGCAATCCTGAGAAATTCTGCTTGTGCCGACAGCACTCCCAGGGATGTTCTAAAGACAGTGCAAAATGTGGTACATGAACCTGAAAGGCAGTGTTGGGGAGGGGTGTGGAGGCTTTGGGACTAAACAGATTTGCCCTAATCCTCCGTTTCCTCCGGAGTTTGATACCAATGTGAAGACCCTTAAGTGCTTTTTCACAGGAGATGACTGATCACAGTAGCCTGCAGTTTGCTTACTACTCTCCAAGCTTTCTGGTGATTTTGCCAGTATTTTCCTATTCCCTTCACAGCTTTTTATCCATATCTTCCTTCTCCCCAGTGTTTGCTTTACTGACTCTCCCCTACACCCTTAATTATTTCTTAATAGATCACTCTTTTAGAGAATCTTGAAGTGATTTAGTAAAATTCCCCTAAACCAGTTTGAAGAAAGGCACAATAAGAAAAGCATAAGCCGTGGTGGTCTTTTCAGATTGAACTTCACCGCATCAGCAAGGCTTAGACATTATTTGATGAACTTTCATCCCCACCCTTCACACTATCATGGAGGAACCTCAATGCTCTCAAAGTCCTTATCACATGAAGTAAGATGGATGAGGCTGCTAGCCATGCACGGTGCCTACAGACAATTCATCCAGTCCTTGGCTGACCCTTTAAAGAAGTGAGAGTCCCCCAAATAAGGCTAAGTGTCCCTCAAAAGTGCGATTCAACAGACTCCCCAGTGATTCCAGAGGTCTGCATGTCCTTGTGCCTTATATTCCTGCAAACCTTAGTCCCACTTCAAGATGTAAGCCCTTCTAGTCATCTGCCACCCCAGCACACTTACCCCAAAATATTCTTTGCTGCTTCTCCACTGACCCAACTTTCCACTGCTCTTCTCCCTCCCATGCTTTCAATGGGTGGCCCCTTGGGACACCTCTCAATGGTTAACAAACTTTACCAACCTCCTCACTAAACACTCCTTCTTACTCCTAACCTGCCCAAAAAACCATCTTTCTAGCCAGCTGCAGTGGTGCACACAAGTAGTCTCAGCTACTTGGGAGACTGAAACAGGAGGACTCCTTGAGCCCAAAAGTTCAAGGCTACAGTGAGCTATGATCACACCACTGTACTCCATCCTGGGCAACAGAGTGAGACTCTGTCTCTAAAAAAAAAAGAAAAATGAAAAAAAGAGCAGAGCTTTCTCCATACACCCTCTCAACCTGAGCTGGGAGGTGCTGTCAGTGTCCTTGGGAACCTCCTCTGCTCTTATGACACCGGTGGCGTTTTGCTACCTCTTCTGGTTCCTATCATCTACCAACCTCCCATTACTTCTCCCTTTTCACCAAACTCTTGGGCAGTCTATCTCCATCCACATGCAGAAACACAACCTTAGGAAAATTCAGTGCCCATAAGAGCAAGCCACCCAACATGTGGATCCAGTCATCAGCCACTCACATCCTTTTTTCAATTACAAATTTGGTCATAGGATAACCCGCACCTCCCCAATCATAGCACTTATCACACGGTTGGTTCTCTCCCCAGTTAGAGTGTAAACTCCATGAAAACAGGGATTTTTGTCTGACTTATTTACTGCTGTAGTCTTAACCATTACCACAGCGTCTGACACAGAGCAAACTAAGTATTTGCTAAATGAATAAATGGTGTCCTGTGCTTGCCTCAATGAACAAAATGACTTCCCAAAGGAAAACACGGTTTGAGAAATATATGAAATCCACAGGCCTTGAGCTAATTTGCATTCAGTAATGTGGCAGGGATGGGTGCGAAGCCACCCATGTATTATTTGTTCTTGTAACAGTTTATGAGTTGCCAAAAAGATCAGAAGAGCACTTGTTCACTGAACAGGATCATCGCTGGGCTAACGAAAATCTTATCTCAAAGGGAATTTCCAATGGCACTTTCCTGATGATGTTTATGGCCATTCATTCTTTTTTATTTTCATGTAAATTACTCTGATTGTGGGCTTTTCTTGTGGACCTAGACAAAACTGATCCTGTTGGATATATTTTTGTTGAGGACTACGCTGGACTTTTTCTTGAGGACTACCTGGCTGGGTATTCCCTGGACTCAAACACAGCCATACCACATTTGGAAGACAAAGTAAGAGAAGCAAGTATTTACCAAAATAGATGAATTTAGCAAATATTCTTTGGGTTTGATCTGCTAGGGCATTTGATAGTGAGACAGCCAAGTGTAAAGGGGTTCCTGGAAAAACTCCAACCGGTCTGTGCACTGGGAGGAGTGCCTACTGCGGTGGAGCCACAGAAGCATGAGCTGTTTGCAGCCGGGAGGAGCGTGTCCCCTCCTCTTCCTGGGTGGAGCCTCAGATTCGATCTCCGAGGCGGGAAGCATATACTAGCAGGACTCTCGCTCTGCTGAGGGTCCCTGTTTCCTCTTTTTTTTTCCTTTTCCCCCAATAAATTCCATTTTTCTCACCCTTCAAAGTGTCTGTGAGCCTAATATTTCATGGCCATGTGACAAGGACCCCATCTTTAGCTCAACTAAGGACAAAGTCCTACAACAATACCATAAGGATAATGATGAGATCATCAAACCCTTTATACTCCTTGGAAGTAACTTTGTATTTGACCTTGTAACTTCGTTAATGAAATAGTGTTATTAATCAGGATACATTTTTTAAATTGTGATATAATTTGTGATTTTTTAAAACATTGTAACTACAGTCCAGACGTTGATGAAAGGGCAAGGGAACTCATGGTTTACAGAAGTTAACTGAGATTCTGGCTTTTAGGGATTCCAGTCCTGACTTCACAATAGTTGGCCAATATTTAAGAAAAGTTTCTCTCATGTAGAATAAGCATGCCCCTCCTTCTGGGCCTTTCTGTGCAGCTTTCAGGAACACCACAGAGATGCCTTAAAATTAATACTGCATAAATACACAGTAACCCATGCAGCGTAAATGCACAGTATCACAGCAGCTGAACTTTGGGACCAAAAATAGGTATTCTAATCAAGTAGCTTTTTGAAAATAACCTATTTTTGTTATAGAATAGACCCAGTCAAGAATATCTCCACAAAGGACTTACAATACAGTGATCAGTACAATTCTCTCTTTTGTGCTTAGGGTGATATTAGTGACTTCTCTAGTCAGGTGTTCTAAGAAATATAGCATTTTCTCAACCATAGGCATTTAGTCTTATAACCAGGCTTTTGAATTTCAATGTAAAAATAGTACCACAAATTTCTATAAAACTACCTAGGGATTTTAATCAAAATAAAGTCAAGCAATAACAGCTACCATTTAATGAGCATTTATTATGTGTCATGCTCTGTGCTCAGTTCCTTTCATGCATAATCTTCCTCTAATGTAGAAGGCTTCAGAATTCCATGAAAAATGACAGGCATCTAAAAGGGAAAACTTGATTACAAAATATAGGCATTGCACTGACTCTGAAAAGCAGTGGGCATATGGGAGGAATTATTAAGGTAATAAGCTTTAGAGACACAATCATAAAAATGTAAATGTACCAGTTAAGTCAATTTTTCCCCTTGGATCAAAACTGTAGTCTCTGTAGGTTGGGAGCACAGAACCTTGAGGAGCTCTTGGGAAATGTCAGAGCAGGCTTAACAACTTTATCCACTGACACGCCTCTAACGGAGATTCTCTGCAGTATTGGAAGCATCCCCAACCTGCATTAGAGCACTAGCCAAATCTGGAGTGACTGACATGGTATTATAGCATTATTGTTATAATCAAACAGATGTTCAGAAAGTAAAATGATAAAAAGCAAAAATGAAATATAAATCACAAACGGTTTATAAGTATCCCAGCAGGAAAAAAAAATCAAACTTTTACAAGTATTTACTAAGTAAAAATCTCAAAAACTTAAAGATGAAGTAATTCCATTATTATTTATGCACCAAACCAGTGCCACCAACCCATACAATATTAACCATGAAACAATTATAATGATACCTAAAAGGGATAAACAAAAAAATTTACTTCATCAAGTAAAGACCAATTATTATCACAATTAAATACTAACCTATATATTAAATGGATCAATGTATGATGTGAAAAGTGAAAACAAAACACATTTCACCATTTGGAGTAATGAAAGGAAATATGAGTTATTTCTAAAAAATCAAAGTAAGTACATCTAGTATTATGATTGCTAACTGAAGTCAAAAATATTAATAGTGATTAGGAAAAAATCACAGCCCACCAAAGAGATCACCTAAGTTTTAGATTTAGATGATAATAAATGTAAGAGTTTAATTAGTTGTGAATTAGTTCAGGTGCCCTTTAAGCTATTTGTACTTAAGTGACGTGAATCATGCCTGACTTGGCTGGCTGCATTTGTTTCTAACTATGATTTAGCCTGGGCACACATTAACTTCCTTAGCATAGTGTGAGCACCGGCCCAGTGAATGTCTGTCTGTACAATCCTGGTTAGGTTTTTTAGAAGAAAGTTGTTTAAAGAAAGGTAAAAAAGCATAGAGACTTTTGAAACCTGTTTTGTTTTCATGTTTCTCTAAAATTTCTCTGGGAACAAAGGCTGTTTCTTGCCAATTATTGGAAGAGAAGGGAAGTATCCTCTGTTCACCTTACCGAGTTTGCCTCTTCAGGGCATGTTTTTGCACAGAGAAATCTCTTACTGTAGCCTCATGCCTTAGGAGAGAGGTCAACAGACTTTTTCTTTAAAGGGCCAGATGGTTAATATTTTAGACTTTGTGGACCAAGAAGCAAAATCAAGGATAGTACATAGACACTTACATAAAAAGAAAGAAAATATATTTTCACAACATTTTTATTGGTAAAATTCAAAATATAGTGATTATAACAATTCGGTACAATTCTTTTGGAATACAGGTCTACTAATGAAAAGAATGAAATTCACTTAATCAGGAGTTTAAAGTTACAGTTCTAACTGGGCCCAGTGGTTCACGCCTGTAGCCCCAGCACTTTGCAGGGCCAAGCTGGGTGGATGGCTTGAGCCCAGGAGTTTGAGACCAGCCTGAGAAACATGACAAAACCTTATCTCTATAAAAAATAGAAAAATTAGCTGGGTGTGGGAGCACACACCTACAGTCCCAGCTATTCTGGAGGCTGAGTTGGGAGGATCACCTGAGCACCAAGAGGTCAAGGCTACAGTGAGCCATGATCACACCATGGCAACAGCCTGGGTGACAGAGTGAAACCCTGTCTCAAAAAAAAAAAAAGTTAGAGTTCCCTATCATCAAATAAATTGCAAATATTTATTTGTAAAAATTATTCTTAGCTCATGGGCCATACAAAATAAGATGGCCAGATTTGACCTGAAGATCATAGTTTGATAACTAAGAGACTTCATAACCGTGCCATGAAAGGGTTAAAAGGCAGACGAAAGCAAAGACCAGCAACAGTAGAAACTGTAACTTACATTTTTTTCTGAAATATATTTATGTGCTTCTTTATTGCACACTTCATTTTACTTGACCTTCTCTTTGATTGGCCAAAGGTATCCATTTGCCTTGGGAGTAGATTAGAATTCTTAAGCAGAAATGAAAAGGGGGAGAAACAATCAATGTTTAGTGACTGACTACTAAAATAAAAATGTTCAGTTCCTAGTAAGACCAGAGTACTGAAGTCAAGCATAGCTGAGAGAGTTAAACTTTTTAAAAAATTATTTAAATTTCTCTCTATATCTAAAGAGCCAGATTTGACTGGCTGCTACCTTCGGTTTCACTCATATGAAGAGACAGGTTTCACTGACTGCTACCTTCAGTTTCACTTAGCCAAAGTGAATTCAAACTGTCTCCACAGGAGAGAAGAAACACTGTGTGTCATTGGGCATTATGTAAGTCACCTAAACCTCGGACTCTTTATCTGTAAAATGGGAATAATGATTCCTACTTCCTATGGTTATGTGATTAAAAGACCTAATGAATATAGAGCACTTTCCACAGTATATGCCAACAGTACTCAGTAAACCTTAGTGCTCTGACTGTAGTAGATAAACAGATCAAACAGTTCATCTTTATGTATGATGTAAAGAATATCCATTACATCTGAGGTAATCCACAAAATGAGTTTTTCCTTAAAGGCGTCTACTGTCTAATCATTCAGGGTCCATTTTCCATGCATTGCTTATGCAAAGCTTATTATCCTCTTCCTTCACAAGGTCCTCTTTTACCTGACTCCATGCTCACTGCCTCACCGTTACCACCTCTCCTAGACCTGAGCTTGCTCTGCCACAAAGCAGGTAGTGTCCACTCCGCCCACTTCTCTATACTCTTGGACTCAGCACTACCGCTTCTATGGGCTCTTCCAAGGTTCAGAAGCCAGGACGCCAGTGAGTCAGTTGCCAAGTCAGAGCCACAGGCTCAGCTGCTGTGACGCGCCCCTCCCCTTGCGTCATTAAACAGTCAGAAGACTACAGCACGTGTCCTTAGGGAAAAGAAGGCTCTCTTGAACCGGTGCAAGCCTCTCCCTTTTCCACCAGTCATTTCAGAGTCTCAAGCTTAAAAGTGTATTCTCCAGCAAAGAAAAGCTGTCCCATACTTAGAGCTCTCCTCCCAGTGAAGATCCAAAACAGACTATGAGCTTATTAATGGTCATTCTCATAGAATTGTAACATTCTAGAGCTGAACAAGGTTTAAAGGTAGTCTAATACAGCCCTTTCATTTTGTAAAAGAAGAAACCGGGGCCCAGAGAAGCTTTGGCTTGTCTGAGGTCACAGAGCCAGATGAGACCTGATTCTTAGTCCTGTATCTTTCCATTAGATCCTACTATTTTCTGTTTGATCTGGTGGTAAAAAGACAGGGTTGGATTACATCATGCATGCCCTTTAAATAATACAATCCAAGTAACTGCCATATTATAGGGACTATTGACAAAAGAAGGGAACACCCTCCTCCACTGAGATCTGCATATATTGCAATAAGCAAATGTCTTACATTTAACTTGATTATCTGAAAATTGAATTTACATAACTAGGAACACATGTGATATTATGATGGGACTAATGCACACCAAAAAGGATGACTTTTATCTACAAAATATACTCTTAGTATCCTGACTAGGGACAATGAAAAATTCAAGATGTTCAATTCTCACCCATCTGCGGTGTGTGTGTGTGTGTGTGTGTGTGTGTATATATATATGTGTGTGTGTGTGTGTGTGTGTGTGTGTGTGTATTTATCCTGACAGTATATGACAGATCAAAATTTTCAATTGGTGAAGTTTCCTATAAACAAGGAAAGACCTGGCCCTGTTATGAGTTTGCCCTTCAAGCTGGAACTCCAGCTGGGACTAAATCCAGTGCTGTGGGGCTCAGCAGTCGATGTTGTTGAGACTGAACACAGATTATAAGGACATTGCATTTATCTAGACTTTGGTTAAATATAAGGGTTACAATAAAAAGAAAGAATATATCATGTCAAATTTGGCCAAATCCATGTAAACTCTAACCTACTTAGCCTACTCAGCATACACATTCTGAACTGTAAACTATAAACATTAGTTGACTGATTAGTCCTCAATTTCACCATGGATTAAATAACAGAACACAGAGTTACTGTGAGACTTGTGGTAGAAAATCTTTAATTCATTCCCCACATATGTGCTAACATTTGATACAGCTTAGAATTTAAAAAAACATAAAAGAAGGCTATAAAGTAAAAGTTACAAAAAAGGGGGAGGAAAAGGAAAAGGAGACAGATGATTTTATCAGAAACTTGGAATGAGGCACTTGTCACAACTAAACACTGAATTTACCCTGGGCTTCCTGACCACAAATAGTAGTGATGAAACTAAGCTCCTCATTTTTATATATTTATAACCACATAGACAGCACTTTGTTTATCTCATTTAATCCCCCTGGTTTCACATATTTTGAAACCAAGGGAATCACATATGTAAAGAATTTTCTGAGTTGCATGGTTATAAGCCAAAACTGCCTAAACTAATGTAATGAAATTACATTATGGACTAATTGAAGGTCTACGATTACTTATCCAAAACTACTGGGAACAGAATTCAGAATTATTCAGGATTTTAAAATGTAATCAATTATATAGAACCTATGTTAAGTATCATATGTTACATATCATATTCAGATAATCTAGGGTAGTACCCTATAATCAGACAGATTACTATTTCTAAAATGAAATCTATAAGGGGTTACACTGGCTGGTGTAGGTGAAGTCTATAAATATCTTCACATAAGTTCACACTAGATTTGATTTTGCACCACTGGAATTTGTCACAAATTTATGAAAAAGTTTAATTTTCAGAGCTTTTTGGATGTAGGAATGGTAGATAAAGAGATTATGCTTATGTGCTCACACACATACAAACACTTGCACATACACAACAAATAACTATACATAAGCGGTGCAAGCTTGGCAGTTTTTCTTAATATCTGTTTGACCTGCAACAAATCATATGAATCTGGGCCATTTTCACACACATTAAAAATAGGAGTAAATGTGGAATTAACCAAAGATAAACTGTGACTAAATGTTGCAAACACTCTTCGAAGCACTCTCCATGAATGAGCATAGCCGGGAGGTTAGCAGACCTGAACGCCTTCACAGCTCTGCTGTTGACATTCCATGTGACCCCAGAAAAGTCACTTGGTTTCCCTGGTCCTCAGATTTCTCTCCTGTAAAATGAGGCCGTTGGAAGTGATGGTCTCTAAGGCCCTTTTCAGTTCCACAAGCTGTGCTTATAAAGTTTTTCATTTTATTCATGTCTATAGGTTTAATTTTTAAAAACAATACCCAATAATAAGGTTTCAAATTATCTCTTGGTCTAATGTGCCTGTTTTTACACAGTGTCAATCATCCTTGAGTCACTGAATCACAAGAGTTTTAGGCCAGTCATTTCCTTCACCGTTTCTAAATACTGTACCCTGTTTTACACACAAGCAACGTGAACAACGAAGCGTGATGGTAAAAACAGGACGCTCCGGCTCCCTTCAGCTGGACTTTGCAAACCTCTTTGTGTTATTTTACACGCCTTGATGTCCTAAAAATAAGAACAGAAAGTGCCGCAAGATTATTTCTCAACTCTGGAAATATTTGTGAGTAATTTTGCCAAACTTTATTAGTCAGAAATGCTAATTGAAAACTCCAGATGGCAGCATCACAGTCACCTTGCTTTGCTAATTTTCTTTGAAATCTTGCCCTCCTAAGAAAACACATTGAAAAGAAATCTCTTTGAAACATTATCTTCGGCATGGAAATTAGCTTCTCAAGGATTTTAAAGAGCAAACTCTTACTTGCGGCCTCTTTGTTCCATTCTTTTTTGTAAAGTCACTGTTTCAATTTATAAAAAATGAATTTTGGGATAGCCCAATGGTAGGATATAATAAGTTGAGATTTTATTTTTAAAAAAATACTTATCAGTTTTGAATCTTACTAAATTTTTGGAACTCAGGGGGCAATTACTGCATTTTCTAATGTCCTCCCAGAGCCAACTCAAGTTCAAAGTTTCCAATGACCTTGAATAGGATTTTGTGTTCATGTCAGCTGTTGGGATATGAAGAATAAAATAAGAATCTAGGTCAGTGTTGCTTATGCTGATAGCATAGCTTGTGTATTTCTCCATGATTTATATTTTTGCTAATGTATACTTTCCCCTTTAAATGCAAAATATGTCTCTAATATTGCACATGTGTATGTGCACACTCAACAACTTCCCTAACCTGTCCTCAAAACTGGTAACTTATGTCACTACAATTACTTAGTTAACTGATCAAACTGCTAAACAGCCTAAATATCCTAATATATTTTATTTAAGAGTTTAAGACCAGGTCCTCCAAATCTCACCTTGATTTTCTACCTTCTAGTATGTATACCTCCTGCCCTTCCCTGGTTGCCTCCATGAGTTTAGAATGGAAGGTGGAAAGCAAATGTAAGGATCAGGACAGCTTATCTTTTCAGCCCTTTCATCTGTGTCCCAGGCTCCCTCCTACACTCGCACTGTGCCTTGAACAGTGGCCTGAAGTTAATATATCAGTATTTATGATGGTAGAGACACAGTTTGACATGTAATATATCCCAATACGTACTATTGTGGAAATCTACTTGTAGTTCATCTTTCCCAGCTTAGTGAAAGAACATGTGTTCTAATATATAGAAGAAAAGTTTTTATGGCTCACTTTATATTTTTGAACATTGCAACCCATTTCCTAATTCAGGAAGCTTTTCTACACTTCTTTTAAATAGCCATTGCTATTTCTACTCATTTCTCTACTTTTCTGAATGATAGTTCTACTTAATTAATGTATTTTAAAGTTTAGCAAGCAAAGTTATGTAATTTCTCTGCCTTTTTTCCCCCTAAGAGTAAGGCCTTGGAAAATACACACAAAAAAAGTTATATATTTAAGATCACTATAAAATATATGAAGAAACATTTTGATAAGTTCAGTGATTTAATTGGGGATATGAGTCCAGGCGTGATAGAGCGAGACCCTGTCTCAAGAGCACGAGAACCCACTTACTTACCACCCAAACTCACCTCACCTATCTAATTTTAGCAGTGGCTCATGCTTGTAATCCCAGCACTTTGGGAGGCCAAGATGGGTGGATCACTTGAGCACAGGGGTTCGAAACAAGCCTCGTCAACATAGCAAAACCCCGTCTCCACTAAAAATACAAAAAGTTAGTCCCGCGCGGTAGCCTAAGCTTGTAATCCCAGCTACTTGGGAGGCTGAAGCATGAGAATCGCCAGAACCTGGGAGGCAGAGGTCACAGTGAGCTGAGCTGGAGTCATTGCCCTCCAACGTGGGCAACAGAGCAAGACACTGTCTCAAATTAATTAATTAATTAAAAATTAAAAATTAATAAATTTAAACGGGGGTATGGAAAGAGAGCAACCTCTTTTCTCCCCGCTCCACTCTGGCCCTAACATACCACTCACGCAGCCCTTGCCTGGATCACCACCCTCATTGACCTTACAACACTTGCTGATTTTGCCTACTGATCCACCTGCAGGTGGGGAGTAAAGAAGAATCAGGGAAAGTCTGTTAAGGAGAGATGGAAACAGGGCTAAGTCATAAAATTAGATAGGTGAGGTGAGTTTGGGTGGTAAGTAAGTGGGTTCTCGTGCTCTTGAGACAGGGTTTTGCTCTATCGCCCAGGCTGGAGTGCAGCGGTGTAATTTTGGCTCACAGCAACCTCCACCTCCTGCGTTCAAGCAATTTTCAAGCCTCCCAAGTAGCTGGGATAACAGGCATATGCCACCATGCCTGGCTAATTCTTGTATTTTTAGTAGAGATGAGGTTTCGTCATGTTGACCAGGCTGGTCTCAATCTCCTGGCCTTAAGTGATCTGCCCACCTTGTCCTCCAAAAGTGAGGAGATTACAGGTGTTGAGCCACCACGCCCTGCCTCATGCTCTTGATACAAACTGAAAATTAGCACACGGATTTTAAAGCCAACTGAAAGATGGAGCATTTTTCAGCACCTGTACTCCCTATCCAACAATCACTTCTCCCTCCCCTCCAACTTAAACACCTACCCAATTTCTTTATATAAACCTTACTATAAAAAAGAGCCAAATAGACAACTATGGATAAGATCTAACTTTTTGTTTTTGTTAGGCTAATGTATCTGATCATGCTTAACTGAGATTGTAGATTTTTTGATGGAAGAAATTGTATATTGCTAATAATTTATAGTCTTTCTAGTGTATAATCAAATATTTAATAACAATAATAACTAATCCCTATGGTGTGCTTCTATGTGCCATGCACTTTCATGTATTTTAAATACTTTACATATATTAAATTAACTGAATAGCCACAATAGCTATATTAGCATCCCTGATTTACAGACAAGGAAACAGAGACACTAAAAGGTTAAATTAAAACAAGGTCATCCAGCTTATAAATGGCAGTCTCAAGGTCACACACATACAAGAGAAATTTTTACTAGCTTGAAAGACCTATGAAAACAGATAATTGTACAACTAAAAAAACAAGTAACAAAATATTTCATTGAATGAAAGTTGGCTTCATATTTAATTAGCCATGCCATATCTCATTAACTTCATTGAAACTTCTGGGAGGAGGGGGTTAGAGTAATCAAAAACAAAGAAACTTCAACCACATAGTAAATAAACAGTCATGGGGCCAAGAATGACCCTAATGAGTAAAGTATTTTATTATTTCCTTAATTGAGACAATATACTAGTTGAATATTCTAATGCTCTGGCAAAAGATGAATATATATATATATGTAAGGGAGTAAGCATTATATATGAAACTGAAGCTATATTATGTCCTTTAATGCTGAAAATATCTATTGGGAATGCCCATTAATTCTCAGATGCCCCTTGTCAGCAGTATATTAAAATTACAGCCCTTCCTGACTTTATATTGAGAATTTAAACTACATGTGTTATGTAGCTCTAATCTTACCAGCACCTCAGATGTTATGTTTGTAAACTTACACCTCCTGGTTCATTTTATAGGATGCAATTAAATGAATAGTTGCAAATCGCTCTGACACAGTAATGTATTTTAGCATGGTAGCTTGATTTAAGGCTACTGACACGTTTGTTCAAAAGCCTGAAGATGGAGCGTTATGCTAGACATGAAAAAAGGGGTACCATAAAATCAGATTGTAAAAAGTGCAACGGTCTATATGCCAAGCACAAATGCTTCCCCTTACTGTTATTTTGGAGAGCTAAAATGACTTGTCTAAAACCTCATGGTATTAATTCTTCCTACAAAGTCAAACAAAACACTGCTAAACCTCTTCAGTAAAATAACTGTACTCCTATTTTAAGCACAATGTTGGAATTTAAACACCTAAGTAGAAACACTAAAATGAAGATTTAATTAAGAAAACAAAAAATATTTTAGAAATACTTGAAGTTAGGAAAAATAATAATGTAAATACAGTACAGAGGAAGAAATGAATTTCACAAAATACTAAAGGACTGTTAAAGGCATTACTCCTTCTCTCTTCCCAAATTCATTTTAATAGCAAATACTTTGGAAAGATGTGGCTTCCTTATAGGTTTCTTTTCTGTAAATCACCTTGGTAATTTTTATATATTAATTGTCTATGAATCTTTAAGACTGAAATATGGCATAAAGCATTTTGTAACATGTTTGACTATAAAACCCCCTTTTCACAGAACATCTTGGGGGATTTGAGTTCCACAGAAATCATTTGGAGCTTTTTGAATCAGAAACAAGAGGTTCTTGCCACAGATATATTTATTGGCCTCTAATGAAAATGTGTCCCCAAGTTCTTTAGGCTCTCCTCTCTCATAAGATTTCCGCTTGATGCTCAGCTCCTTAAAGATAGGACAGTCTCTCTCTCTCTCTCTCTCTCTCTCTCTCTCTCTCTCTCTCTCTCTCTCTCTCTCTCTCTCCCCCCCCCCTCCCTCCCTCCCTCCCTCCCTCCGTCTCCCTCTCTCTTTCTTTTGACGGTCTCCCTCTGTTGCCGAGGCTGCACTGTACTGCCGTGATCTCGGCTCGCTGCAACCTCCCTGCCTCAGGCTCCTGTGATTCTCCTGCCTCGGCCTGCCGAGTGCCTGGGATTGCAGGCACGCGCCGCCACGCCTGACTGGTTTTTGTATTTTTGGTGGAGACCGGGTTTCGCCGTGTTGGCCGGGCTGGTCTCCAGCTCCTGACCTCGAGTGATCTGCCTGCCTCGGCCTCCCGAGGCGCTGGGATTGCAGACGGAGTCTCGCTCACTCAATGCTCAATGTTGCCCACGCTGAAGTGCAGTGGCGTGATCTCGGCTAGCTACAAACTCCACCTCCCAGCCACCTGCTTTGGCCTCCCAAAGTGCTGAGATTACAGCCTCTGCCCGGCCGCCACCCTGTCTAGGAAGTGAGGAGCATCTCTGCCCGGCCACCCATCGTCTGGGAGGTGAGGAGCCCCTCTGCCCGGCTGCCCAGTCTGGGAAGTGAGGAGCACCTCTGCCCGGCCGCCCATCGTCTGGGATGTGAGGAGCGCCTCTGCCCCGCCGCCCTTCGTCTGGGAGGTGAGGAGCGCCTCTGCCCGGCCGCCACCCTGTCTAGGAAGTGAGGAGCGCCTCTGCCCGGACGCCACCCCGTCTAGGAAGTGAGGAGCGCCTCTGCCCGGCCGCCCCGTCTGGGAAGTGAGGAGCACCTCTGCCCGGCCGCCCATCGTCTGGGATGTGAGGAGCGCCTCTGCCCGGCCGCCACCCTGTCTGGAAAGTGAGGAGCGCCTCTGCCCAGGCCCTGTCTGGGAAGTGAGGAGCGCCTCTGCCTGGCCGCTGTGCAATCTTCCAAGTGTGAAGTGACAGCTTTTCTGCAGTTGTACCCAACAGCTCCAAAGAGACAGCGACCATTGAGAATGGGCCATGATGCCGATGGCGGTTTTGTTGAAAAGAAAAGGGGGAAATGTGGGGAAAAGAAAGAGATCAGATTGTTACTGTGTCTGTGCAGAAAGAAGTAGACATAGGAGACTCCATTTTGTTCTATACTGAGAAAAATTCTTCTGCCTTGGGATGCTGTTAATCTATATAACCTTACCCCCAACCCCGTGCTCTCTGAAACATGTGCTGTGTCAACTCAGGGTTAAATGGATTAAGGGCGGTGCAAGATGTGCTTTGTTAAACAGATGCTTGAAAAAAAAAGAAAAAAAAAAAAGATAGGACAGTGTCATTCATCATTGACTCCTCAGCCTAACACATTGTATGAAGCATATTAAGAACTCAATAAATATTTGTTAAACTTCCCTATTCGAGATTTTGTTATTAAGCTTCCGTCTCGTTTTACTTTCTCCTTTTTTTCTCCCTGAATCTAGATTCACTGATTGACTATTTAAGTCTGGACCTTTCTAGTTCCTTATTTAATGTTCTCAGAGCCAAAATATGATTAGAGGCCCAAACATAACTTCCTAGTGCGCACAAGGTTTTTGATAAACAACCAGACCTTTTGACCAGGAATCAGAATTATGTATATACGAGGACCTCAGTTATACTCACCCAATCCAATTTCGTATTGGCACAGCTCAGAGAACTGGTTATCTTCCTTGAGTTTTTCTTTCTTTCTTTATTTCTTTTTCTTTCTTTCTTTTTCTTTCTTTCTTTTTTCTTTCTTTCTTTCCTTTCTTTGTTTCTTTTATATAAAATATTTCAAATATACAGAAATATAGAGGATAATTTTTAAAATGTGCTCAATTTATGGCCTAACAAAATATTAACATTGTGCCATACTTAATAAAATATTACAGATATACTCAAAGTCCTCTTTGTATCCCTCCCATTACTATTTCCTTATTCTAAAAGGTAACCACTATCCTAATGAAGTCAGTGTGAATTCACATGTTAATATCTTTACTATATATTGTGCACCCACCCACAGTTGATAAATATCCTTTTGTTGTGTTATGAATATACACAATGATAACACTTGTATATACCATTCCTGCACTTGCTAAAAGTTCACCATTATGCTTTCAAGATTTACCTGTGTAACACATGTAAATCTAATGTGTTCATTTAAACTTCTATGTAGGATTGTACACATATGAATTTTACCATGTTTTTTAACCCAGTCTCCTATTGCTGAGCATTAGACTTTGTTGTGTTATCGTTTTTAGAAATGCCCCACCTAGATCTCTTTTACCCAGACAGAGCATCCACCAGCAGTCACTCTGAGTGCTGGCTGCTGACAGCTCACAGCTGCCCCTTTATCCAGACATTGCCCTTGGCTGGCAGGAGCTTCTTTGCCCTGGACATGACACCTCTCCACCCCACATACACACCTTAGGAAACCTACAATCCATTGTGAGTGACTGACTGGTATGAGATACAAAAAGACTCCTTGCCTCAAGGAAGAAACCCTTGAATGGGATTTATATTCCAAAGTTTCTCATGGATCCATCCAAAATAAGGCTTCTTCACCTGAGACCATACTCTTGCTTGGCATTTCTCATCCAAATCCTCTTCCCTCAGCAGGATCCTTACAGGTTTCTCCAGAAAAGTGTATTGTCAGTAAGTGGTATACACCAGAATCATCTCAGACTCTGCTCCTAAGGAACTCAACCTAAGACAAGGCCACTAGTATTAACACTATTATAAAATGTTGACCGGCGCCATAGCACACATCTGTAATCCCAACACTTTGGGAGGCTAAGACAGGAGGATCACTTGAGCCCAGAAGTTTGAGACCAGCATGGGCAACATAGCAAAATCTTGTCTATACAAAAAATTTAAAAATTAGCCAAGCATTAGCCAAGCTAATGGTGGTCTCAGCTACTCAGAAGCCCAAGGCAGGAGGATGGCTTGAGCCTAGCAGGTAGATGCTGCAGTGAGCCATGATTGTGCCACTGCACTCCATTCTGGGTGACAGAGTGAAACTGTCTCAAAAATAAAATAAAATGTGCTCATCCCTAAGCAGATTTGTCAAGGGGTTGCTTGAGTATATATCCCAACTGCTACCTAGTAAAATCAGCTTAACTTCAATTCAGATAGATGTTACCAAATTGCTTTAGAGTAGTATCCATTTACACAACTATTCTCATTTCATGAGAGTTACCATTTCCCAACCATATCTCCAGCACTTGCCAGATACATTAAATTTTGGTAATTTAGTTGGGAGTGAAATGATGCATCTATCCCATCCTTTGTTCTGGGTTGTTGGCTCTTTATTTAAAATATAGCAAAATAGGCCGAGTACAGTGGCTCACACCTATAATCCCAGCACTTTGGGAGGCGGAGGCAGGATGATCACTTGAAGTCAGGAGTTCAAGACCAGCATGGCCAACATGGTGAAACCAGGTCTCTACTGAAAATACAAAAATTTAGCCAGTCATGGTGGCAGGTGCCTGTAATCCCAGCTACTAGGGAGGCTGAGAATCGCTTGAACCTGGGAGGAGGAAGTTGCAGTGAACCGAGATGGTGCCACTGCATTCCAACCTGGGCAACAGAGACTCTGTCTCAAAAAAATAATAAAATAAAATAAACTACATCAGAATAAAAATATAAAATGAAAAACATAAACTATATTTAAAATTAAATTAAATATTTAAATAAATAATAAATTATGTATAATAATAAAATATATCTTAATATATTTTATTATTTTAAATATAGGAGTTACCATGTGCCTTATAAATGTTCAGACACTTTACTGATATTAATTTATCTAATCCTTTTAAGGTACCCATGAGGCAGTTACTATTATGATTATACCCATTTTGCAGATGAAGAAACTAAGTCACAGAGAGATAAGTAACCTGATCAATGTCACACAGATAGAAAATAGCAGAGCTTATATTTAAATCAAAGCAGTCCAGCTAAGCAATCCATGTGTTTAATCACTATATTCATGCTATCTATTAACTTCATCCTTTAGTAGTTCTTTTAATACTGATCTGTGCCTAGTAATGCTATTGGAATTTGATTCTCTTTTTTCTAAAATTATTGTTGTTTAAATAAATAAATAAAACTTTACCTACCAAGTGTGGTCAGCTGAATAATGTCCCCTTCCCAAGATGTCCACATCCTAATCCCTGGAACCTGTGAATGTTCATTTACTTGGCAAAGGGAACTGTGAAGGTGTGATTAAGTCAAGGGTTTTGAGATGAGGAGATTATCCTGGATTATCCAAGTAAGCTTTAAGTGTAATCACAAGTGTTCTTATAAGAGAGGTAGGGAGACATTGGACTACAGAAGTAGATGTGACAGTGGAAGCCTAAGATTGGAGTGATACAAGAAAGGGTTCAGTCCCCAGATGCTAGAAAAGTCAAACAAACAAATTCTTCCCCAGACCGTCCAGAAAAATATGCCCTACCAATGCCTTGATTTTCACCCTGGGTGACTGACTTCAGACTTCTGGCCTCCAGAATTGTAAGAGAATAAATGTGTGTTGGTTTAAGCCACTAAAATTGTGGTTATCTGTTACAGTAGTAATAGGAAACTAATACAAGAATGCATGCAAAACTCCAGGACTTGAGAAACAATATTTCCTCTCATGGATCTGGATCTGTGGGTCAGCTGATCTCCTCCATGTTCAGCTGGGGATGGCTCTGCTCTTCATGTCTCTCACCCTCTTCGTGGGACCAGTGGGGTGACCTAGGCATGTTCTTCCCATGGCCATGGCATCAGAACAGGAGAGCAAGTGAAAACTCACCCTCAAGATTTAGGTTTGAAATTGACACACTGTCATTTCCACTTCATTCTATTGGCCATGGTAAGTCATGTGGCTGAATCCAGAATCAAGAGGTGGAGAAAAACACGCCACCCATTTTTGTGGGAGTTATTGCATGGCACTTCACAGTTCTCCCATAAAAGGGGTGGAGAATTTGGGGCTAATAATGCAATGTGTCCCAACTTTTATTTTATTTTATCATTTATTTATTTATATTTTTTGAGACAGGATCTCCCTCTGTCATCCAGGCTGGAGTGCAGTGGCACAATCACAGCTCACTGCAGAATTGTCAGATAATAAATGTGTGTTGTTTTAAGCCACTTGAACTCTGGGATTCAGGTGATCCTCCCACCTCAGCCTCCGAAGTAGTACAGGTGTACAGCACCACACCTGCTATTTTTTTTTCCATATTTTTAGTAGAGATGGGGTTTTGCCATGTTGCCAGGCAGGTCTTGAGCTCCTGGGCTGAAGTGCCTCCCAAAGTGCTAAGATTACATGTGTGAGTCACTGCACCTGGCCCCAACTTTTTTTATTCTATTTTTAATTTTTGTTTTGTTTTTTTTTTTTGAGACGGAGTCTCACTCTGTCACCTAGGCTGGAGTGCAATGGTGCAATCTCGGCTCACTGTAACCTCTGCCTCCCAGGTTCAAGCGATTTTCCTGCCTCAGCCTCCCAAGTAGCTGGGATTACAGGTGCGCACCACCATGCCTGGCTAATTTTTGTATTTTTACAAGAGATGGGGTTTCACCATGTTGGCCAGGCTGGTCTCAAACTCCTGACCTCAAGTGATCTGCCCACCTCAGCCTCCCAAAGTGCTGGGATTACAGGTGTGAGCCACCATGACCAGCCTTTTTACTTTTGTTTTTAATTAACAAATAATAGTTGTATATTTTTATGGGTAAAATGTGACGTTTTGATATATGTTTACAATGTGGAATGATTAAGTCACAGTAATTAATAAATCCATCCCCTCACATAATGTATCATTTTTTTGTGGCAAAAACACTTAAAATTTACTCTTTTAGCAACTTCTGTCTATTGAATGATGCTTTAACCTATTATCAAGTTCTAAATTCATGGTTGTTTTACTACGACATTTAAAAATGCATTCCATTGTTTCCTGACATCTAGTTTTTGAGTGAAAAAATTGCTCTCAAATTGTCATTCCCTTTAGGTTATCTTCCATTTCCCTCTGATAGCTTTTAAGATTTTTCTGTTTCTTTTGGAGGAAGCTTGGTTTGGATTTGTTTCCATTTATCTCACTCAGATCATACAGTATATTCTGTCAAACTGAAGACTCCTGTCTTGCTTGGGGTCTAGGAAGTTTGTAACCATACAAGGTCTTTCTCATTATCTCAGTTTTATGCTTCTGGAAGTCCGAGGCTGAACCTTCCTATTCTATCCTCTACCTCTCTTCATCACTTCTTTATATCTCCTTATTTTTATATGCTATATTTTGATTGATTTTTTTTTTCAGAATTGCTCCCAAATCACTAACCCTCTCGTTGGCTGGAGCTATCTGCTATTTAACATTGTTGTTGAGTTTTCATTTCACTTACTATATGTGCTTTATAACTAAGCTTTCTCCCCATACTACTCTGTTTATTTTTTTATTATAGTTTTTATTCTTTATCTCCTTAAGCCTTTTAAATGTGCCTATTATGTTTCAGATTATCCTATAATCCCCAGTTTTGGGGGTACAAATTCTCCTGGTGGCTGCAGCTGCTCTCTCTCCCTTGTGGAGTTTTGTTTTCTAATTTTTTTTTTAATTCCACGGTTCTCTGTGTTTTGGAACAATCCTTTCAGTGCTGTTCCACTCTTGTTTCTTCCGGGGCCTGTGAGGTTTATAAGTTCCAGTGCAGCATTGGTGTTAATTTCTCAGTGTGGGATTCCTGCACCCCAGGAGTGGTGTAAATTCAGGACTCACACCTGCTCGGTGCTGACTTAGGTTTCCAGTTCCTCGCAGATTTCTTTATCCAACCTACCCTGGGCCTGCCCCAGAGGGTAGAGTTTCTGTAGTCCCATTTCCTATAAGGGCCCCGTTTGTGTAGCAGACTGTCCCAGCGTCTACCTCACACAGATCTAAGGCTTCATCTCCTGTCTCTGATCTGGACTCCATCCCAACCCTCAAATCAGCCTGATTGGGAAAGTTCTGTGAGCCTCTATGGCTGTAACTTCCACTTGCAGATCTGGTCTTTTGTTCTTTCTTTATTTCTGGTACCAGGAATTTTTACTTTCCTTCTTTCAAGTTTGGCTGCTTGCTATTAAAAATGGATACACTTTCCAACATTTCTGTATTGGAGCAAGAGATAGATTCATCCATCATCATCTCCTTTCATCATGTTTAGAGGGAGTCTCTGCTTTGATTTCCTGCTGTGTAGTTCATATCTTGTTCAGGGATCCTATTAATTTTCCAGTCCCTCTTTAGAACTGGGACCCTGGTATAAAACCAGCTAATACCAACGGGCCCTCACGTCTCCTTCTATCCTTCCTTCCCCAGGTTGAATCCTCCAGTCCCAAGCACCACTATACAAAAGTCTTCCAAAACCGACCAACCACTGTCCACCTGGTTAGATTTCTTGGTTAGAGCAGTCCTACCATATTTGACCTGCTTCCAAAGTCAAGCCAGAGGTTGTGACAGTGTTGGAATGCTAAACAGATGACCCTCACTGAATGTCTACCTCTATATAAAGGTCACTTCCACCTACCTATTCCCCACCTATGAGCTACACACCGTCGAGCAAATCGCTGCTAGCTGATGGACTAGGCCTCAACAATCCACTCTTCTATACTCACTGAAATGTCCTCAAGAATATAGTAAAATTATACTAAACAAATATCTAACTAGCTAGAGCCCCCAGTTCAACCTTTCTGATCCCAAACCATTGCTAAAACTCTATTTTGAAGACAAGGGAAAAGAAGCACATCTTGAGAAAGTTTTTATCGAGGATTTGTTCAAATAATCAATTATCTGGTTATGTGCTAATGTCATACACATTCATCCCAATCTCTGAGTGTACAATGGTTATTGACATTCAGACAAATCAATCTGAGACACTAGAAATTCTCATTGGCCAAAGGAAGATTAATGGACATTCTGTATGTGCTGTGACAGTAAAGACTATGAATACATTTTTTAAAGATTTTCAGTAAGAATTGAAAATGAAACATTTATTAAGTTAAAAAGAAAAAATAAACAAAATAGATATTAACCAAATATTCCCATTAATTGAGGCATTTCTGTACAATACCCCTATTAAGGTATAGTATTAATAAAATTTTTCTGTTTCCTGAAATTATTTTCCATAGATGTTTAAAACTAGATTATAAATTTAATTCACCTTGTGAAAATCTGCAATAAATATTACCTTTTGACATAGTAAAAAAAATCAATAATGCAATTTTGAAGTTGACTTTTTAATGTGACCTACATCAGGATGGGTACTGCTGAGAAGTCTTTGGAAGCCAGGCGTAGAAGCACACGCCTGTACTCACAAGTACTCAGGAGAATGAGACAGGAGGATTTCTCGAGTCTAGCAGCTCAAATCTAGCCTGGGCAACGTAGTAAGATTCTGTCTCTACATGTATATAATATATACATATCCTTTTATATTTTTTACAGCTGATTTGTGTAATATTAAATATCTTTATATGGAGTTTAAGTGACTGGAGATATGATTTGATACATAACATGACTAAACCATGAAGGGAGAACTGTGTTATCAATAGAGGTCTATATTCCTCTTAAAGGTACAGAAAGAATATTCTTCTGACACAGGTAATTAATGAGGCAGCTGTTATAATATGCCACACTTCATTAAAATTCAGCTGCCTAGCTATTATAATTCCCTATCTCTTTAGATTGAAAAGTATCTAATGTAATTATTTCTTATTTTATGATAGACTAAGTATAACATAAAAATATTTGTAAACCACTGACATTAATGGAACAGAAAGAATGCTGCAATAAGTATCCAGATAGGCTTTGCTTTTAACTAAGACATTTCTAATACTAAAATAGAATTGGATTTGCTTAGGAAGTTCTAGAGGTTGATTTGGTCTTTCCTTCAAGGGCTGTCTAATATGGTAGCTTCCATTAATTGTAGTGCCTGTTTGTGATTTAATTTCCAAGAGTTTAAGTTGCTTGCAGCAGTGGTACTGTCCCTCGGACTTTTCCAGCCACTGGTTGCCAAGACTTTATGATTTTGCCCTTAAACTGGGCATGTAGCTCTCTCCTTTTTTCTATTCTAATGAATATTCCCACAATATAAAAAGACATTTCTTTAGCTAGACTTTGATTTTCACAATGTGGCTTTCTGTTAAACCAAATTCCTTTTTAAGAGACTTTATTTTTCTTCACTAAATGCAATTAATATTTAAATCTATGTTACTAAATACTTTTAAACCATTTCACTAATATTTCCTCATGTTAATTTTTTGCTGTTTTCTGAACTTCCAAATCAAGTGCGCATTAATTTTAGAGTGGTGATAAAAAGGTGGATTTTCCAAAAAGATAACTCCATGAAGGTTTTCTTGTCATCTGTGAGTGGACAGTCTGTGAAAATAATCAAGGCACTTGATAGTGTGACATAGGTCAGGCTTTGGAGCCAAATAGACCTGGCTTCAAATCTATACTTAGTAACTCTACGAGTTGCTTAACTCTCTGAACCTCATCTTTCTCATTTATCAAATGAGGACAATAATTATTAGCTCTTGCAAGTAAAGGAGGCAAGATAAGAAAAGCAGAACTGTTATTAGCTCATTTTTCTATTCTAAGGATGTTCATATTTTTTGCTTCTGACAAGAAATAATAATTGACATATTATATATGCTCAGTCTATCAACTAAAGGAGTAGCATGCTTCTCATTTATTCTCTTGAGTTACTTCCTAGCAACAGGAGTTGTTGGGAGCAGATGGAGACAGTTTGTAACGTCAACCAAGAATAATGCAAAATGTTATCAGTCTTACCTTAAATTAGTTTGTGTCAGTTAACAAAGTGCTGAGCAATTGCTCAAGTCCATGTTGTGCCCCACACAAAGGGGTGTCTGTACCTCAAAGACTGAGTTGGAAATAAAAACCCAAAGCCTCCAAAGAAGAAGCGAGAAAGAAGACCTCTGTCTGCACTGACTCTGATTGGCATCTCTCTGATAGGAATCTAAGTCACTGCGATTTTTCCAGAAGATAAGGAAGTTCTTTTTCTTTAAAATGTTCATGTTGCCTAATGTAAGGAATTGCTGGCCTTTATCAGTTTTTAAGCCTTGGATCCTGGGCCACTAATTACCTGGAAGTCTAGAGAGATCCAGGAAGCATATATAAAAGGCTGGTTTTCCAAAAGAGATTGTGCTTCAATTTCCCAATGTCCCAGTCTTTACTGTTGCCATGACCAGGTGCATGGGCTCAGCTAGTGCATTTGCATACTCCTCACTTCTAATCCCTGCCTGCCTGCTACACACCTTCTGGACCCTGACTGCTGCTCTCACAGTAGAGCACCTGTCAGGTTCTTACCCAAGTTTCTGTGATTTCTTAATACTGATCATTCCCCTTAGCTGCACTCAGTCTTTCCTTAACTAACTCAACCCAGGCTTCTATCCCTGCCTTTCCAATCTATTGTCATTCCCAACTCCAATGTGATAACTCCCCCTCAAACCCCACCACCCGAAAAAACAGAAATAAAAATGCTGGTCAGGCACGGTGGCTCATGCCTGTAATCCCAGCACTTCGTGGGGCCAAGGCAGGAGGACCGCTTGAAGCGGGGAGTTCAAAGCCAGCCTGGGCAATGTAATGAGACTCTGTCTCTACAAAAAAAATTTAAAAAATTAACTGGGCATGGTGGTGCACACCTGTAGTCCCAGCTACCTGGGAGAATGAGGTGGGAGGATAAATTGATGCAAGAATTCAAGGTTATAGTGAGCGATGATCCTGTCACTGCACTCCAGCCTGTGTGACAGAGTGAAACCCCGTCTCTAAAATATAAATAAATATATATTTTTATATATAATAACTTATATATAAAAATACATATGTATAGCAGCCCAGAGCTGTCTGCCTTCTCAGAATTTCTGCTACAAATTTTAGATATTTCTGCAGTACGTTTTAAATACCCATCATCAACCGATGTTGTTAGACAACTAAGTTATATAAATTGCCCAAAGAACTCCAGCTCTAAAGCCTCCCAAGTTCTATAAGACAATGCTTGATATGATCTTATGGCTCAGTGTTTCCCAGAGATGGTGTGTGGTGACTGATGGGTAGGCAATGAGGATTCTTTTCATGGCCTAAGACAAATATCTTTCCTTAGTCTCTTACAGGAGAATGAAGTGCGTGTTCATAAATTTTCATTTGTATATGTAACTAAGAACCAGTTTGTAAATCCTACTGTCTTAACCAGGTTCCCCAGAAAGCAGAGACAGAGGCAAAACTTATATGCTACTACCTTACTACAGCATGCAATCCAGCAAAGCAGGACACCTATGGCAAGAAAATTAGTGAAGCCATCTTAAGCTCCTGAATCTGTTGCTGGTTCCATAATAACCAGGGCCATAATCAATATTCACCACCTTGTCTTCCTCCTTCAGTGCAGTCTAGATTCCCTCATACTTGGCTAGCACTTTGGCTGATCTGGTTTTCTTGTGTAGTGAGTGACCCAGGCCTTTATCTCTGAGGGTTCTAAGCTCTTACATTGCCTGGATCTTGTGATCCATGGTTGCCACAATTGCCCATTTACCATGATCACTGGACACAACACCAAGAAATGTTCCATTAAATCCTCTGTTTCCCAACATACTCCTCCCTGCCCCTATGTCTCAGTAGCACTCTGAGATCCTCATGGTAATCAGGGTTGATTAGCCTCATCAATATAGACACTCCTTTCTTTGCCCAAAGTAACCAAGTGGCAGTTGCAGTTTCAAGTTCAGCTAAATCTTACTGTGTTGTCTGATAAAAGGAATTTCCCTGGGAACCAGGGCTTCTAATCTATCAGAGCCTAAGAGTATGGGTTCAGAAAGCATAAGTTCTACAAGTGTCTGGCTGGAAACGATAGTGAGAGGAAGTCAATCCTACTTGCACTCCTTGGTCCCTGCCTCTGCGTATTCCAACTGTTAAGGGCTCACACCATATACCAACCATTGGTTTGGCACATATGTCACAAGTTGGAGGGCAGTGCTATAACCCTTAGCATGTTGTCCATGGTTAGCCCCTTAGCTGAGCTTTTAATAGGCTATTCTGCCATTCTGTTAGGCCAGCTGCTTTTAGATGATGGGGTACATGGTAATACTAGTGAATCCCCTTGCCATGTACCCATTATTGCAACTCCTTTGCCATAAGATGGTGGAACATAATGTTGTAGTGTTATTCTGTATTTGTTGCCACAGGGTTGCTCTAACAAAGTACCACAAATTAGGTGACTTAAAACAGCAGAAATTTATTGTCTCACAGCTATGGAGTCTAAAAGTCTGAAATGAAACTCTTGGTAGGACCATGGATCCCTCTGAAACCTGGAGTGGTTTCCTTCCTTGCCTTTTCCTAGCTTCTGGTGTTTGTGGGCCATATTTGGCATTCCTTGGCTTATAGCTGCCCCACTCTAATCTCTGTCTTTATTATCACGTGGTTTTCTCCTTGTGTGTCTCTGTCTCTTTGTCTCTTCTCCTCTTCTTATAAGGACACCAGTCATATTGGATTAGGGGCCTGCCCTACTCCTGTATGACTTTAATTACATCTGCAATGACTCAATTTCCAATTGAGGTAACAGTCCAAGGTGCCAGGAGTTAGGTTTTCAACACTTGTTCTGGAAGGACACAATTCAACCTATGACCAATACCATGCCACTAACTCAGGCAACCTTAAAATAAGATCCTGGGATTTATTTTCAGTATATTCTGTCTTGCAGTTACAAAAAATAAGAGTATTGTAAAGCTACAGAGAGGACCTCTATCTTCACAACATGTCTTTAGTTGGCTATGCTGAGGTTATAAGTGTTTTTGAGAGGCTCCCAATGCTCTTAAAAAAAGCTAACCTACTCCACAATTCTTGTCATGATTATTCCTCCCACAATGGTTAAGCCACAGTCTTCTTATATCCCAGTAGTTCACCTTCGACCTGTACCTCATCCCAATTAACCACAGGTGAGTATCAGTCACTGGGATGCCACAGCATGCCAAGGGTTATCCCCATTCCTCTCACCACCAGAAATGAGGTCCCTATTGCTTTCAGATAGCAATAATTCACCTCCAAAATCTCATCCTGAGGCTCTGTTTTCTAGGCCACTTATGTCATCATGAGTGTATCTTATAAGTAGAATGTCCATGCGTATAACTATGTATCCTAGCCTAGATTCTCCAGAAAGCAGAAACTCGGTTAAAACCTTGTCTGCTATTCCTTTATTAGAGAGTAAATCCCAGGGAAATAGTAGTGAAAAGGAAGATAAAGAAGCAGGGAAGATGGGAAAGCCAATATGAGGGCATGTTACCAATCTGGCCACCATTTGGCAACAGGTGCAACTGATTACTCAATTTCATAAGACCATCTTCGGAGAATCTATATGAATGATTGTAACTCAAGACAGTAATGCCAGTCTTTTGGGGTGGGAGGCGTCGAATATTTTCTTTACTGATTTCCATCTCCCACTAGTCAAAGACTCACCCAAGAGGGTGCTAGCTCCTCCTCATTTCTAGGTTGCACATATATGGGCATCAAACAGATCCCACAGTGTCTCCTTCCTCACCATCAACAAGGATGTCCAAGGGTAGAAAGCAAGTACTGCATGGGGCAGGCATAAGGAGAGGTGCTGTCAAGTTTAGCTCTCTTAAAATCAATTGAAGCCTTCACCGGTATGGTCACTGTAGGGGTGGCTGGAGTGAAACAAGTGACCAAAGACTCTTAGAAGCAAGGAACATTGAAAGAATCAAAATGGCACAAAAGTTGTGGGTGCTTCTAGCAAATAAGTGAGTGATAACTAATTTTTAAAATGTTTCATTCTTAATCCAAAGGTAACATCTTCACTGAGTTATTCTTTCCTTGAAAAGTGGGAATGAGAAGAGTAAATGATACAGTGTGCCTTTTGCCTAAGGAGTTGGGAGGTCAAAAACACTGTATACTCTTGCCTCAAATGACCTCTATGCTGCTTATTTACTTATTAACTTAGTTTTATCTTGACTTTTTAAAAAAAATTTAAAATAAATTGTAACAAAAGGCAGACCAATATGATAGACATATAAAATGACTCAAGCAAGTGCAGGAAAATAGAAATATGCTAATGGTATCTTTAACATAATTTCAATGAGAGAGCTGTAAATTTGGCTTCCAGTTACACAGTTCAGAAATCATGATAAGTAATATAGCTCTTATTATCAGAAAGGAGGAAGCAGGCTTTAGGAGAAGTGAAGTTTTTTCTAGCACTGGAATCTAAAATAGCTTTCTGATATGGAGGTTTATAGAGAAGAAATTGTGTGATGTAATGGAAAACGTCCTCAACAACATTTTTACAACAAATGTACAAGTTGATTTCATTTAACAACGAGGTGGGAAAATTTATTAATTCAACAGCTGATGCTAGAATTCCTTCTAGGGAGAAAACAACTTTTGCTGGTAATAACACTTAGGGTATAAGTGGAACCCTCTAGGTCTGGTATGAAAGCTTGTAAGGAACAGGAAAACAGTTCTGCCTAACAGAGGAAAAGGAATCTGGAGGGCCACAGGGCAATTTGGAAGAGTGAGTGAAGAGGTTGGATGAGAAGGGAGATGAGGGGAGCAGAAGCCACTGAGAAGGCAGAAGGCTCTGTGTAGTGATCCCTCATCCCCTACCACAACCCTCCGTCTTCAATAAAGTTTTTGCTAAACTTGGCATTGTTCTGGGTATTTCAATGTGGGTATTGAAAGCAAATAAGTGCCAATCAGATGGCAGCAAAGTGAGATGGTGACAGATGTGAGGAATGCAGAAACAAAGAAGAGAAAGGCAGGTAATTGTCAGCCATCTGGGATTCGTGAGAACTGGAGAGAAAAAAGCACTACTGATTAAGGGCAGGTCCACAGACTTTCACTACCAGATGAACAATGGTTGAGTCTGACATATCTTATAAGGGCCAAGAAACATGACAGCATCAGCATGACACACCATCCCTCCTCTGAAGGTGGATGAGATACTCATTGTGAAAGAGGCAGCCAATTATTACCTAGCATCATTTTCCCCTTCTCGTTTAGTGATAGAACCTTCCCATTTTTAGCTCGGCACATGGGGTCCCAACTAGAGACATTTCCTAATAAAGGCATTTCCTAATAGGTGATTATGGCCTGTTAACAAGTGGTCAATGAGATGTAGGCAAAAAGAATGTAGACAAGTTCTGGATCACGTTCTTATGGGAAGCTACTTGATCATTGCTTATTTCTCTATTCCCAAACTCTAGAATGAGAACATGGTGCTGTGAGCCAGCTTTCACCGTGTGGATAAGGACATAATCAAGTCTAGGCAATGGCCTAGCAATGACATAGAAGGAATCTGGGTTTCCTGGTGAACTACAGCTGCCTAGCTACTGACTCATCCACTCACCTCAACTCACCCTGACCACGTCCCAACTCAGACTTTTACATGAGAGAAAAAGGAACTCTGTGTTATGTTTAAGCCACTGTTATGTGGTCTCCATTAAAGCAGCCAGATCCATATCATTTCCTCAGAATATATGTTTCATTTACTGACACAACTCTACCCCTTGGGTGCAGCTGTTAAAACCATGTAGTATAAAATATTTTCAAAACTTAGTCAAAATCATACTTCGTGGGTTATAACAATGGTCCATCACTGATACACTGCAAGCACTTCATTGGTAAACTACTCTATTTTTATATATTTTTGGTATAACCATGTGTAGTACTGTCTGTTAGATAAAATGTTGAGCTAAATGGACCACGTTGCCCATTATAGAGCAGGACTCAATATGCTACAGGTAGAGGTAAGAAACATGTTGTAACATCCTGCTGGCACAAAGAGCCCACACTTACTGAACATGCCAAAACGTTGCCTCATGAATATAGAAGAGAGGGCAGTCAGAGAAGTACCAGCTCTATTCTTATAGAAACATAGTGAACAGAGGAGAATCTGCAGATGCTCTTACAACTACTATAATATATATTTAATCTCTGGTCATGATTATAATTATTGCTTTTTTAGAACAGTAATTCAGTTAAAAACTTAATTTGACTTTATGCAACAGAAACCAAATTCCTGTAGTTTAACCACATACAGGATTATCATGTTTCAAGAAATCTAGAATAGACAGTATAAGACTGCTATGACAATTCCACAAGACCATCAAGAACCCAGCCTTCTACCTTTCCTCATATTGATTCTGGACATGTTGCTTTCTTCCTTGTGATCACTTGTTAATCACAAGACTGCTGCACCATAGACACCACATTAGAAATCCAGACAAGACGACAGAGGAAGAATGAAGAACAACAACACACCTGAGTTTGTCCTCTTAAAGTGTTTTCCTAGAATCTGTACCTAATGATTTCTGTTTACAAGATGAATTGCCCAAAACTGTGTCCTATGGCAATCCTTAGATGCAAAGGAATGCAGGGACGTGAGAATTTTTTCCTATGCACATTGCTGATATAAATAACTTCAAAGCTCTCCCAGTAAGAAAGAAGGAGAGAGTGAATACTGGATAGGCAACCAGTGTCTGATATATACTGTCAAAAAAAAAATTGCTACTAAACTGGATGCCATGAGTCCAAAAAGGTGAGAACCGCAGGAATAGAAGTTTTCAAATATTTCTAAAACAATCATCAAACCATTCTATTACTTCTTTTGGGGGGTGTTCTATCACTTAATCGTAAGAAGAGTGACTGCTACTGCTCATTTTTCTAACTACTTTTCTTTCTGTTATTATGTCTTCAATATTAGTTGGAAAATGTGTAATACTGAAGTGGATTAAAGATAGACACAAATTTTTGACACTGTTCTCATCAAAAGGTGAGTTTTATGTCCTCTTTTCTTGGATCTAGGTGAGGTCTGCCACTGCTTGACCAACAGAACATGGCAGAAATGGTGTTGTGCCAGTTTTCAGGCCCAGGTCTTAAAAGACTGGCAGCTTCCTGTTTCTGTCTTTTCAAATATATATTCTTGGAAATTAGCTGCCATGTTGGGAAGAAGCTCCAGTGCATTGTGGGAAATAAACAAAAGCCACTAGTTTATATCCCAGCTCAGAGCTAGCACCAACTCACAGCCACTGTAGTGAGCCATTTTAGAAGTAGATCCTCCAGCCTCGTTGAGCTGAACTAGCTGATGTCTTTTGGAGCAGAAATGAGCTGCCCCCTCTTAAAACTGCCCAAATTTCAGATTTGTGAGGAAATAAATAATTATTATGGTTTCAAGCCATTAAGTTTTGAGAGGGTTTGATACACAGCAATAGATAACCAAAGTAATTACTTTCAGTAGAAGAAATTAATAATGCCTTAATGCTTTATAAATAGATTAATTTCTAGTGGTCACAAATTGTGAAGAATTTAAGTATCATCACGAACATGCAACTTTTCTTTATTTGGTGCAATAAGCCAGCAATGTATTTATTATTCATGTTTGACTTTGTAGTTTGTCTAGCTGCATGCATAGAACCATTGATGTAAATCCTTGACCAAAAAATTGTAAAAGGTATATTCTCCACTTACATAAAACCAAAAAATATTTAATAAGCAAATGAAAACTATACCTGAAGAGCATCTGTTACAGTAGTATCACCTTCCTGAGCTCTGAATAAATTCTGAACACATAAGGAATTTAGAATAGTGGTCACCTTTAAAAACAAAAACAAACATGTACTGTTAGCTCTGTTGGGTCTTATCATTTAAAGAAATCAGTTACTGCCACTAAGACATTCAGCTGATAAGGACAGGAATGAGTTAGAGTAGGGCAGAGTACAATGGTCGGTCAGGATGCTTTATCTGTCTAATATATTAAAATTTTATAATTTTAGTCAAAATATTTTTCTGCATTTTTACTATTTTTATAAAGTTTTAGGGCTTTCAGAGGACAAAGTCATTTCAAACTAGAGCTCTCTAGACTGTTTGAAATGCAACTAAAGAAATTTTTCTTTATCCATTTCTGCCTGAGGAGTTACACCCCTAAATCAAAACTTTTTAATGTACCCAGCACATAAATAAAATTTATGGTTGATTTTCAATTAGACTTGGTCCATGAGTGAGCAATTTGATATTAAATCTGAAAACTGAATTGCTTCTTTTTTTCCTGTTGATAGGCATAAGTTAGGATAGAGTCAGTGGTATATAACCAAGATTCAAAATAATAGTGTCTTAAACACTTTCACAGGTAAGCAATACAGGGCTGGTATGGCAGCTCTGTTCTGTGAGTTGTTCGGGAACTCAACTCCTTTTGTCTGGTTGCTCCTCCATCCTCAGGTTGTTTTTCCTACCAATATATTTAAGGTGGCTTGTCACCACATCTACCTTCAAAGCAGTAGGATGAAAGAAGGGCATAGCCTCCCTTTAAGGATGAGGCCTAGAAGTTTCGCAAACCAATTCTGCTTGAATCCTATTGATCAGAACTCAGTTACCACAGACCACACTCAACTGCAAGGAAGGTGGACAATGTAGACTTTTTCAGAATGGCCATGTGCCCAGCAAAAAATTAGACATTCTATTGCTATAAGACAGAAATGGACATTAGATGCTAGAGAACAACTAGAGTGTCCACTGCAAGATGAACTCACTTGGGAGCAACAGTGAATCTTCCAACTAATATTTTACTTTTACGAGACCCTTGATTTGAACGTTCTGCCTGAATAAGCACTAGACAAATCCTTTACGTAAACCTCTCTGATCAAAATTTCCTAAAGGCTTCTGCACTATGAAAAGAGATAACACCTTTAAGTCATCATTAGGTACTAGCCATAAAACACTGTAATAAATTAAAGAAACCAGAAGTCATTGATTCAGAAATGGCAAATAGATAGTCAGGGCAATTTTATCTTTTGCAAGCAACAATTTCTAGAGTGCTCTACATGTTTGCTTTTTACTCAACTTTAACTCATGTAACATCTTTCAGCAGAAAATCTCAAGAAGCTTTTATAAACGTTAATTAACTGAACTTCACAATACTCTCAAGAACTGAGTATTAATACATCCATTTACATGGCAGGAAGCCAGATGAACATTACGGTGGAGCAATATGGAGCTTCCTTGGTTTCAGCTATATAAAAACATCAAACAGGCAGTACCAGAAATTCAATGTTAATCTGAAAACTGAGTATTTAGCTGCTTTTAGACTGCTAAATTATTATTATCCTATGTTCAATACAAGGAAAGCCATTTTACTAAAACAAAAAGAAAGCCTTATTTTGAAATGCTACTTCAACTTACAAATGACTGATGTGTCATCTAGCTATAAATCTAAAGATAATAATAAAATTGGAAAGATTTTCATCAGATAGACTTTTAACACCAAGCTTGATGCAGTTTGTTTCAAGATTAAATATGAAAAAAGCAGCTGCTTAAAAAAAGTTATTCAATCCACGTGTCAGGAAAGGAAAGCACATATCAGATTTCTTTGAAGAAAATAATGAAATTATATATTAATGTATATTGTGTGTATTTTCTGAACCTAACTTGGAGTTATTGTGATGAATAAATAATAAAGATGATGGTAAGATACACAATTGATGTGAATGAACTATTCAAACAGCTAACTTTTTTATATAATATGAAACATATCAACAATATCTAAAATCCCAAGGTTTTTTACATTGCTGTTATTAATTGGAGAAATTCATTATATGCATTTCATATGTTCAAAGGAATTTTCCAAATAAACCAGGAGATATAACCGTGGCCTCTTATAGAGGCAGATAAACTCAATTTAGCTGCTAACATTACATTTATTCTGGTAATCTGATCTTTGTCTAAAAAAGACTGAGGTCTAAGCCTTGGTTTAATGGAAGCTAAAAAATAGAAATAAAGGCAAGAGTGTTATTTTCATAGGAATGGACAAGTGTCCAGTGTAAGGTTTACTGATGACAACCAGCATAAGGAGTAATGAAATATGAACCAATGACTTTTAGCTCAGACTTTCATCTGTAATCTTTCCAAAAATCTTCTTAAATAGACATTTTATACCCCTTTAATAAGGGCAATTAATATAGGACAACATTCTAAAAACTCTTTTAAAACTTCTGGTTTTTTAAAATCACAAGAAACTTAAAATAAATTTTTGGAAAATTTCTCCTAGGACATTTATCCCGGCAAGGCTCATAAAGAGAAAAACTGTGCCTTCCTTCCACCTGGCTCACCCTTTCTTGTGGACTGACATGCTCAAAACATTAGAGAGGATTGTAAGCCAGCTAGCTAATCAAAGCCATTTCAAAGCTAATAGCCTAACCTTCTGGGTTATGTTGTTTGGTTGTAGAGGGTCCAGTGGGAGGACTTTTCCAAAGGAATATCAAATTTAACTTTAATGACTTACACAAAGAAAATAATTCTGGTCATCAAAATGTGATAAATGTGGCAAGTCTCTTTGCTAATAATACAGATGAAATAGAAAGGATGATAGTCATCTATGATAATGTGGAAAATAGCTTCATCCAGTATTGCAAGTATTTTAAAGAAAAATGCATATATGCATTTTCCTATATACATTAGAAAGGTTTTGTTTGTTTTTTAATAAGACTACGGACCTTTGTCTACAGATTTATTATATGAAATTCATTTTAAAAACAGCTACTGTTTTTAGCTGTTTCATACCTCCTATAGTAGGAGGTATGAAAATGAGCAAGATGTGGTTCCTGCCCTCAAGAAGCTTGCAATGTAAAAAAAAGAAGGGGGGTGGTATATTTCCAAGAGAATAAAATAGGCATAGCTGAAAAAGAACAAATAGCATGTTATGAGTTTTAAAGAAGAAGATTGAGTTTCTTGGGAGAATCAGGAAAAGTTACATGAGTAAGGAAATATTTGGTATGGATCTTGATGTATGGGTATGATTTTGACAACTAAAGTCTGGTTACGTGGGAGTTGGGGGTAGTAGTGGAAGAATTCCAAGTAACAGAAAGAAAAGGCAGAGGACACATAAAAGTCTAAAACACACTGAGTAGCATAGGTAGAAAGCAGAGTGCCAAGTAATAGAAGATAAGAATGGAAAGATAATAAGTTAAGGTAAATGCTATTCTTTGTTTCAGCTTGCAACATATCCATCAGAGGTGTTGGACACAAACTCCTGAGAGTGGATTTTATTCTATTTCTTCTTTTAACTTTTATTTTAGGTTCAGGGGTACATGTGCAGGTTTGTTATATAGGTAAACTAGTGTCATGGAATTTGGTGTACAGATTATTTCATCACCCAGGTAATAAGCCTAGTACTCAATAGGTATTTCTTGTGATCCAGTCCCTCCTCCTACCCTCCACCCTCAAGTAGGCCCCAGTGTCTGTTCTCCTCTTTCTGTCCATGTGTTCTTGCTATTTAGCTCCCACTTAGAAGTGAGAACATGCAGTATTTGGTTTTCTGTTCCTGTGTTAGTTTGTTAAAGATAATGGTCTCCACCTCCATCCATGTTGCTGCAAAGGACATGATCTCATTCTTTTTTATGGCTGCATAGTATTCCATGGTGTTATATATATCATATTTTCTTTATACTGTCTACCATTTATGGGCATGTAGTTTGATTGCATATTTTTGTAATTGTGAATAGTGCTGCAATGAACATATGCATGCATGTGTCTTTATGGTAAAATAATTTATTGTCCTTTGGGTTTATACCCAATAATGGGATTTCCAGGTCAAATGATAATTCTGTTTTAAGTTCTTTGAGGAATCACCACACTGCTTTCCACAATGGCTGAACTTACACTTCTGCCAGCAGTGTATAAGTGTTCTCTTTTCTCTGCAACCTTGCCAGCATCTGTTATTTTTTTATTCTTTAGTAATAGCCATTCTGACTGGTCTGAGATGATATCTCATTGTGGTTTTGATTTCCATTTCTCTAATAATTAATGGTGCTGAAAGTTTTTCACACGTGGGCTGCATGTATGTCTTCTTTTGAAGAGTGTCTGTTCATGTCCTTTACCCACTTTTTAATGGAATTGTTGGGTTTTTTTCTTCTTTTGCTTGTAAATTTGTTTAATTCCTTATATATTCTGGACATTAGACCTCTGTCAAAAGTATAGTTTGCAAATATTTTATCTCATTTGATAGGTTGTCTATTTACTCTGTTGATAGTTTCTTTTGCTGTGCAGAAGCTTTTTAGTTAAATTAGATACCATTTGTCATGTTTTGTTTTTGTAGCAATTGCTTTTGGCATCTTTGCCATGAAATCTTTGCCGGTTCCTATGTCCAGAATGGTATTTCCCAGGTTATCTTCCTGGGTTTTTATAGTTTTAGGTTTTACATTTAAGTCTAATCCATCTTGAGTTAATTTTTGTATAAGGTTTAAGGAAGGGATTCAGTTTCAATCTTCTGCATATGGCTAGCCAGTTATCCCAGCACCATTTATTGAATAGGGACTCCTTTTCCCCATTACTTGTTTTTGTCATCTTTGTCGAAGATCAGATGATTGTAGGTGTGTGGCATTATTTCTGGTCTCTCTATTCTGTCCTCTTTGTCTATGTGTCTGTTTTTGTACAAGTACCATGCCATTTTGATTATTATAGCCCTGTAGTATATTTGAAGTTGAATGATTTTTAAGAAGTTGTTCCATAAACTCTTTATTGCTAAGAGTGCTCATTCAACTTTTGGTAAGCTATGCCATATAATTGTACATTAAAAGCTCCAAAAGTTGTATTAATTATTCACTTGAGATGACCACAGCTATATTAAAACCTCACTTATTTTTGTCAAATGGGAACCACATTACCTGGGTAAAGCCTGTGATCTTTTTCTCTATGAGTATAATAAACATGGAAGAACTTTAGGATCTATAGATGAACATTAGAGGTATGAGTCTCTTCTAACCAACCCTTCTAGAGACGTTGAAGGAGCACCAGTATTTACTGATTTAAGTTTGACTTCCTCTGACCCAAGCCTTCTAATGGAAGTACTAATTAGTATTAAGATAACCCAATGCAAGATCAGCTTTTAAAGCCAAATATGGTATGAAATATTACATGTGCCAAATTATTCATTTTACATGCAGGAAATAAAAGCCCACAGGTTAAGTAACTTGCCAGAAGTTACCTAGTAAGTTAACTAGCAAATTTTCAGAGCTAGAGCTAAAATAGGTAATTTTCAGAGCAAGAAAGAAAAATTATTGAATTTACCATGATGTTTTTTTCTACTTCTCTTATCAAAGATCATTTACTAAATAAAGACCTCCTGACTTATTTAGAATAATTATGACAAATATATTTGAAACTGGTTCCCTCACTTATTTTCTTTGTCCATGCTGGCCTCTTTTATGATCCTCAAAGATGCCAGACATGGTCCTGTCTCAAGGCCTTTGCACTTGCTGTTCCCTGTACCTGGAATGACCATATGATTTCGCAGCCATTAAGTATAAACATTCCTCCAGAAAGATTATGCTGCCCTTCAAAAACCAAGCCCTTGCTACATGTTTTAGAGTACTGTGAAAATTAGGGATCCTTCTTAGGTCAGGCTTGTTTAGCTTCTTTTCATTATGAGAAAGTAATTGCAGAATCCCAAAGGGCAATCACAGGCTGATGTGAAGTCTTGTCTGCCTGGGCAGTCCAAGAGCCCTAGCAGGCATGGCTGACTTGGTCTCAGGGTGGCAAAAGGGATGGTCCCTCTCCTAGAGCCAAAGGCCCTGAGAATGATCAGCAAACCCTCCAAGGGGAGAGGTATACTTAAGTCCTGGGTGACATCCAGGCAACAACTCTCCTCCCTCAGACCCGTGAGATAGGTTTACCGGCATCCTCCAATCACATGCTTTACCTCATCTGCGACAGGTTTAATGGATGTATCCAATCCCAATTTTCTTGCCTCATTTGAGAAACTAAATGGTGAATACCTTTAAATTGTCTAGTAGAAAACAGCTAGAGAGCATGTTATCTGGACAAAGAAACTTGTCACAAGAATTTTGCACATTTTGCATGACTTTGCTTTTGTGTAAGATATATAATATACCCTTTGGGAGGAGACACTGAGCTAAGTGTGACTTCCTTAAGAATAACAGACACTGTCACAGTTTGTTAATCCTATTTGTCTCCCAGGAGAAGGAGAAGATTATTAATTACCCAGCAAAGGTCAGGGGGTCATCAGGCCCATAAAGGGGGTTTACCTCAGAAAACTAACCAGTGGGAGGCTGAGCAAATCTACAAGCCATGCACATGAAGGCTCTCCTCCCTGAGCACAGCCTCCAGGTCCTGATATGCCTGCAGAGTGTCTGCAGAGGACACAGTCCAATTTCTAGACTTGCTTATGAATTTCAAAAACTTTGTGTATACATAGATATCAAGGTTTACAGGCAAACTGATTGAAAGGGTGTAATTTCTGGTGCCCTGCCTAACCACGCAAATGCGGAGCTGGGTCAGCTTGCATCTGCAGCACGGCAGTCCCTTCCGAATACCCAATACTCCAAAGGAGATGGGAGACCTCCTACTTCACCCTGCCTTCAGTGACAGCGCTTCTCATTTTCTTTGCCTTCTGCTTTCTGATCCACGAAGTAGAAGTGAGAAAAAAAAAACTTCACAAATTAATATACTATTGGATTATGCTGCCACTTAAATGGCTAATTGTAATACACTGTGAGATAGGCTAAATTAGGAATATGAAGTGCCAGTGGGAAAACAGATGAGGCAACCTGTCAGCCTCCCCAGGGAGAGGACCAGTGGTGGAAGCTTTCCAGGGTTAGGCTTGGACCCTGAAGGAGGAATCAGGGTGTGCCATGCAAATATTTAAGAAGGAAGGCCATCTCCACGGAAGAGACTGACAAGGCCGATGCCTTTGCCTTTGCCTGCAAAGCTGCAACACTGCCTCTCTTCTTGGGCTAGGAAACACCCAGCTTCTCCTTCACTGGTTTTGGAAGGCAGGCAAAAAGCAAAACAAAAACAAGAAAGAACCACCAGAGCACACACCTTTCTAGGTCAAATCTCATTTCCTAATACCAACAACAAGTTTGACACCTTTTCATTACCAGCCTTGGACTTAAACTCCACCCTCTCTCCAGAGTGGGAGTGGACCCAGATGAGCAACCCAATCGCTTATTCTAGGGTCTGGGCAGTATCCCCTACTCAGTTCCATGTTTGATTTGGTTACGGAGGGATCGTCATTGAGCCAGTAGCATCAGGACCTCTGTTCCACAGCCGCTCTTTCTACAAGAGTCTATGCACTCCTCCCCTAGAAGGACACCATCTGCCAGCAGGAGGAAACCTCTTTTCCTGCCACTGTCTGCCCTGGTCCTCCTTCCCTATCTCTGAGGCATCTGCAATCTTTCATGCCTGGCTCTCTAGCCTAGATAGTTCTAGAACACTGGAATATATTAAAACATTCATACACACACACAACTTCTTTCAACAGCATAAGAACCTAATGTTGAATTTTCTTGAGGTTTTTTTTTTTTTTTAGCTCTCCTGATAATTGCTCATGTGTGGACATATTAAGATCATCATTCCGCACTAGTGATCACTATCCGAAAGTCAGGGAAAAAATCAGACTGTCAAAATCAAAACAATTTCAAGTAATGAAGGTTTTGGGTATAAAATATGTGTTTAAGGGATTTTGTTTAAAAATACACTTTGGCTGTCACTTTAAAAAGATTCGACCAGGGAAGAAAAACCACTATGCATGATATGGAAGTAGAAATTTATTATAGGAATTGGAACTTGCACAATTGTGGGAAGAGCAGGGAAGGTAAAATTCTGAAAAGTGGAGTTAAAACGGTAGAGAAAAGCCACAGACGACTCAGAACTTACAGTGATTCCTGGGAGCCAGCACGTCCTGCTGCCGGAGTGGGACCTCAAAGCCTATGGAAGGTTGTTGGTTCTTCAGGTCTACGGCCTCTGTGAATTCTCAGCAAAGCATCTGGTAGAAGGCCTGGTAGAAGACCTGGGACAAGGTCACCATCAGGAGGGAGGGGGGTGCGAGGACAAACAGGAACCTGCTAACACCTCTGTGTCTGTTTCTATCACCAACAGGTGCTGATAACCTTCAGAACATGGCAGCTGCTTTCCTTCTGCCTCCCAGAACTCACAACTTCCCTTTGGACCAACTCCAATCTGAAATTATGTAGAAAGGGAGAGTCTGAAAAACATAGTCCCAAACATAACCAAGTAGACAATAGAACAATCTGGCACATTGATTGGTATTTTGACTTAACCGCCAGATCACCAGCAGCTCATTGTAGGCAGGCGCAAGTAAATATCTCACCTCAAATGCAACAAGTACAAAATGAATGCATCATAGTGTCCCAGGCTTCCATTAAACAAAAACAAATAAATAAAACAAACAAAAAGCAATCTTTTATCCCTCAGCTTTATTAATGCATAACTAACAAATAAAAATGGTATATATATTTATGGTGTACATCATGACATTTCTTTCCGTGTATACAAAAAGCAATCTTTCTGAGTACTGCTCAGTTACCACTACCTCTAAGTGATCCTGTGTATTCCACACCCTAAGTGTCCATCTGACCTTCCTCACTGCCCTGTGTCCCAGCAGTCTCTGCCTTCTATCAAGCTTTCCTCTTTGCTTTCCCGCATTAATGAAGTGCTCCTCTCTCTTGCCACCCTGCCTCCAATCTCGCCCTGCTCCAAACCTTCCATTAAACCACATGAATCTTTCTAAAATGTAAAATTCTGCTTATTTTACTTAAATTATTTTAGTGACTCCGTATCACCTATCATATACATCTTTCTTGGTGTGATATGAAAGACCCCTCATATATATTCTGACCCCCACCTACATTTTTAGCCCCTCTCCTGTCCTAATCCCAAATGCACTGTGCCCCAACTATTTTAAACTATTTGTAAAACCCTGATTATAGGATTATGTCAACACAGGAGTCTGTGTGCCTTCCTCCCCTTGCAAATACAGTTGCCTGACAAACTCCTTCTCATCCCATAGGATTTGACTCAAACATGACCTTCTTTGTGGTGTCCTCCTTGTTTCCTCACCTTCTCCCAATCCCCAAAGTCAGTCCATAACATTCTCCTAACAGTGGATAGCATGTGCCATGCTGTACCAGGTCTGCTGATTTACATGTCTGTCTTCTGTGCTAGTTGTGAGCTCCTCAATGTTAAGGACCACATCTCATTCATCTTTGTAGTCCCAGACACTAACACTTCCCAGGTGCATGGTAGGGGCTCAATAAACATTTGGTTAAGAAATTAATTGATGAATCACAAGATCTGACATGTTTAAATATTTTATTCCATATTTATAGCTGCTTCCATACAAATTATGATTCCCATAAAACATAGGTTTACATTTACCAAAAAAAAAATTAATTTGGGGGTAATCCAATACATGTACATGGCCAAATAATGAAATTCAGTTTAAATCTTGAAATGGCCCTAAATCATATGACCTCATTGATCAGATTAATAAGATTATTTCTAAATCTCAATTTCACCAGTGATGTTTAAACATATTTTTGACCTGCCATTGGAATACAGAACAACAAAGGAAACATCTGGTTGTTCTTAACTTTGGGGAGACAAATCCATTTGTTAACAGTAGCAATAGGAGAGCTGACAGAACCTGATAACAGCTCCAACACAGGGAGCTCAGCCCACAACAGATGGACCAGACACTTCAGGGAAAGCTTTAAAAAGATGTCTTTTCTAATTCAGGTTATACACTCCTTGAAAGTTCCTTCAACATAAGCATGAAAGTTTGCAGATGATTTTATCAGGTCTGACAGCTTTTTTCTAGAGGTTAGTTTGCAATTGCCTCTCGGGAATAGTTTGGTTGAATTTCACTGGATTTTGTAAGTAAAGGCAGGAATGTTTCTAATAAGTCAACAAACTGAAAGTCCTAAGCAGTTTGCATCACTGCCAACTTTCTGAGTGCGACCCTTGGCTGGTCAGAGTTTGTCTGTGTTCTTTTTTTTTTTTTTTTAATAACTCTTCATCAGCTAACCAAGGTTAACCCAGAGTTATTGCTATTTCTTCTACATGTTTTGGACATAGTTTAATAGTAATTATGTTTAGGCTCTAATGATGTAAAAAAAAAAAAAAAAAGAAAGAAAGAAAGCTCAAACCCTGGCCAGTGCAAAATTATTGGAAAGCATTTTAATACAACTATCTTAATCATATTTCTAAATATGTTAGTCATGTATAATAGTTACATTGATTCTAATCAAACTCTCCAAACATTCTATCCCTTTTCAATGCCATAAGACCTATATATTCCCTCTTAAACTGTTAAATTTTGTAGCCATTTTTAAATGGTCTAATTTACTTTTGGACTCACCAAATAAAAGATGCCTAAGTTGATTATTAAATCATTCCTATTGGAATAGAATAAAGTACTTAATCATATTTGGACAAGGCAGTAGTTAATAAGAACCACACACTGAAGTACTTTCTAATATAATGTCCCCTTACATACACTACAATTAGTAAATTGTTTGGTATATTGGCTTTAAATGGACTGGCTTCAGTAAAATTTTGGTTGATACTTAATATTTTTTAATTATTTTCACCAGACTTTGGAACTGTTTTCATAGCTGGAGAAACTGATCCACAGGGGTTAAATACCAAAGCACACATCAAGTTAGCCATAAAACCTAGAATTGCAGTAATTACACAAACTCACACACTCACAGACACATTTTTAAACTCCATCCTTAATGAAATGCTGATCGATGAAAAAAAATCACTTTATTTTTCTTGGCACATTATTTTCCAAGATAGGTTATTTTAGTGTCAAAGTTTAAATTAACAGATGGACTGGATAAGTTCATTTGGAAATGATGCTATAGTATGCTGCATAAAAATGAAAATTTTCTTTCCCAAAATTTACCAGAAGGTAAAAGACAGAGAAAGAAAAGAAAAATAAATGAACATGACTTTGGAGATAGAGGCATCGATAGGTCAAAGAGTTATGGAAGCAGCCTTCCAGGACTTTTTGGAAGTCTTGGCCTTAATTTCTCATCTTCCAAGAGGACAGAGATTCTCCAAAATATCCTCTCTTAGGACTTCTCACTGCCTGTCATCTGGTTTTTCCTTTATTTCTCACATTCCCTAGGTTCCCAAAGGAGAGATCAGAAATTGAGAAAACAGAGGCACTAGAGAAGGAACATTCCAGTCCCTCTTCACATCCCACAGGTCTGAGTCCTAGGCACCTACAGCCCACCACTTAGGCCAGCTTGACTGCCTAGGACCCTGGCTCCGACCTGTGCAGTGTTCTACAGATGGACAGCATAGCACCTTTGGCCTGCACTGCAACATCAGTCCCCAATGATCAAGCCAGCAGAGAAGTGGCCATGCCTTAGGTTGTGGCTGACTTTGCAGACAGAGAAGGAAAATGAAAGAGTGCCTTAAGTTCTACTTCTCAAAAAAAAAAAAAACTTTTGGGTACTAGGCTTAATAGCTGGGTGATGGAATAATCTGTACAACAAACCCCCATGACACGAGTTTACCTGTATAACAAACCTGCACATGTAACCCTAAGCCTAAAATAAAAGCTTAAAAAAAATAGGTCTACTGCTCCCAGTTAAACGACTGCATCATTCACTACAGAACCGGAGACAATTTAAAATAATTATAACAGAGGCCGGGCACAGTGGCTCACACCTGTAATCCCAGCACTTTGGGAGGTTGAGGTGGGTGGATCACTTCAGATCAGGAGTTCAAGACCACCCTGGCCAACATGGTGAAACCCCGTCTCTAATAAAAATACAAAAACTAGCATGGTGGCGGGAGCCCGTAATCCTAGCTACTCAGGAGGCTGAGGCAGGAGAATCACCTGAACCTGGGAGGCAGAGGTTGCAGTGAGCTGAGATCACACCTTCGCACTCCAGTCTGGGCCACAAAGCAAGACTCCATCTCAATTAAAATAAATAAATAAATAATTATAATGGAAGTGCAGTCATTCTGGAAAGACACAGACTTAAGACAGCTGTGTGACTTTGGATAGGTTACATGATCTCTCTGAGCCTCATTTCCCTCAATGTAAACCGAGAAGGGTGATACCTATTCTGGAGTTCTTTTAATGAGGATGTAAGCAGAGCTCCAGACTCATGATGAATACATGGTACACATTTAATAAGTGACAGCTAAATACATTATACCTTTGCCTGATTTTAGGAGAGAGGTCATAAGCTGGATGTGAAAATGAACCAAATCACTAACAAAATTGCAGCACCCTGTTGGAGACGGTAATTTTTTCTTAATTTTTCTGCCTACAATTTCCTAGGTCTTCTAATTAACATTGTGATACTTTAGCTTGTAGCCTAGCAGTCTTGTTCTTGTCCTCAATATTAAGTATGCTCAGTCATATTTTTAGATAACTTAACATTGCATATTTATTTTTAGACAGCCCAGCCACACATAAATGACCAATACAAATCAACATAAAAGCAGTTCATATCCAAAGTGCCCAGTTTTAACCCTCTGTAGCTGGCAGTTCCATTTTTAACGCGAAGTTTCCTAAAATGTATAATCTATAAAACTAATTTTATAGAAAATTGACACTGAAGATATTAAGAAAAATCAAAGCATTTTGTGGTCAATTAAATTGGGGAGATGGTAGGGTAAGCAAAGTTAAGAAGGGTTTTTTTGGTTTTTGGTTCGGTTTTGCTGTTTTGTTTTATCACATGAATTTTCAAAACCTTCAACATTCGAACATACATGACATAGCTCTAAAAAGGTAATAGGAGTCCTACATTTCCAAATTTTATCTGTGCTCAGAAATGACATTAGGTGACATTACCTGAATTCTTCTATTGTCTTTTTGTAGAGACATTTGCCATAGGCACAATAATAGGGGTGATGGGGCAGGAGGAAGGGAAAAACAGAGTGAAAGAAGGAGTTCCAGAGTAACTACTCTTTAAGGCAGGGATCACAGATCCTAATGCCTACAGGAGAAAGTGAAATCAAGATCAGAGGTGGGCCAGACACAACCCAAGAGAAGATGGTAGGTCAATGGCAAACAGCAGATCATATGGTCTTTCTACCTCAATTCACACTTTTAAAAACATTCTGTGCACCTGTATATGTCTGTGGGCCCTATTCACCATACATTGCAAGCATGAAGCCCCTATTCTTAGGAGACTGCTTTCATTTTTATTTCAAAAACAGCACCAACTTCAAGAGTGCCTTCAAAGACCCAAATTTTAATGTGTTAAAGGGAGGGAAAAAAAGATAGAGCATATTAGAGCAGGAGGTGGCTGTTCCTCTGTCTCTTTGTCACAGCTATCACTAGACCCATCTCAAAGTTAAGAGATGGGATCCTGTTTGTAGTTCAACATTATGTTATCCACAGGTGGATGGATAAGACCTGCTTATGCCTTTGGATCATTTATATTTTACCAGACACTGTTCCATGTGCTCTACTTGTAGCTCCTCATTTTATCCTCACAATAACCCTATCATGATCCCCATTTCACAGATGAGACACGAGAGAGTTTAATCCACTGGCCTGTAGCTACACAGCTAGCAAGAGACATAGCTGGGATTGAAATCCAGGTTGTTTGGTTCTAAAACTCTTAACTATTATGCTCAACTCAGTCTTGGAGATGTTGTTCCCAATTTGAGGGGTCTATCAGTTTTAATTGCTTTCAGCTGCAGGTGACAGAAGTCCCAGCTACCAGTGTCTAGAACAAGTTTTGTTTTTGTTTTTTTTCCACAAAACAAGAAATCTGGAAGCAGGTGTCTACTGGCAGTAGGGCTGTACCTCAGCAATGTCAGCACCAACTTCTGCATGCTGGTCACAAGATGGTTAGTTCTTCACTGGGCATCATATATGAAATCAAGAAGCAAGAAAGGAAAAGGGGTGGCACCAGCCTTAAACCCTTTCCCACAAGGCCCCATCAGACTTCAACTTATACCTCATTACCAGAATGACATCACATGGCCATGTCTAGCTGCAAAGGAGTCTGGGAAAGCAAATATTTCTCTTTTCAAGCCCCAAGAGTGGAGGCAGGAACAGGAAAATCTCGTTGGGAACAGATGCTGGCTTAGCCAGCCAACAGTGTGGACCACAAGAGATTTGGTTTGGTTAAGAAAATACCAACAGAACTTCATCATACAGTGTATCACCCATGACATGAACCCAAGGAAAGTTAAATAGCAACAATTAAAAGTTTGCTGCAAAACCAAAATTGAATTATAGAACTCCTATTACCTTTTAAAATATCTGTTTCCATTCATTTCCAAAAATCTGAAATTATCTGTAAACATTTTCCCAATCAAATCTGTCTAGGTAGTGTGTAAAAATTACTTGACCTTCACACACCCAGATACTTTTAGTTATGCTATTGTTAGTTATGTTATTTCATAAAATGTTATCTCCTTATTTACAGTTGATAAATGAAATGATGATTTTCAATACAGTTTCAAAACTGGATTGAAATTTTGTTAGTTATTAGAAACTAGAAAGTTTCAGTGCTGAAAATACACAACGGGTTGTTTGTATTTATCATCTATTTTATTTTCCAGTTTGCATTGGCTTTTCTGGGTCTTTCTACAACTTTAATTGTAAATTTTTTCTTTTATATTTTTATCATGGCACTCAAACTCAGAAAACCTGTTAAGGCAACTACATAATGTGATCTAAAAATCCAGTTAACATATTGCTATGGAAACCAGGAAATAGAAACAGCACTCTAATCATTCCTTTAGACAACTATGGCTCTGTGTGTGTGTGTGTGTGTGTGTGTGTGTGTGTGTAAAACTTTTTAAATTCATTAATTTATTCATCTTTTATTGAAAGCTGTTACTGAACCCAAAATCTGTAATTGATCTGTCCATAAATAGGCCCAGTGCCTTATTACCAGTAAATTAGTGTTTTTTAATGAGCTATAGTCATTGATAAATTATGCCATGCCGTATCAGGAAATCTCCAGTCAGGCCGCGTTGTTTATTTAGCCTGCTGAGGCCTCTTGGTATGGTGTGAAGGACACCTGACTGGGCTGAAAGCTAAGTTCTAACTTTGCCCCTCTTACTAACCAGCTATGTGACTCTCCTGGGAACTTTTAGGGACTCAGTTTCTTTACCTGCAAAATGGTTCAATGCAAGACTTTAGTAACGTAATGGGAACTTTCCTTTTCCATAAAACTGGGGAATCAAGAGGTAATCTCTTTTGAGGACTGAAATCACTCTTATGTAACCTCTGGTTACATTATCATTTCCAAGTGCCTGGCACTTGGGAAATGATAACTATTCTTACTACATTTTTCTATGTTTCATTCTGTAGTAAATAAGAACTGAACCTGCATAGTAACTGTTATTTTAACCCATGACTTTCAATAACGAAGATATCTATGTCTCATTATCTATTGCCATGATTGAACAAGTTGGTATGAGAGCCGGAACGAACTCAAGTTCTAACCGGCAATGCCCGTTCCTTAGATCCTATTACCTTTGAGTGTTCATTTACTCTTGTAGGTGCCAATTTTTATAGCGAAATACAAAGTTATCCCAACACAATTACTCCTAATAGAGTTCACCGAGGCCCCAAAAGCTCTTTTTTAAAAATCATCATAAGATTTCAACATTCAAGAATTAAACTTTTGTTCTGTTGTGCTTATTCATCGCTATTTGCCCAGTTATTTAATCAGCCTGCTTCCGGCTATGGAAAAAAAAAAAAAGAAAAAAAGAAATGGAAGTCTCCTCAGGGTTAAACTCCTCTGTTGTTCTTCCTTGCAGAAATTTGAGTTATTATAGTAGAGGATAATCGTTGCATAATGAAATCATTGGGACAATTCGTCCATCCACTTCTACCTCCGCCTCTAACAATGAACTCCTTGTTTCTGCGGTGCCCAAATCTCTCTAAACCCGGGTGGGCGCGGGGCGGTTAGCGGAGACGTGGGAGAGGCCGAGAGCAAAGCTCGCGCCCTTCCCGGGGTCAGCGAGCGGGGTGCCAGGAGGGTGCGCGCCCTGCATCTGAGCCCGGGGTGACACTCGCCTCCCAAGCGCCAGGAGGGGGAGACTCGGTCCCGCTTATCTCCGGCTGTGCTAACTTCAGACTGCCTGAGCTGGGGGAGGAGAGCGCGCAGCCAGGGCGAGAAAACTTCTCCACCTAGAAAGTTTCACCTTGTCGTGGGCGGGGCAGAGGCGGGAGGAAACGCGACCCCCGCGGGGCCAGGCGCGGCGCGGACGGCAGGAAGGGCGGGGGCCGATTTCCCTCTGGGTGGTGCCAGTCCCCACCTCAGCGGTCCTCGGAACCCGCGGACTAGGGGACGGACAGCACGCGAGGCAGACAGACACGTGCTGGGGCGGGCAGGCGAGCGCCTCAGTCTGGTCGCCTGGCGGTGCCTCCGGCCCCAACGCGCCCGGGCCGCCGCGGGCCGCGCGCGCCGATGCCCGGCTGAGTCACTGGCAGGGCAGCGCGCGTGTGGGAAGGGGCGGAGGGAGTGCGGCCGGCGGGCGGGCGGGGCGCTGGGCTCAGCCCGGCCGCAGGTGACCCGGAGGCCCTCGCCGCCCGCGGCGCCCCGAGCGCTTTGTGAGCAGATGCGGAGCCGAGTGGAGGGCGCGAGCCAGATGCGGGGCGACAGCTGACTTGCTGAGAGGAGGCGGGGAGGCGCGGAGCGCGCGTGTGGTCCTTGCGCCGCTGACTTCTCCACTGGTTCCTGGGCACCGAAAGGTAAAATTGCAGCCCCTTTCAGATCCAGTACCCAATCCCTCGCCTCAGGGGTTCTGCTTTCTTTGTTCCCCTAAGAGACCTGACTGCTGTTCCAGGGGGCAAAACCACGTAGGTGGGCTAGAGTTTAGGGGCTTCGGAAACTGAAGAGACGTGGCCACGGCGAGGACGAAACTAGAATGGGGCTTGTCTTTTTAGGGGGTTGCTTCTGATGGCCACCTGTATGACTTAGGAGGGAGAGGGGCGCTGGGACAGTGGGTGATGTGTGACTGTTACGGCCCAGCAAGTTTTAAAGCTGGGATCTGACTCAGCCCTTACAAAAGGGATCCGGTCATCCTCGTCCCACCGTGATGCAGCTGGCAAGGTTTGAGCCGAGCTGTTTCCTTGTTCCCAGCCTTGCTTTATCTGTGTTATGTTGGGGTCCTTCCAAGGGGCAGGTGTTTCTGTGAAAGTCTGAATTCATTTCTGGCAATCACGCGGGGCTTGTGATCCATCAATTTTCCATCGTACCTTATCTCTTTCTGGGGCTTGTGGTGGACATCTATCTTATTAGGTGAAATAGATTATAACCAGAGGCTGAGCGATGTGGCCAGTCGTAGTGCTGACCCGATAATTAAAGCACCAGTGAAAGTACTTTCCCTGACTATTGTCAATGCAGAATTTACTCCGAAGTACGGTTTCCCATTCATATCTTTCATGTTTTAAAAGAGCCATTTGCTAATTTGGCAGTTGGAGAGGGCTCCAATGGCTCACGCATGAATAGTTGCCCAGTGTATTTTACCTTATCACAGTTTTATGTTCAAAGGAGCCCTCGGGCAGAATGAAATATTGTCAACTCTCTTAGGCAAAATAATCAAGATACTTTAATTGCTATGTTAAGATGGTCCATGAATGTGAGAGGATTGTAAGAACTGACGTTGGAGGCAATATAGACTATCTGGACCCTCTCTTGAATTTTAAGAAGACTGTTCACATTCTGTAGCTTTGGGTGGGGGTTTATTCTGTCGCTTTCATCAGCCAGACACATGCACATTGCCATGCAAATGGATTCAGAAAAACATTATATTCCCTTACAGCTAAACTATTATAGCTGACTAATGAATTTTTTCTGCATGAAGATGATCTGAAAATGATGTACATCATGTTTCTCTGTGCTACAGGGACATAAATTGCATTTTTATGTAAACAGTGTAAGTGGTGCTTGGATTATTTACAGGTACATAGCTTTCCTTCCTTGATCTAAGCTAATTGAGCTTTGTTTTGAACGTGTAAACTTCCATAATGGAACATAAGTGAGGTACTTTGGTTCCTATCATTTGCAAGTCTGTGGTGTATTCAATGTTCATTCTTTTTGAACTGCTGAATAACAGAGGGAAAATTTACATCATTCATAAGAAATTTTGGTAGTACAAAAATGTGTCTGATAGCCTATAAAATGTACTGCTGTTTTAAAAATTCTATTCCGTTTTCAAACTTAATGGTGTATAAGCTATAGTTATTAACTTAAATATATTTTGCTTTTAACATGATGGAATTTGTGGCATATAGAAGACAGTCTGCCGACTACTGCTTTTTCAAAATTGCTTTGTTCTTGATACATGGCAGTAGGGGTTTACATTAGATGTATACTACATGCTTTCAAAATTAGTTGATGGAGTTTATCTTCATGATAAAAAATGTACCAGATTAATCATAGCCAGTCAATACGAAAGCTCATAACTAATATTTTCACTACTTTTAAACCTATAATAGAGAAAAATGACCCTTTGCTAAGCAGGAGAAATACCCATATTTTATAAATTCCTTTTAAGACTATGTAAGTATATGCCTTGCATTAATCTTGAAATCTTTAAAAAAAAATTGTCTTAATGAGGGCTAGACTAAGAAATACATTTCAAAAATCAATTTCCTTAGCTGTTTTTAAAATAGTGTTTGAAGTAGCATTAGTCATATTATCCTTCTGCAGATCTACATAATAGTCTCAAATTAACTTTTTCTCAAATGTGGTCATCTCAAAACAACGTGAATAACTCAGAGGAGCTAACATCCTCTAACTGGCTTATTTTCTCCAAGTGGCTGCACCAAAGACATGGCAACACCCCCATGGTGAGCACAGTTCCTCACACATTCAGATTACCTCCCATTTCTCTGTCCTCTTCCTCCTCAACCCTTTCCCTTGGTTTGGTCAGAGCTGCTTTCAAGGCCTTCCGTGCCCCCATTTCTCCAGCCCAGTTTGCTCGTTTCTTCTTTAGGCATTAGGCTTAGTGATTCTCGCCAGAGCCATCTACGCTTTCTTTTCCGTGGTCTAAATCCCTAAGATTTCCTTGGTCTGCTGTGTTTATTCATAGGATACTCAATTTCCTCATTGTGCCCTCTTAAGGGGAGAAAATGTATGTAGAAACTCAAGTGTCCGGAAGTGAGCCTTCTTTTCCTGGCTGGTGTATGCTGAAACTAGTGTTTTTGACACCAAGCCCTTAGGGCAGAGTTTCTTCATGGGTTTTGCTCAGTGCAAAATAAATAGTCACTTCTCAGTAATAAATGATAGATACACTGACTAATGTTAGTTCAGAATCACTTTGATGATGTGTTCTCAACTGACACTGAGTTGCTGCTAGATCCACATTTGCCTGACCAAAAATAGCTAGGACCTATAGGTAGAGTATCATATGTGCTAGGTACTACAGCATTTTCTTTAAAAGAAAGAAATGGAATCTGCCCTTGAGAAGTTTATGATCTAGATACACAGACAAATATCACATATTAAATGAACACAAATTCATAATTATTAAGAGGACATCACATGAGAAACGCTTTCAAAATCATCCTATTTGCTATGAAATAATAGAATTTTTTTTTAAAAATCAAAGTTTGGAACTTAAAAACCTTAACATTTTCAAGCTGTTTCTGCATACATCACCTTTCTGATACCAAAACGACCTTACAAGATAGGCAAGTCTGATAACATCTTAACATTCTTATGTTATAGACAAGGAAACTGAGCTTGAGACTAGCTCCATGCTATTTCAATAGCACCATACCACCTTTCCTCAGCCATCAACTATTGGAAACATTTTCCATGGAGGCATCATTAGGGATGCTTAAGATAGTGGTAAATGATGAATATAACATATCTAGTCCCTGGAGTTTTTGTCACCTTCTCTTTCTCCAGTTCTCTCTCTCTTTTTTTTTTTTAATTTCTTTTCTTTTCTTTTTTTCTTTTCTTTGTAGTGAGACATACCGAGAAAAGGTTTCATTCATATGTGTGGGGCATTCTGCTCCTGTTATCAGATTAAGAGCCGTGAATAATTTTGTAATCTATCCTTCTATCAGAAAGCCCATTCTCAGATATCTTTTCAGCTGTGTTAAACAGGTTAGTATATTCCGCTTGGGATTTGTTTCAATAAAAACATCCAGTAAAATCTGACTACTTTGCTTTTCATGGGACAAAATGAAAAAAGTGCTTTTATAAGCTGTAAAACTTAATTGAGAGAAAAAATCACGTGTGGCATTTGTAGCAGGAGGTATGAGCTCAGTGAAATAAAAAAGTTAACTTTGTAATCACATACCCAGGTACACATATTTCTCTCTGTGATTGCATAAATGTGTGCAAGTATGTTTATGTAGGTTACTCCCATTGATTTTAATTTCTATAATAAATTATGTAGCTATAGGGCCCACAGGCGATTATATAATGGGCAATAGAATTTGAAAATGTATCTCTCCTAATATAATTAAGGATAGCAATTATGAAATGTGCTTAGAGAATCACAAGTTATCGTGAAAGCCAGGTTCCTGTACTCCAAGAATGTGAATGAGGATTTAGTCATTCATTCAGGACAATTTTTTGACAACCTACGAGGCATAGTTCTAAAATCTGGCATTTCCACAGAGTATAAAACAGATGAAAACCTCTAACCTCATGACACTCTGTTCTATTGAGTTGGCAAACAATAAAGAAATACATAACTGAAATGTGTTGTATGTCAGGTGATGATAATAGCTTCAAGGTAGAATAAAATGGAAAAGAGAATAGTGACTGTCAAGGATAAGAGAGAGTGGGATGGTGATTGAAAAACTCAATAGTGAGGTCAGGGAAGGCTTGTCTTCAAAGGTGGGCTTTGGGCTAGAATCTGAAGGAGATAAGGAAGTGAGCCAGGCGCATATGAGGAGCACTTCTCAGGAGTGCTATTCTCATCTTGTTTTTCCTGAAATTGTGCAGTTCACAGCTTGCACAACTGTCCATAGACTCCCTGATTTTGGAGGGAGATACCTGAATAGTGCCCCTGTTTTTGTAGGGAAATACCTGGACAGTGCCTGCCATCATTAGCTACCATGTTAAAGATGAAGATACAGGAGTGGCCCACATCTCTTGGTTTATGAGACATGGAAGAAGAAGACCCAGAGTGTTGTTTTGTTTTTTTTTTTGTTTTTTTGTTTTGTTTTGTTTTGTTTTGTTTTGCATCCGCCTGGTCCCATCCCATACTCCATCCTCTATCAGAGATATTGCTCCATTCAGACAATTTTCCTTCTTATTTTCCACACTGTGAGCCTGTCACAGTGGGATTTGTTGAGAAGGATACCCATGGCTTTTTTCACTGATCCCTTCCATAGTATAAATCTAAAGACAGCAAGAGGCAGTTGCTGATGGTGTGCAGCTTCTGTCTGCTATGCACTTCTTTCTTTCCCCCTCGCTCTCCTTCCTTTTCCTTTCCAGTATTAAGTCACTGCATTGGATTTTCTTCCTCTTTTCTTCCTTTTCCCTTATTCCCCTATTTATATCCTGTATCAAGATTTGCAAACAGGTAACTTAAATGAGGAAAACTAACCATTTCACTAGGGATTGACAAACTGCTTAGGAAAAGCAGAGGGGCAGTCACTGCTTGGCGTGATTAGAGCTGTTGTGAGGCTCAGTGTATGGCATGGGCCCATGTGGTAGTATCTTTCAGATTTTCAAGAGAAGCTAGGACTCTCCCAATTTTAAAATGTTGACTCAGTGTCTTTAAAACACCATACAGCTTACAGTGGCAGAAAGTCTGCAAGCCAGATTGGGCTCCTGATGGTCCCAATTGCAGCAGCATGCATGGCCCGAGAGCCCCAGGACTGCTTCTACAAAATATTTTATTTTCTAAAATTCTCAGAAAATTAACTAAACAAATTTTTTAAAACCAATATTTTATGTCAGTTCCTATTGGCACGTGGTTATTTTTCTAAACTCATCAGCCCACATACTTTACATCAAACTATGTACGTTTCTAAACTAAAGGGTAATCTAGTTATTTCATTCTTAAACTGAAGTAGTAGTTTTCTGAAACCTGAATCCATCATGGCTTTATGCATCAATTTCATTTCCAAGTTCTCTGATTCAGGATAAACTCCCCCTTTGGAATATTGTCTTTCTCTCTCTCTCTCTCTGTCTCTCTCTCTCTCTGTCTCTGTCTCTGGAAATGACTGAACTTCACCCGTTGTTATTACCCTGCCATTGAAATTCAAAACATGCACTGCCCTCCTGGTTTCCAGTGCCCTTTAAAAGCAATCAGATCAGTGTTAAAATCTATTTTTCCAAAGGAATAAAAGCTCACAGGTTGTGCACTAATTTGTTTCCTTTAATCCTAAAATCTCAGTGAAATGCCCAAGCTAGCAGCCCTCCAGAAGGCCACTGTGTTAGAAAGGGAGATTATGTACTGTATTTCTTCCTACTATTTTAAATGCAAATATAATAATATATCATGAAACAGTGCACATACAGTATACATATTAAGATCAGTGGTCTATTCCTGTTTTGAAATGGTCTCCTACTCCTTAATAGTTGGAATTCTGAGGCAGCACCTAGACTCTCAGGTCCAATTTGAAAATGTATGTTTTTTTTTAAAAAAGAATGACTTGGGGAATAACTGTTTGATAAGACCGTGGAAGATTTCTAATTTTTAATATTTTATTAAAAATGTAAAGAAAGACATTCAAAGCTGAGACCTTTGAAATAATATGGTCTTTGCAAGTCAGAGAAAAAGAGAAGTGGTAAATTTATTAGAGATAGGTTGCCTCCTTTGAGGCCTAATCATGTGGGAAAGGAAAACCCAGCCAAGGTTTGGGTCCATAAGACAATTCAACCTAGCTTTAAAAATAGGTTTTGGCTTTGCTTGGGACCAGCATTGGGACCAGAGTGTATCTAGACCAGCATTTTAGCTATTAAATTTTAAACCTAGGGGTCTTTTAAGGGAAATTTAATCCATGTGTCTTTGATTCACTAAATCTTAAATCATTACTCACAAACTGTATGTCCCTCTAAGCTCTTTGATGTCCAAGAGATCTCTAAAATTGTGTAAGGCCTTTTTGTTCCAGAAAAAAATAGGAAGTTGGTTTTTGCTAAGCGTCAATAAACAGCATCCTCAAAAATCTGATTAGGTCTAAAATCTTGCAACCATGACAGTATGGATGTTTGAATGATGCAATGTGAAAATTTTAAGCACTTTTTAAAGTCCTTGTTTACCAGTAATACTCAGTTGTAATCCTTACTAACCCCAAGGAAATTATTTTGACACATTTCCTCTCTGTTTTGTAATATAAATACAAAGCCCAAATATTCATCATTTTATTCTGGCACATAGTAGGTACTCAGTAAGTATTTTGTAGAGTGTTGAATGACTCTTTCTTCTGCCCAGAAACTTCTAGCTAATGTCAGTTCTTCTATTCAATATTGATATCCATCTGTCATACCTTGGAATAAGATCTATTCTAAGTCAGTGACCTTGTTCGACAAATTTTTAAAATAAGCCATCTAACTAAATATATGACATTTATTGAAATTCATTTTGCACCATGAAGCAACTGCCTTGCAAAGAGTGCTGAAAATAGGAAGGAATTTCTAGACTAATTTGATTAAATATTCAGTTGTTGCCATATGCTTTCTGAAAATTGATTTTCCCCCTTTTACTATTCCTGTCATCCTTCCTCCCACCTTGACATGCTTACTGATTGAAAGCTATGCACAGAAAAAGGGCAGGTCGCTTGTATGTATAAGCAAGAGCAGCAAGTCCAAACAGGCTTAGAAAACGTAATGCTATAATCACGAGTTGTCATAATATAGGAGAGGGGAGAGAGGAATACTCAGCAATAAGAGTGGTGTTGGGTATTGCTCCAAATTACATGGATGACACATCTTTGAACTCTATTGTGTCGGGGGAAAACACCTTCTTGCTGTAGTTAGATTTCCTGTTTGTGAATGTGTATTTTCTGGTAACCAGACTTCCTATATGAATTTGACATAGCTTTAAGTGCATTTCAAATGACATGATTAAAGAATGGCTGCTTTGGAGACAGCAGCTCCTTCTCTCTTAAAGAAATAAACTATCATGCTAAAATATAGGCATTGAGATCTTTCTTGATACCATATTGTGAATTTCTAATGGCTCATCACATTTTTATCCTCAGAAAACCTTTCCTGGTGAAAAGCATGCTGTTTTAGTATCACATTTGGGGTGATGGAATTGGCAATTTCTTATATCTTGAGGGGGCGGGGGGGTAAAAGGAAAATTGTGTTAATAGGGTCTTAAAATAGAGATTCTCTTAGGTTAACCTGAAGATTTACTAAATACATTATCATTACAGCTTGTTTTGACATTTAATTGTAGATGGCACTGTATCAGCACTGACTTATTTATACAGCTTTGTTTAGACATGCCTAATTTTTATTTCATTGGTGGAACCAAACCATCAGTAATAAATCATATATCAGTGTTTTTGTACACATTCGTATTTACATGACTTTTAAAATTCCAATGTAAAGGTCTCACAACTTGAAAAATGAATGAATGCCTGAGTATTTGAACAGTTGGGAAAATGTAGTTCAATTTAAGAAAGATTTTTTATGACAATTCTTATGCCATATATAGAAAATAGATAATAAAGGAGAAGGCCTGGAGGTTTAGATGGGATATTGGATCAATGAGCAAAGGAAGGGGAAAGGTGGGCGGGATATGCTGAAGGGTCATGGGCTTGAGTGCACCCTAAGTCATAAAGAGGGTGTCCCATTAAGAATCAGGCTGCCTGAATTCTAAGTAGGAAAGAGGCAGGTCAAAATGGTGTATAGGCCAGGCACAGTGGCTCACGCTTGTAATCCCAGCACTTTAGGAGGCCAAGGTGGGTGGATGGCTTGAGCTCAGGAGTTTGAGACCAGCCTGGGCAACATAGCAAAACCCCCCTCTTAAAAAAATTACAAAAAGTAGCTGGACATGGTGGCGCACACTTGCAGTCCCAGCTACTCAGGAGGCTGAGGTGGGAGGATCACCTGAGCCTGGGAGGCCAAGGCTGTAGTGAGCCGAGATCATACCACTGCACTCCAGCATGGGTGACAAAGAGAGACCCTGTCTCAGAAAAAGTGGGGGAGGGAGGGTATGGAATAAAGTAAAGCTCATGGGAAAATGGTACCTTTACCATTTTCCCACCTTGGGAAATGGTGGGAAAATTTAGACATTGCTTTACAAAGTCTAAATTTCTGCCAACTTGTGTTACATGTGGTTTGATTCTGGAGAAAGATAGACTATCATCTATCCAGTCCTAAATTGGGCCTCTTAGTCTGTCCTCCCCTCAGTTACCAGGAAGAATAGCAGGAATATGTCACAGAAGCAGAGAAAGCTTTTATTCTGAGTGTCAGAGGCATGTTCTAAGCACTCTGTTATCTACTCCCAGGCACTCTAAATGAAATTCCATTTTCTCTGAGGAAATCAAAATATAAAAAGAAAACTCAGGCAAATTTATAAAGGTTTTACACCATTTTCATGACTGAAATATTCTAGCATATCTAGCTCATTATAATCTATAAATTCCTGTTGGGACCAAAAGTTATGGCCCTAAAACCTGTTATCTGTAATCCTTTTCCACTGGGATATTGTCTCTGGGGATATATATTAGCTTTCCTTGAGGATACTACCTTGAAACCATTTCTTTGGTCCTTGACTATACAAAGTTCATACTAGCATGGATGTAGGAATTGTATTTTTCTATTCTAAATACGAATTTAGACAGTGATATAAAGATTCAAGGAAAGCTTCTATCAAGGCCTGCCTTCACTACTTGTCTTTTGGCTCCTCTGAGGGTCTTAGGTGAGCCACTTTCATCTGATTCTGCCCTCACTTCAGGCAGAATTCATATGGCTCCAGCCAATGGCTACACTGTCCAAAGTGAGACTGTGGTCTCACAACCATCTGGTTAATACAAAGACAGCAAGCCAATATGATCACTTAGGACCTAGGCAAACCTTTGGGCTTAAAATATTACCTTAGCTATTGTTGTTTTTAATGAGTATCAAATAGTATGATATTTGTAATTTGTATTATGTAAAGAAGTAACCAAAGCAGAGATTGTTGACAAAAAAAAAAACTTCCTCCTAACATAAATGAATATGCATTTTGGACTTTTCAAAAATTCCCTTTCTGTCTTGTCAAAATTAAGATATTTCTAAATTTTATTTCGGTCTCACTAACACATACTTGGATTATTGTTCATTGAAATCTGTACGTCAAGGCCCAGTGATTTTAAACATTCTTTTGGTCTTCAAAGAACTTACCAAAAAAAAATTGTTCTTTAAATCACCAGAAAAGTGCAGATAAAATCCCAGACAGTTTCATTAATGACAATGAAAGGTGACAGCCCTTGAATCTATGTCATAAGTTGATTAATTACTTTCCAAACATTATTAAAGATATTAGACGAATAACTTAGACTGGTATCCAGGATCAAGGTTCCTTCATAATCCCTAAATGGGTTTTAATTTTCAGAGTTAGATGATCATTATATGTGATTTATTTCTTTAACATCTTTAGACTGTTGGCTTTATTGAAAAGAGAGGAGAGTATCTGTTTCAATGTGTTTTCTTTTCCCTGAAGTTATTCCTTGCAGAATTCAATAAAACCGGTTTTGAAATAAAAATAATTAAATGCTGGCATTTTCTGTTAATAAGGGCCCATAGACCTGATGAATTATATAAACATTACAAGGAATTTACCACTGAGTTCATAATTATGTAACCATTTAATGCCCAAACCTGCCTACTGACAGTGAAGACGTTCAATGAGAATGGACATTGTGCATTAGGATAAGGATGACCTGGAGTGAACTTTCATTCTTGTTTTGGTTCTTTCCCATTTTGCCCAATTCATAGCACCTGATTCTCTTAACCAGCAAGTCTGTTTGCATGTCTCCAGTCCAATTTTTCGCCATGCCCACTGCAGTGATTCCAAACTCTCACCATTTCTTAAGCTCTTGCATCTTTTGGGCTCTCCTTATTCTCAGTATAAGATCTTTCCTTATAGTTTAGAGAGTAAACACAAGCCCAGTTGTTTCCATGTCACCCATTATTACCTCTTTCTGTCTCAAAGGATGAAACAGTCTTTTCTACCTAAGTCTTGACCCTGTTGTTCCCCACACCTGTGAGCACCTCCTCCCTCTATCCTACCCACCTTACAACTCTTCCCGTGTTTAAAATCTCCCTCACCATTTTTCTTTTTTAAAAAAATTATATTTTAGGCTCAGTGGTACATGCGCAGATTTGTTACATAGGTAAACTCGTGCCACAGGGTTTATTTCATCACCCAGGTATTAAGCCTAGTACCCAATAGTTATCTTTTCTGCTCCTCTCCCTCCTCTGCCCCCTCAAGTAGACCCCAATGTCTGTTGTTCCTTTCTTTGTGTTCATAGGTTCTCATCGTTTAGCTCCCACTTATAAGTGAGAACATGCAGTATTTGGTTTTCTGTTCCTTTGTTAGTTTGCTAAGGATAACAGCCTCCAATTCCATCCATGTTTCTGCAAAAGACAGAATCTCATTCTTTTTTATGTCTGCATAGTATTCCATGGCTTCTCTATTTTTCATTCACCTCTTACTCAACTTACTGATTCTTCTAGAAAGAAATAAAACACACACATCAGGCATCCTGATAGGATCTTGAATACACAATTTCCTTAAGTAGTCACTCCTGTTTTCATTTTAGCCTTTAAATAATGAATTCTTGAAAATAAATGTCTAACTCAGTTTCTCTACTTTCTTCATTCCCATTCATTCTTAAGTCATTCAACTCAAGCAGTCTGTACCACATGCCCAAGAAAGTGTCCTCATTCTAATCACCAGTGCCCTCCTCATGGCCAGATCTGATGGACACTGGTTTTTATCCCTTTTGACCCGTCTGTAGAATTTGACACCATACATTTTATTTCTCCCTTCTCGAAAGTTCTCCTTAGCTTATCTCTCCACATTTTCTTTGCCTACAATTGTTCTTTTTACCCTTTAAAACATAAAGGTTAGATTCTAGTCTTCTGTAAGGCTCCATCTGAATTCCTCCTTTCTACTTACAAAACACATTCACAAGTGATCTCACTTCAGTGACTTCCAATACACCGATGGACGAGTGGTTCACAAACCGCTCTCTCTCACTTCCTCTTTTCTCTAGACCACCACTTTCATGTTGTCAGCTACCTTACAGACTCCACCACTTAGATGACCAGAAGCTACATCAGGGTTATTAACTCAACTAATTACTTTTACCCTCAAAGTCTCCTCTCCCTATTTTCCTTACCTTGGTTTATGATACCCAGATAGACAATTTTTTAGCCATTCTTGGCTTTTCAGTCTCCTCTACAATCAAAATCCATATTGAATAATTCCCACATAATTTTTCTCACTTTAATATGTGTATAATCTAGTCCTTCCTTTCTTTCCATAATGCTAGAAACTTTGTTCAGGAACATTCTTTTGTATATTGATTGATTCTGTTGTCCATTCATTCAATAAATGCTTACTAAGTGCCATGTAATGACACTATGCTAAGGGCTAAAAGTGGAGCTTACACTCTGATGGGAGACACAGATAAATAAGTTACTATATAGTGTGGTAAAGGCTAGATAAGGGGAAGACAGGTTTGATGTTTGAGCACATAGGAGAGTTCCTAATTCCTTACTAGAAGGTAAGAGATGCATCAGAGAAGGCTTCCCAGAACTGTTCCCTAAGATGAGGCTTGAAGAGAGAGGACAACTTATCCATGTGAAGTTGAGGGCAAGAATATCCATAAAGAGGGATCCACATGTGCTGAAACCCAGAGTGGCTGAGCACATGGCTTGCTTCAAGAACTGGAAGAGGGCAGAGTGGCCAGAGCCTAGATTTCTAATGGTGTGATGGCAAGAGGCAAGACTGGAGAGTGGGGCAGAAAAAAATGGTATGTGGTTTGTAAGCTCTGCCAAGGGGTTGACATTTTTTTTCAGCAAAGAAGTGACATAGTCAAATTGTCAGTTTAGAAAGATATCTCTGGTATGCTAGGGGGCAGATGATCAGGGTGAGAATGGAGAGGGAAGACCAGCGAGGAAGCTGTTGTAGTAATCCAGGTATGAAGTGACACTGCCCTGACCATGGGCATGGAAGCCAATAAGGAGATGGACATGTTTAAAATATTTGTAGGTGGGTGTCAAAGATGATGTCCTAGAAATATGGGACATGTTCAGCACTGAGGTAGGATACAGAGAGGGAGACCAGGTTTTGTGGGAGTAGATGGAGATAACAGAAGGATATCCAACTGCTCCTTCTTGGTCTCTTGTCCCATCTGTCTTTGTCTCCTGACCTATTAGCTTTGGTGGCGCCATCACTCAGTCCTCCTCTCTTCATTCTCTACAGTCCCTCTCCTCGGAGATCCCATCCACTCTCATGGCTTTTCATGATGTCTACATGCTGACAACTTCTTAATTTAAATCTCTAGCCCAGACCTTTCTCCTTAACCCCGGGACTCAAACATCCAACTGCATGCCCGGCATCTCCACTTAGATGCCTAAAAAATGTATGTCAGGCTGAGTGCAGTGGCTCATGCCTGTAATCCCAGCACTTTGGGAGGCTGAGGCGGGTGGATAGTGAGGCGGGTGGTGGTCAGGAGTTCAAGACCAGCCTGGCCAACATGGTGAAACCCCGTCTCTACTAAAAATACAAAATTTAGCCAGGTGTGGTGATGTGTGCCTGTAATCCCAACTACTCAGGAGGCTGAGGCAGGAGAATCGCTTGAACTTGGGAGGCGGAGGTTGCAGTTAGCCAACACCACATCACTGCACTCCAGCCTGGGCAACAGAGCAAGACTCCATGTCAAAAAAATAAAAATAAAAAAACCTCCATTGTGGGCAAAACTACATTCCTGGTCTCCTCATATCCTACAAACATGCTTCACCAACCAGAGTCTGCATGTCGGTAACTGGCAAAGCCATTCTCTCTGTTAAAAAAGTCAAAATCCTTGGCATATTCTCCTTTTTTTCTCACATGCCTCAGATCTGACTCCATCAGTAAATCCGGATGGAGTTCGATCTGAGGCATGTGACAAAATAGCTCTGTCTTCAAAATAGAACCAGAATTCGGCCACATCTCCCCACTCTCCCCTTCCTTCCTGGCCCAGGCCACCAGGGTCCCCCTCCTGGAACACCACTGGAGCCTCCCAGCTGGCCTCACCACTCCACCTTTGCCCTGAACTGCCCCCCAGCCACTAGCAGTCTTCTCTCCCATATGATCGAGGTGAATACATTCCAACATAATCCCCCCTTGTTCAACACCCTGCAATGACTCCCCATTTCACTCCAATAAAAACCTGAATCTCCCAGGGGCCTACAAGGCCTTACATGCTCTGCTTCTTTGTCCTTTTGATCTCAGCTCCCGGTCAACAAAGTCCAGGCTTACTGGCCCCCTTGCTGTGCTTCAGACACACCAGGCACATTTAGTTCTTCCTTCTTGCCTCTGCCCAGAAATCTCTTTTCCCATCTCAGACATCTGGGTCCACAAAAGCCACCTTCCCAATTTCCGAGCTACAAACCTATCCCCATACCTCTCCTCCAGGCAGTTCTGATGCCCCAGCCCTACTTTTTGTTTTTCCCTGTAACACACATCAACTTCTGAAACACTACATCATCAGCTTGTTATGGGTATTAATTGTTGTCCCCAGCTAAAAAGTAAGTTCCACAAGAGCAGGGGTGTTGGGTTTTGTTTACTGATGTATCCCAAGCATCTGATGCATAGTAGGACCCCAGTAAATACTTGTCAAATTTGGTCTTAAATAGCTGTTGCATAGACAAAAGTGATATTGGAGAGATGGATTTCGGGATTCTCTGGAGATCCTTCAACAAAACATATCAGACTTTCTTTAATGTGGCCACAGCCTAATCTTATACCTTTTTCCACTGTCAACCCAGCCCACCTGGCCTCTATGCCAATTGCAGCTTCCTGGACAACCCTGCATCTTCTCCCCAGGTGCCCGTGTGTGAGTCCACTCCACCCAAAGTGTCTGTCCCCTACCTCAGCTGCACCTGAGCAGCTCCAACTTATCCTGCAAGACACAGCTCAAGTAGTATCCCCTCTGAAATACTCCTTGGCCCCGCTTTCTGTCTGCATAGTTAGCTCTTCTCCCCCGTGCTGCTCCACTGACATGCGCACACCTTTACAGCACAGCCTGGGCGTGTTGCAGGTGGAAGGTGGAGATTCCCAGTCAAGGGGCAACACCTGTATGGTTGGAAAAGTTGTTTGTTTTAATTTCTTGCCCTCTCTTCTCTCTTCTATTTCTTTCCTCTCCCATAAATACACATACCGCCTATATACACACAACCTGCCCTGAATTGTTTTCCTTGAATTGATGAGTTACGTAAATGCAATCCTAAGCACAGTTGTTTTCAGGTTGTCCTAACCTTTTGCTTTATTGATTTTTCAAGGATCCAGAGTGTTTACTGAGTTTCAGAAATTGGATTCTGTACTTATTTTTCTGTACTATCCTAGTTTTATGAGAATCTATTTGCTCAGCATTCTCTATTCTTTTAAAAGTGTTTAAGATTTTTGTAAACAGTTTTGTTTGGTTCTTTATTTTCTGGTGACATATTGATCTCAACATAATGCTATTCATATACTTTTAATTCTTCTTCCAACACTGTTAGGATTGCATTATGTTCACCCAAGGAATCCACATCTGTACAAAATGTGGCCAGGTTTGGCTATTCCTTCACATTCACAGTATTCTCATGATTTCTAACAATTCTTGTCTACTTTGCCTAAATAAGAAAATGTCATATACTGACAATTTTGATCGTGAAAAAGAGACCTTAGTTCATACCAGTGTCAGAGTCTACTTGCAAACATTGATTTCCAAGAAAATTTCTCAGGTGTGAGCAAATAAGCAAAATAAATTCAGACCTAAGAGAAAATAGCACTACAAGGAACGCCCAGCTCATTCAAACGCTCTGCATTTTGAGACTAGAGGGGGCTTGGCCTTTGGCACCCTCACACCTCTCCCCTTTGTCTCTCTGTCCCTGGGTGCTGATTTCTCTTTCTTTGTGTGACAGCCACTGTGAAAAGAATGGGGTTCACTCACCACCTGCATTCCTCCACAGCCATTTGATATCTGCTTTCGATAACAGCAGAGGAAACTGATCAGTCATATAAATCCAATCCTGAGCATAGTTCCTCGTTTGGAATTGTACCATGCTTTATGCCGAGGACATTTTCAAACACGGAGGGAGGGGATGTCTGATTCATTCGTGAGTAATGTACCAGCTTCCTCTCCAACTTGTCTCCCTTCAGTGGTTCACATTCTGACTATTCAGTCGGTTTATCCTTTCCAAACCCAGTATTTGAATGCAACTGGCAAAGGTTGATTGCCTCTTTTTTTTTTTAATATATAGACTTGGAAAGATGTTTCTCAAATGTGATTTGCGGATTTATGTTATTCAGTCTTCCTGGATTAATTGAACAAAAACTGGTAACACTGCTACACAGTCTGAATCACAAAATTATGTCCATCCATTTGGCTGAAAAATACGAAAACAAATACTTGTATAAGTTTTCATGCATTTTAGCACTTTCTTTACATTGGGGAAGTTCAACCTTCACACTTTCAAGGGCAATGAAACATTTTTGTCTGACCTACAATTTATTAATGGGACAAAAGCCCATCTGTCAATCAGGGCTCTGAGAGTTCAATGTATTTTCTGAACAATATTTTTTACATTATGTACAATGGTAAAAACAAATGTCCATTTATTCTTCTTTCCAAGAAGTTGAGTACTTTCAACCATTCTTAAAAGGACAAAGATGTTTGCTGACAGAATATGAATTTATAAAGGATAATCTTGAGGATATAATGGCATTCTATTCTTTTTATCTTTACTCTTGCCATATCAGAGTTGGATAATAGTCTCAATCATATGTTACAACTAGAAAATGCACAATTGGCTTTTTCTTATGCTAACAGGCAGCCATTTTCAACTTTTTAAATGATTATAGGACTAAGAGGGGATGCAAAAACAGATAAGAATCTGAATAAAAGCACTATCTGTCAAAGAAACAACATTTGTGTAATAATCAAGAAACCGTTTAGAGCACCCCCTGGAAACATTAATTATAACACATGCAAATCATTCCTGTACAAAGCTTAACTTGTTTATCTCCTATAGCCACCTGTATTTGAATTTTTTAATAAGCTCATTTATTATAAATAAAGCATGTAAATCAATCTGGGAATACCTTTTCTGTTTCAGAAATTTCATGTAAATGACAGGCTGCCACATACAGTACAACTATAGAGGGGAAAAAGTTTCTTTACTCCCTTTCATATAGTTATACCTTCATATGACACTTAAAACCACCTGCCAGGAACTTTTAAAACATGTTTTAGATGCACAGAAGCAAACCCAAATGAAAAAATGCTATGCAGTTTTGCAATACATATATACCACAGAAAGCTTTAAAAACATTCTACCCCAACAGATAAATAGATTTGGCCCAAATCTTTTTAATGTGAGTTTTGTGGGTAAAAAAGATTATTGTTCCCTTATTTTTCCCCATTTGCTGACGACTAGGATTGTCATATAAAATACATTCCTGGGACATGCTTATACTAAACAAATTATCCACTGTTTATCTGAAATTCAAATTTAACTCAGCATCCTATATCTTTACTTGCTAAATCTCAGTTGGGATATGGGCTTACTCTTTTTTTTTTTTTTTTTTTTTTTTTTTGAGACAGAGTCTGGCTCTGTCATCCAGGCTGGAGTGCAATGGTGTGATCACGGTTCACTGCAGCCTCAACCTCCCTAGCTCAAGTGATTCTCCCACCTCAGCTTCCACAGTAGCTGGGACTATAGGCACATGCCACCATGCCTGGCTAATTTTTTTATTTTTTGTAGAGATGGGGTTTGCCCAGGCTGGTCTCAAACTCCTGAACTCAAGCAATCGTCTGGCCTCAGCCTCCTGAAGTGCTGGGATTGCTGGCGTGAGTCACAGTGCCTGGCCTGAGCTAACTCTTTTTTAAAGAGTTAAAATACTGGTTCCTATTTGTTTTTACTTCTCTAGTATGGGAGGCTGTTACTGTGGCTTCTGTCTTGGGGGGCAATTTTCGAAGGGCTTCAAGAACTTGAACCGAGGTTAGAGGAAAACCACAAGATGGCTAAAGGGTGGGAAAAGAAGAAATAACACTATTTAAACTTTAGATGAGAGGACTAAAGTGATGAAACAGTCACCAGGTATTTGGAGTGGTCTCACCCAAGGGACTGTGCCAACTTCCTCATTTTTTATGAGGGCAGGCAAAAACTGGCCAAAACACAAGTTAGGATAATAAGCATAGTAGCTATTATTAAATGCTAGGGTGTGCTGCATAACTGAAGGACAGTGTTTCTCACAGTTTATCTCCAACTCTCATGGCCAACCCATGAGATGTATATCATTATCCCCACGTTTTGAATATAAGAAACTGACACTCAAATCAGAAGGCATGTCAGTGAAAAAGGCCATATTCACATCCCATCTAAGTCTGTCTGACACTAAAGCCCACACTCTCTCCACTACACTCCACCTTGTCTCCAGAATGTTTTGGGCTGTTTAAATGTGATTATACCAAAGAGCAGTTGAATGCACTGAAAAATTCTGAAGATTCCTCCTGTCCCTTCGATTCACTGTTGGAAACCATTGTCAAGGTAGTGTCTGGCTACGATAGAAGGGATTTTTGACATGGCCTATTGTTTTATCTTTTTAAAGTAAATGTAGGTGCTTTTGATGATCATAACACTAACTGTTAAGTCTTTAGGCATAAGAATCAAGCATTCAACTAAGCATGTTTACAAATTTGCTTTCAGCCCAGTGGATCTATCCACTTTTCCATTTAGGTTGCACATTTAGATTTCGGAGTTTATCCTGTTATCTTCAAATCCACGGACTGTACACTCTTTGAGGGAAGAAACTCTTAGTATCTAGTCAAGTACGTGGCATGCAATGGGTGCTCCCAAATACTTGATTAATATCATATGATATAATGTAATATGATTCTTCATAAACAGTGAGTGTTTATAAATACAGTATTTTAAATGTCATTAGGAATCTTCTATTGGAATCTTAACTTTATTTTAATAGACCTACTTTTAAAGTTAATAAACATAATATAAATGTGGACAGGGCTAAGATTTTTCCCTAAGATTTCACTCTGGCAAGTCTTCCTGGAGATTTAGCCATGGCTATTTTTATGACTGTAATTTCCTTAATATGGGGCCTCAGCCATATTCCATCATCATAAATCCCTTTCTTGCACTTAAAAGCAATGTTGAAATATTTTCCAGTTTCTATATCTTAACTCTTTACTTAGATCCATTATTTCCATTTTGAGATTATCTTATGTAAATATTGTAGAAGATTTTAGAATTATATAATAAGAAAATACTAGTATACCACCTCAGAAATCTTAACTAATAGATATGTTCTCAAATGCAAAGTGAAATATTTAAAGTAATTATTCAAGTAAATAAAGAGACCATCTTTGTCCCAATTACTTGAATATTTTACGTAAAGTTGGTTTTATGCACTTGACTTTGTGTTTAAACTCAAGTTTGTAGTATTGTCTACTGGACATTGTTAGCTCAGGACCTTTTCAGGAGCAAGGAATGAAAGAATCATTTTTAAACTTATTTAAAAAAAGAAATAAGGAAGAAAAGAAGAAATTTTACTGGCTCGCCTTAGCTTAAGACATGGCTGGATACAGATGCTCAGACAATCACATCAGGAGCCTGCCTCCCTCCGTGTCTGGGCTCTCTGGCCTCTTGGGTCAGTTTCATGCTCAGGCTGGCTTTCTCCACATAGTGGCAAAGATGGGCATCAGACATCCCAAGTTAACATCATCTTTAGTGCTCATGCTGTCAGAATGAAAGAGGCCCTCTCCCAGCATCCATATTAAATCTCCAAAGAGATTCTGTTTGGCCTTGCTTTGGCCACATACTCAACCCTGACCAAGCTCCGTGTCAAGAGAACAGAGTTCGTTGAAAGGCCAGCCTGGTTTGCACACTCATTCTGTGTTGAAAGATGTAGACCATGTGATTGACAGTCCCAGGAGATAGGAGAGGGAGAATTTTCAAAAGAGTTGCCGGTATAAGAGACAGTGGATTCTGGGAAGGTAAAAAGAGGTATTTATTAAAATACTGTGCCTTTGGAATAAAAATCTTTTCCAGGAAATGCAAATAATTTAAAACAATTCAAATAAGGATCATACATTTTAAAACAATTAGAAATACACTCAGAAGAACTGAATTGCTCATTTAGTAGATTTCAGATAATATTTTCTCCTCTTTGAACCTCAGTTTTGTCATCTGGAAACACAGGATAATGCTTACCTTATAAGGTAATCATGATTAGAAGAGATGATGGAGCTGACCATATCTATTTACTATAAAGTGCTATCTACATAGTTATAAATTATGACAGCTAAGAAAATTAATCCCTAAAGAAAGCAAAATTACCTATGTCACGGTTTAGAAAGTCTCTCTCTTAAGAAGAAACTTATTCTATTGCCTCTGTTGGGTTTTTTCCTGAGGAATCGGTGTTTGAATGCAATATACATTTTTGTAGGCTCTGCAATGTTTTTATGATGAGGACAGTCATAGTGTTGACAATTACTCAATGAATACTTAGAGATTTGAATGTATCGCTAGATTTCTGGGAAATGAAAAGACCAATGTAAGCTAGTTGAATGAGAAAACCAGAGGTGGGCAGATGGTGGACAGATTAAGTCGCTGGTTTTAAAGGTAGGCTGAACTGGTATTTGTAACTATTAATAACAGCCATCTTCTTTAAAGGAAGTACTCCTAAATATCAATAGTTTAGTGGCCAAGGTGCCATTGAGATGATCACTCCCAGGAAATGTTTTGCCAGTGATATTACCTTAACTTTCATCTGAAAAGAAATAAAGAAATGTTTTATGGATGATTCACTTTCACCTGATATGTGCACAACATTTTAAGAGAATGAATTAGTCAGTCTGTTTGAATCATCTTTACGTGTTCCTTTTAGCAGGGAACTCAAAGTTGGTTAAATGGCTAGCTCTATTTCAGAAAGCAAAAATAACAGAAACAGTGAAAAGACAGTCTATATTGAAAGCCTGATCCAGACACATCATGGGGGAATAAATATATCAGGACAAAAATATATGAAAAGTGAAAGTATTTCTGGAGTATTTCACTACCAATATAAATATTAAAATGCTCACACAGCCAGATCTGGCAAGTTACATAGATGAGGAAGTGAAAGCAATAATATGCCAAGTCAATGGCATTGGTGTAAAATGTAATCATAGAGGAACAATCTCAGAGTTGAAAATTATTAGAATTGGAAAACACTTTGAAGTTCTTTAGTTCCACCCAGGAGTATGCCATTAAATATTTAATAACCATCCCTCTGCGGGCTTTAATAACAAGCCCTGATTTGTAGTGTTTGCCAATTTCTATGGTGTCAATACAGCCACCATGGCTGATTTTAGGCTACCAAGATGAGGTCACTGAAACACAAGTTGGGAAGAGATGCACATAGTAGGCTGTCATGAGCCAGCACACAGCTGGTTCAGCATTATAATTTTCAAATAAGAAAGCAGTTGACCTCAGAGGAGTTGGGTGACTTGCCTGGGTCATACAAATAATTAGCTGCACTGCCACAACTAAACCTAGGCCCTCTCCAGTGTTTGACCTCAGAATTGTGAATGCATTATGAGGAAAGCACCATGATTGATTGATTGGTAAGCCCACGTGACTTTCTGTCCTAGTTAAGTTCCCCTTTAAGGGCCTCCATAGACATTTCTACATTGAGTTTAAACTATAGTCTGCCTATCTCCACTACTGGCCTGAGATCTCACTGACATTTGGAAAGCGTTTTATTTATCTTTGTATCTTCAGCACTCTGTACAGTATCTGACACTTAGATGCTTATAAGTGTTTGTTGGGGGCCATGTACGAACAATAGAGAACATGCATTGACCTGCTATGTGCCAGGCAGTGTTCTTAGTGATTTACATGCATTAACTTATTGAATCCTTAGAATAACTCTCACAAGTGAGGTAGGTACTATAATCCTGCCCATATTTTAGATGAGAAAATACAGGCTTAGACTTACTTGCCTAAGGTAACATGGACAGTGATTGGATTTAAACCCTAAAATCTGGCCAGTGCCTGTGCACTTGGCCTCTCAGTTGTCACTCATTTAACTAGCAGTTATCATCATAGTGCCCAGCTCAGCGCCAAATACTTCTAAAAGGTCTCCCTCCTTTCCTTAGGAAGGACACAAAACGTTTCCCAGAAAAGATCTGATCTGACCAACACACACCTTTGTTAATGGGGAAGGGCCTTTATTAATGGGAATGATCAAGGAAATGGGGCGTTTTTGGTGATTACATTTTCTCATTATCTGAGGTTTAAACAGAAACCTCTAGTTTAATTAAAATTTCTGTTGCTGACAATAGGCCCTAGTCCCATTTTTTTCTTTAATTAAAAAAGTTAACCTTTTTTTGATGTATTCACTTGAAAAATGGCATCACCATATGGTAACAGATAATGTAAAGAAGGTGTAGGAGATTAAGGTACTAACTCCAACTGTGTTCTGTGAGGGTTTTTCTTTAAATAGAAAATATATTCTTCTTCCCCACTGATTTTCCATTTCATCAAATGAAGTAACAAAAAGCCTATTTCTACATGTGTACATTTTCTTGGATTCTTGTCCACTGAGATTTAGTACAGTGTGTGACTTATGTGCGAACCTTAAGATATGAATCTTATTTTAAAAACATAATTTAATATAATATCTCTAATTTTTTTGTTTTTGTTTTTATTTTTTTTAGATGGAGTCTCGCTCTGTCATCAGGCTGGAGTGCAGTGGCGCAATCTCAACTCACTGCAACCTCCAATTCCCTGGTTCAAGAGATTCTCCTGCCTCAGCCTCCCAAGTAGCTGGGATTACAGGCATGCGCCACCACACCCAGCTAATTTTTGTACTTTTAGTAGAGACGGGGTTTCACCATATTGGCCAGGATGGTTGTGATCTCCTGACCACGTGATCCACCCACCTCTGCCTCCCAAAGTGCTAGGATTACAGATTATTTTGAAGGCTCCTTCAAAAAGCCTAGAAGAAAAAATGTCATTCACACTTCACACTGCATTAATGGACATCAACTAACATGCAAATTGGTTACAATATTTTTCTCCCTTTTGGCAATAATAATTCGTTTCCTTTCTTTCATTATAATTTCTACAGAAAATACAGCAATAAATTATATATTAAGCTCAATTTTGTTAGATACACTGATACCATATTGATAAGTGCAGTTAACTTTTCACATAATATTTATTTTTCCCATTGTGCTCTAGATGGTTTAGATACATATTTGCAGTTTGGTTTACAGTTTGTATTTGCCCTCTAGTACAACAAATTGTCCCTAATCCTTTTCTTCTATCCCTTGTTATTCCCTCTACCAGCACCAAAAATTTGCTAGTACATTGCAAAACAATGAGAATTACAGATAAAATAGCAAGCATTTATATATACTCTATATTGATCAAAGTGCTTTCAGAGATGAGATCTCTTTTTGATCCTTAAAATGGTCACGTGAGAATATCTGACCCTGGGACTCAGAGGTGGGTGATTGCCTGGAGTCACACAGCTAGAGAGGGAAAGGGCTAGAATCAGAGGGCTGATTGTCTGACTTCTGTTCTAGTGCATGCTCCCACCTCGCTTTGGAAGCTGCTTCGGCATAGTGAAGCACTTAAGAGCATGGATGGGTTCTTGTTAGCCAGACGTGGAATTGAATCTTGGTTCTAACTGTGTGATTTTAGCAAGTTTGCTTATCTAGAAGAGAAGGATAATAATACTTCCTTCTTCACAGGGTGGTGATGAAGAGTAAATCAAAGAGTTTAGCAGAATGCTTCCCATATGGTAAGCACTCAATACATGTTCTTGTTATTTTTATTATTACATGGCTTTGCCTTACTGAGGCTTCATCTTGTCCTCTGGTCCAACTACAGTTCTCTAGCTTGGCTTATCCCTTCATAACCTGTACCCCCAGTGGCACGATCTTGGCTCACTACAACCTCCGCTTCCCAAGTTCAAGCAATTCTCCTGCCTCAGCCTCCCAAGTAGCTAGGATTACAGGCACCTGTCACCACACCCAGCTAATTTTTTTGTAGTAGAGATGGGGGTTCACAGTGTTGGTCAGCCTGGGTTCAAACTCCTGACCTCAAGTGATCTGCCCACCTCAGCCTCCCAAAGTGCTAGGATTACAGGCATGAACCACCGCGCTCAGCCAGGAATTTTCATTCTTTATCCTCCTTTGAGACTCGGCTCTAGCATCATTTCCAGTCGAGTTGGTCTCCCTTCCTCTGCATTCTGATAACTGTTAACCATCAAGTGACTTGAGCTTCCCAGGGAAGGGCATCATGTCTTTGTAGACATCCAATAAATGTTAGTAGAAGAAAGGGGGGTCCTGCCAATAATCATATGTCTTTCCCACAATTTAAACTCCTTTTCACCCTGTTACTACTTTTTGCTTGTCTTCCCTTTGATAAACATTCTACTTCTTCATCACCCATTCCCTCAATTTAACATCTGATACTACTATAGAAACTACTGCCTTGAAGATCAACAAACGGGTTCCATGTGGACCAACGTCCTCCTTGAGACCCTCACTTGGCTTTTGTGACACAGTGCAATATTTGCTCTCTTGATGCCTCACTGACCTTAACCTTCCTTGACTCCTGCATAGATTTCTCAACTGTGGGTATCCCCTAAGATTTAGGCCATTTGCCTTCTCTTCTTTCATCTAGTCCATTCATGAACACACCCATTCCTGGTTTTAACCATCACCTCTGTGCAGATAATGTGCAAAGTTTATTTCTAGTCGGAGTGGAGTCTCTGTTACTCTGCCAATCAAGTTCTAAATTTTTATTCCTTCTAGTGCAGCAGTGGCAAATACCTGACACTCATGTGTCTCACTCAAGACAGATACTGTTTCACCCAAGACTGATCATGCCGCTTTCCCAGTCAAGGCAGGCTTCTCAGAATCCTTCTCATTTCCGCCTCTGTTCTTTGGCACTAATGCTCTGTCTGCCCAGAGTTTTCATTCTTCACTTGTTCCAGGCACCTGCTTCCTGGTGAATAATGTAAAACCTGCTAGTCATCCTTATAGGAGAATATGCACTCATTTCCCAGCAGCACACCCGACTCAACGTGGTTAAAACCAATCTACCATTCCCATATATTCAGCCTAACTTCCCAGTGCAGTCTACCCTAGTTTTATAACTTGTTCTACTTTTTCCAGATAACTGCTAATCATCTTTGTTTGTCTTTGCTTTCTTTTTTGCACTGTGTTTGATATATTAGGGTATCAAATCCTACTTATTCAAATATGTCCCTTATTCATTCCTTCTATCCTTGGTGCTACCATATTTGTTCTGGCTCTTGTTACCTCATTATGGGATATAAAAATAGCCTGTCAACTGGTCTTTCCATTGCCAGGATCTCTCTGTTCTAAGCCACCCTGCCTCCAGATCAATCTTCCTAGAGTAAAACCTTCATTGTATGACGGTCTAGCTCAAAATTCCTTAATGATTATTAATCACCTCTTAAAGTCCCCAATTCTTAGACTATTAGTAGGGTAAAATTATTTTTGATTTGGAGTCAAAAAATTTTGGACGCAAATTTTGGCTACTACACTTAACCATTATGTAACTTCGAATTTCGGCTTAATTTTTATTCATCATTTATTCAGTATCTATTTGTTTAACACCTTCTGCATCTCAGGCTCTGTACTAGGTACTTGGGATACAATGATGAGCCAAGCAGACCTTGTCCTTGCTCTCCTGGACCTCACAACATGGTGAACTTGTCTCTATTGCTCATGATCATAATAATCCTAAGTACAGGCTGTGCTTTTTTCCCTTGATACTTGTAGCTTTTGGTTTGTGCTATGCAGGGTATTGTAATACCATTTGCAGTGCCACAATAATCAGCATATATGTGTTATCACTCAGCCACATTGCAGCTTCACTGAAGGGCAGGGGCTATGTCCCATTTCTCATAGCGCAAGCACAGTGCCCTGCACATACCAGCTGCTCAGTGATTTCTGATGTGGTTTTTGTAGATCCAGGGTTAGTCTTTGGCAGTCATGATGCCTAGTATGTTTTTAGAGGCTCCCTTTGTCCTATCAGAATTATGCTATTTAAAAAAAAGTCATACCTATTTAGTTTATATTCATTCTAAGGCCTCTCCTTTCCAACCTACTACCCTGCCTATAACTATTATAAGGAGAACTCACAATGTTTATAACTTGTGCACCTTAAGTTTTAAATACTGAATAACAGGCCCATTCATGTTTCCTCATAGAAATACTGTCTATATGCATACAATGAAATGTTAAAATAATGTTCTTTTTACTAAATAGCTTTTTGACTTGGTAATGAACAATATGTTGTTTTTCCCTGAGAAGTAGTTCTAGGACTTTAGTTCTGAAGATTATGTTGTATTTTATACATTTTCAGCCTCCTGTTTTTCAGTTCCCAGTGATCTTACATTAAACATTTGTCTGTCTAAAACAATAGGTTAACTATAGCCAAATTATAACCATACCATTCCTCTCCACACAAAATCCTATAAACAGCATGTGATCATATTGCTTCTAGAATTTATGATTGTTTTCTTCCAAAAGGAAGCTAAATTTAGCCTAGTAATTCTACATGCGCTCAAGAAAACAATGCCTGCTGTGATTTCTAGAATAAATGAATGTGAACCACAGTTCCTTTACTTGACTAACAGAGAAAGTTTAAATATCAACCTAGTCATTAACCACAGTTATTAAACCACGTTAAACAACCAGCAAGGGGTTAAGAAAGAAAGTTGCTATGTTTTTTCTTTCATTGCTGAATGAGTCTAACTTAGTTACTGTATCAACCTTAATACAGAACATTGTTTGCATCTCAATGGTTCTCTAAAATTATTCGTTCATGGCTTGAGTTCTAAAATTAAACTATGTGGAGTCATGTCCAACCGCACAATGCATCTTTATGTGAAACTTGCTAGAGTTTTTGTTTTCCTTCTATGTAAAAGTCCAGTTGGGAAGCTTTATTTCTGATAGATTAAATGGTATAGGTCTTTCAGTTTTCTCTTCATTTCTGACAACTGAACTGCTCTCGCCTTGAACCTGTTTTGGCAGATAAACCTCTCATAATGAAGGCCCCCGCTGTGCTTGCACCTGGCATCCTCGTGCTCCTGTTTACCTTGGTGCAGAGGAGCAATGGGGAGTGTAAAGAGGCACTAGCAAAGTCCGAGATGAATGTGAATATGAAGTATCAGCTTCCCAACTTCACCGCGGAAACACCCATCCAGAATGTCATTCTACATGAGCATCACATTTTCCTTGGTGCCACTAACTACATTTATGTTTTAAATGAGGAAGACCTTCAGAAGGTTGCTGAGTACAAGACTGGGCCTGTGCTGGAACACCCAGATTGTTTCCCATGTCAGGACTGCAGCAGCAAAGCCAATTTATCAGGAGGTGTTTGGAAAGATAACATCAACATGGCTCTAGTTGTCGACACCTACTATGATGATCAACTCATTAGCTGTGGCAGCGTCAACAGAGGGACCTGCCAGCGACATGTCTTTCCCCACAATCATACTGCTGACATACAGTCGGAGGTTCACTGCATATTCTCCCCACAGATAGAAGAGCCCAGCCAGTGTCCTGACTGTGTGGTGAGCGCCCTGGGAGCCAAAGTCCTTTCATCTGTAAAGGACCGGTTCATCAACTTCTTTGTAGGCAATACCATAAATTCTTCTTATTTCCCAGATCATCCATTGCATTCGATATCAGTGAGAAGGCTAAAGGAAACGAAAGATGGTTTTATGTTTTTGACGGACCAGTCCTACATTGATGTTTTACCTGAGTTCAGAGATTCTTACCCCATTAAGTATGTCCATGCCTTTGAAAGCAACAATTTTATTTACTTCTTGACGGTCCAAAGGGAAACTCTAGATGCTCAGACTTTTCACACAAGAATAATCAGGTTCTGTTCCATAAACTCTGGATTGCATTCCTACATGGAAATGCCTCTGGAGTGTATTCTCACAGAAAAGAGAAAAAAGAGATCCACAAAGAAGGAAGTGTTTAATATACTTCAGGCTGCGTATGTCAGCAAGCCTGGGGCCCAGCTTGCTAGACAAATAGGAGCCAGCCTGAATGATGACATTCTTTTCGGGGTGTTCGCACAAAGCAAGCCAGATTCTGCCGAACCAATGGATCGATCTGCCATGTGTGCATTCCCTATCAAATATGTCAACGACTTCTTCAACAAGATCGTCAACAAAAACAATGTGAGATGTCTCCAGCATTTTTACGGACCCAATCATGAGCACTGCTTTAATAGGGTAAGTCACATCAGTTCCCCACTTATAAACTGTGAGGTATAAATTAGAAATAAGTATCAGTCTCAAAAAGAATATCCAGGGCTTCTTTTGTGCTTTGTAAATGGTGTTTATCCAAAATAGTTGCAGATTTTTTCCAAGAAAATTGAGGAATTGAATCTTCATTTACACCTAAAATTATATCTTTAAAATGTAAATGGTAACTAAAAGAAAAATGTTTTTACAATTCAGATTTGCATGTTCGTGACATTTCAGATTATATTAAAGTTATTTCCCATATAAGCTTTTTTATATTTACACAGATTTTATCAGATTTACACAGATTTTATCAGATTTACACAGATTTTTATCACAGCAGCAATTCCCATAAAACATAATTATTGACATTTCTATATAATCTCTGCAACATTTACAAGATGTTCAAGCTAATTTGTATGCCTTAAAGAATTGTTCCTTATGAGATTATATTCTCTCACTGATACACAACTGATTAATCTATATTCTTGACATTACTTAAAGGAACTTAACTTTAAAAAACCTCTTCTGAAATGCTGGTAAATAAAACATTTTTAAATGAGCTCGTATACTTCTCTAAATAACCTGTAAGAGTAGAGAGGAAATGTTTGTTCCCAAGTCCTTCCTTTAGAGCTTGACTTTAATCATGGACTTCCTTCTGGAAAAGACTTGTGTCTACCAAGTTCTAGCTTGGCACTTTACCTGGTTGGTATTTGTTATTTATAAGCATAAATATTTTGGTTGATGATTATTTATACTTATATGAAATGGTATTTTCTTAGGAGCTGTTAGAGATATTCTTGGTGCTGTGATTTAAATATAGTAACAGCTACCAGCTATACCTGGAGATTTATCCTGCTAGTCAGTTGATCACCTGGTCTGAGTGTTTATTGTGGCTTTGAGTTTCTTGATCTGGGCCAGATTTGGAATACGGACCTGACTATGACCATCATTGAATGAACAAATAGTATAGCTTTTCTAAAGACAGTTTGACTTTGGCATGGTATGTTTCACTTACTTTAACAGGTTTCAATCTAAGATATAAAGGTTATAATTGCAATCAGGTAGAACATTAAACATGTCCTCAGTAGCATAAAGTATATAATTTGCTGAGGGGTAAAGGCATATGAATTCAGAGACATTTGGTTGACTTTTGCTGAAATGTCTGGGACACTTCTCTAGATGGAAACTATAGTTAACTTTTTATGATGCTAGGAAAATACTTCCAAGAAAGTCAGTTCATCTTTTGGTGAACTAAAAACAAAACTTCCTTCCTCTCTCTTCCAAAGTCTATGAATATACATAACATAAATGCACATACATTCCAACTAAGACTTATTTCCCCCTACATACATTTAATATATGTTGCAAAGAAGCAATAGAATTCCTTATGAAGCTCCCCCTTTTCTTTACTAGAAACTACAAAAGAATGAAAGGAAACAAAATGATTTTCAGAAACCTGGGATTAGGAAATAAAAATATAATATTAATAGCATTACAGAGAAGATATTTTTCTGCATCCAGTAAGTTGATTCTGAGACACAAGTTTTAAAAGAGTCTATTAGGAATTCCTCCAGGGCTCCTAGAGCACATGGATTTGCTATTTAAATCTTTCTTTGTTAAAAATTAAAAAGAAGGGTAGGGCAAGAAAAAAATTAAAAAGAGAATTCATAAAGGTATATTGATATCTCATTTTTTAAATTTTGTACATTTCAATCCTTAGATGTAAAAATACTTATCAATTCTAGAAATTCTCAAAACACATCTGAATTTTATCCTACCCTTTTGACTTTTTTAGTGTTCCAAGGGAGACAAACAGACAGGATTAGCCAATGAAATTCAGGTCAGTTTTATCGCCCAGGAAAAATTCCCAAAATGCACTAGCCACACCTGAAACCATTATCACTCCCATCACAAAAATTCTTGCGGGAAACAAGATGGAACTTGCCAACATAGTCTTCTTACAAAGGAAGCCAACTTTTACACTGGCCAAATTCCATAGACAAATACCTTCAAACCTCCTCTATTTATTTGCCTGTTTATCTTCTCTGGTTACAAAGATCAAAATTCTTCTGAGACTGAGACTACACATATTCTCTCTCTCCATATACCCCATCCAGACCTCAGATTGTTCCAATAATGAGCATATAATCATTTCCTAGCTTAATGCCAAAATGAAGGCACCTAGAGCCATTCATCACACACAAAAAAAACAAAATGATTACAAGATCAAAGCTGTTTAGCAGGACTCTCAAGCAATAAGATGACTCCATTTTGTCTTGGCAGATTTACTTGGCCAGAAATCAAGTGACCCTTTTAATAATTTCTTGGAACTGAGTTTTTACTTTGGCATCAAGTTTGGTGAAAAGACACACATATTGTAGTTTTGTTATTAACATCTCTAATACATTTATAAAGGGACTCTTGTGGACAAGGTTAAGAAAGCTGAGCTGCAGCAGTAACTTTCTACTTATGCTTCTGCCCAGTCCTCAGTGTTGACACATTGCTGAAAGAGGGATTTCCTGGCACTCCAAGAGCTCTCCACCATGTGCAAAAAGTGTTTCTATCACAAGATCAGATAATGGGAGTGCCAGGGACGGGCCTTTTACATTTTAGGGGTCCAGCAGGTGTACCAGGCCTGACTTGCTTGTTTAGGATCACATATTTTGTTGCTTTTCCCAGTCTCACATTTCATGAAATATGTCTATGCAAACTCTTCACATGCATCTTCTCATATTGATGACATCACAAAAGCCCTCTTTTGAGTCATTTGATAATTCCCAGTACTCGTCATCTTCACCCATAAGCTATTTGTGCTTCAGAACTCTTTGTCTCCACATATGATGCTGTTTCTGGAAACTTATCCCAAGCCACAAATGCCCACTTATAGAATACCAGTGTTGTTGACTATGTCAGTTGTTCTATAAGAATATATTCTTGATCCTCACAATGTGTCCATTTTTTATGTTGCTTTTGAAAGTGATTCTAAAGAATTTGTTTACAGTGACTTCCAATATTGAGTACTATGAGATTATACACCCACAAATAATTACTAAATCTGTTTAATATCTTTACCTCCTCCTTTACCCATTCATCAATCAACCTCTATAAGCATCCTAAATTAGTATTGATTGAAGTTGTTTTAGGCTAATGCATATTCTCTAAATAGCATATTATTATTCAAAATAAAATAATTGAGAAAATTGTCCCATAATATGGATGGAACCTTTGTAAAGGCCCATATGTAGGGAGAAAAAACCCTCATCTCTATTTGAGGATAAGCAGTAGCAAAAATTTCATTAACTTGTTTAAAATTAAGTGGAATTTAATTTTAAGACTGTGGAATCTCTAACAGTCTTTTACATATAAGGGATTGATTAATGTGACAATTTCAGGAAAAAAAGGAGAATCAGTACACATTGGCCCAATCTCCTACAAATGAGAATCAATACAGAATAAGAGAATTTTTTAAATCCCCAAATCAGCAAAGATCCTGTTCCCTAAGTTATAGAATATTTATTAAAACAAGTGAAATCGTACATTTTAGAAAAAATTTTAATCAAAGTTGAAATTAGAAAAGCATTCTTGAAATAGCTCTCGCCTCTCAGAAAATACAATTAGCACACAACACTGTTTTTCTTGAAGTTCTATTATCAAAGTTTTGCTCTATAGATAAGCATTTGAAAGACCTGTAGCAAGTATTTTCGCCAACATCTTGATGACCTTAATGACCAAAGTTGGATCAAGTGAAGGGGAAAAGCATTTGGTGCCAGACACACCTGGGTGGAAGTCCTGGTTTACTGCATACCAACCATGTGACTTCTGCCACATTACCTGACTTCTTGGAGGCTGAGTCTCATTGGTATCATGCAGATAACAATACCTACTTCACAGGTTTTTGTGAAAATTTGGGATAATATATATGAGGTACCTGGCACAAGATGACTATAAATTTAGCCCGTTGGGAGACAGCATGGACTAATGGAAAGAGACTAAAATCAGAGATGTTGGTTCAAATCTGAACCCCACCGTCTTCTACCTGGATGGCCATGAAAGCATTATTTAAACTCTGAACCCATCGTCCTGCGTGCAGGACTATAGTGTGGACAAGTATATTAATAACATCTGTAAAAGGTCCCAACTTGGTCCTTGGCACAAAATAAATAGCAGCTATTATTGTAAGGAATACTTGCGTAAAGAAAGACAAATTCAAATGATTGGATTATTCTCTGGAAGAGGCACATTCTGGTTCTATTGTTTACAAGTCTTTCACTTCCCTCTCTAACTGTTATGAGTGACCTACCTCCATAATGGTTAATTTGTGTTATGTTGTTCTTAAGATTATAATAGTTCCAAAAAAGAGATGGGGTGAGGAGTGGTGGTAGTTTGAGGGGGCAGAGGATGGGGAGAAAGACAATTGAATCAAAACTGTACTATAGTCAAGTTAGAAGGTATAAATTGTTCTCCTTCCTCTCACTTTCAATCCTAACTATCCATGACCTAAGATATTACTCTTATGTACTTTGTCATATCTTGCATTCAAGAATTTGCAGATAATGCAGTTTTAGAAAAAGTCAACCTCATAGGTTGTTTGTATTGGGCTTCCTTGTTTTTAAATATCATTTATACTCAAATTCAAAGAGTAGCCAACTGCTTCCCAAAATAAAGGAAACTTAAGGTAGTAATTTTCCATCTCCGTTTCACAGAATGCCAAAGTTAAAGAGTCACTACTCAGAGCCATCAAAGGAAGAAAGCAAAGTGATTAGAACAATTTTAAAGGAGGACAAAAATCAAAACAAGATGCAAACAAGGAATAATAGGAATAGGCAGAAAAATAAACATACAGTGATGTTTCTTTATTATGATTATAAAGATGATAGATGAGTAAAATCGAGTTACATTTAAGTTGTAATGGAAGAAAATAATTGCAGCCTTCCATCAGGAAACCACAAGGACCGTTATTGATCTGTCATCCTCAGGGCATGTCTCGTAATATTTAATAAAATAAACAAAGATTTATAACTTTTATAGGCCATATATCTATAATCTCCCACACCACTTGAACTGTGAATGTGGAGTCAATGTTACAAATAACATCCATGTGATTATACTGGTTTGGCATGCCTTATTCCAACAATCTAGCACTCTCAAGAGAATGTATTTTGTATTAGGGATGAAAAATGTGAAGCCAGATTATAGAGTTTTTTACTTATTGTGCTCAAAAATGAGAAAATGTTATCCAATATGAAAAATGTTGTTAAGGATTCTTCATTCTTAATATTAGACAGCCTTTCAAACCTAAATATTAAATATCTTGGCCATATGCCAAATGTAATAGCTACCAAAGCAAAATCTTGCAAGAAAGAAAATCCTTGAGGTATAAAGATTCAATGTACTTTTTAAAAAATGTAAGTAAAAGGTTATTAATTTTACATTTCATTTCTTTTTCTTTCCTAGACACTACTTCATCCTCTCATAGGCTCAGGGAGTCACTGCTTCCTAACTTCTTTATTTTAATTATCCATGCTACTCATTCCACGAAAAGTGGCATATTGCATTATTTTATTAAAAGAAATTTAAAATTAGTTTCTTTCCAGAATTTTGTAACGCCCCCTGAGATCACTGGGCACACCCTTGGGGTGTTAGAAAACATGTTACAAAATGAACCTTTAATTCCTTTTGCTTTTTCCCTTCCTCTTGCTGACTGCTCTTTAAACCATTACATGGCTCATTCACAAGTCTCTCTACCCCAGGAAAGATGAAAAAGCAAAGGCATGATGTTTTTATAACCTAATAGCAAGAGAACACAGTGCTGAAGCTGTCACCAAAACTGTGGGTAGGTTTTACCCGTGGGTTATATTAATTCATGATATGATTGATAATATCTCTCACTTGTGTGGGGAATGAAGCGTTAACTATGCCGCATGCATTTTAAATTAATTTGACATTATTCTTAATGTCCTTTCAAGCAGGTGGCATTATAACCTGTGTCTTATTTAGGTAGTTGATTTCTACACGGAGATTCATCTGATAAAACTGATATCGCAAACGGGAAGGAGTTTGTACAAAATGAAATAAATCTTAAAGTTGATTTTTGTAAAGCCCAAATGTTAATTAAAATCTTTGAATCCACAACTCTGATACATGATATTTTCATTGACATAAACATGATTAGCGATTTCTGGAAGCATGTGGGATGCTGCATTGATAAGGATATGAACCTCCTTGAGTAATAATGTATATTTTTACTCCGAATACTGTTTCACATTTTGGGTGTTACATCCTTACTTCAGACTTCTGCCTTATCAGTGGCCATCCCACCCTATGTTCTTATCTCCTCAGTCTAAAAAGAAAAATGGGGACCCATCAGAATTTGGATAGAAGACCCTCCAGGAATTTCTGCCACTGCTTATTCATGGGTTGGCACAGACACTGATTCAGTGGGCACACAGAGTTCAGAATGATTCAGAGCCCAGATATGTGCCCTAAGTCACATCTCCAGCGTCCAGGGAGGACTGTAAAGTGCTCGTTATCAGGAAAATGAAACCAAGGGCTCAGCTACTCCTGAAGTCATTAAAACTCCTTCCCTTGATTTTTTTTTTTTTTTTTTTAAATAGTATATGTGGTAACCGAATCTAGGATCCTGGATACATTCCAGTCTGCTAATTACATATTTTTTTCTAACTAAAATGTTCCAGGCAGGTTCATTTGCATGTGAATTACTTGCTGAGCCATGTTGACTTCCTATTCTAAAAGCCTCACTCTGCCTTGGGAAGCAGTTTACTGCACTTCACCCTAGACCTAGTCTAATGTTGGAGCAGACAAAGTGTAGCTACCCATATATACTTCAAAAATATTTTCCAGTCTCCCCACAAGAGGAAAGAAAAATGTCTAGCAATTGCATGCTAATTTAGACCAAAGCTTTGTTTTAACCATTCTTGGTGATCACAAATGGGGAAAAATGATTTATGAACAGTATAACTATAAAACAAACAAAAAAAAACCATTGTGAATTCAGAGTGAAGTCTGACTTCATTTGTCTTATTTGGGTAAATCAGCAAAATGTTCATCAGTCAGAGGACATTAAAATGGTAGATGATACTTCAAATCGTGCCCTAGATAAAAGGAGAGAATTAAGGTTAGTTTTGATTTGTAAACCATTCTCTTCGAAGGCTGATTTTATAAAAATTAAGTTTGCTGAGTCATCATCTCAAAATATATAGTTATTCATGATTAGTTAAAATTTGTGTCTGTGTATCAAAGAAGTAAATTTGTATGATATTAAATTTTCTAACAATGTTTTAAATTTTAAAATGTCCGATTAACACTTGCATCTAGCAACCAGTCTACTAACTAAACTATAGGTGAAGTCATGCTCAGGAAATGGGGAAAATGCACAGATTAAATTGGTCTGTTAGCTCTGAGTGAATCAATAGTATTTAGTGCTAATGCACTAAGGAGATTACAAGCACTAATGCAGTAGCAGTCAATAGCGAAAACTAATATCTCTAAAAAATATCTTGACAATAAAATGTGCAATATTTTCCATTTATCTTAAGCTAATTACATTACCTGCTTGTTCTTTCATCTTATTAGTTTAAGCCAAGTGCTAGAAGCCTAACCATTTTATTTAGTGCATAAAAGGGCCAAAACCTTGTAATCATTGTTTTCAGCAGGAGACAGAGGAAAGGATTAATTCATGTAACCAAGATTCAACCAGAAATTCAACAGATATTTATTTAGTCTCTAAACCTGATAGTATTACAATGGAGAATGAGCTAGACTGTACCTGTCTTCAACAAGCAGATAGACTAGTGAAGATGACAGTAAACATTCAGTCACACCAGTGAACAAATACATCATGATAATTTATGAAATGTGCTGTGAGGGAAATAAACATCTGTGAATGCAAATGAGAGGGAATATCTAAATTTGGTAGTTGAGTCACAAAAGGCTGTCCTGAGGAGGTGAAAGCTAACCTTTATATAAAGCTTAAAACTTTAAAAAAGCAATACGTCTTTAGTACACAGGCAAATATATAAACTAAATATATAAACTAATAGTCATTACTTATTTCACAAGCTTTACATCTTAACTACAAGCTGCTACATTAAATCAGCTTTCTTAAGTGGTTTGTGGTCATTAGTGCATACTATCTTACACTTAGAAAAACATTGCAAGAAGTAGTACAATGCTGGAGAATTTAACTTTTTAAAACATTTCCTGCCTTAAAATAAACAGCAGTAAATGTGTTTAAACATTCTTTTGATTTCTAAATGAATTAAGTTACTTTTTATTATGTGGTTCTTCTTCATATGAAGAAAATAATATGTAGATTACTAGAAGCTAAGAACATACTTTAGATCCTGCTCACACTCACTGCCTTTCCTGGCCTGTCACCTTAATCAGCTTCTTTGAAAATCACTGTTTCTTACATAGGCCAGGTTGTTTCTTCCTTGTTTCCCTCTTCTTCCTTCTATGGCCAACCCTTGGGACCCCGTTTGTCAGAAGAACATGTTCCTCTTTGGGGAGGAGGGGATTGTCCTTTTACCAATAAGTTTTATGACCAAGAGAAACATAAGAATCTGAGAACACACAAAATAAGCTCTTTTGAAACTATCAAAATTATAAACATTAATAGAATTCAAGGGAATGTGATGCTGAAGTGATCCCAAGTCACATTGTCTTTCTGCCTCTGTGCACTGTACTCTGCACAATTGCATCCATTTTTAGACCATTTCCTTCTCATGAGAATCATGTGCATGGAGGGCCAAAGGAGAGACAAGTGCTCACAAGGATATCATGAGCACTTATGAATGTACAAATGAGTGCTCTCCAGTCAGTGCCATCTTTATATTGTTCCGGTTTATAGGCAATGCCTTCATCTTTACCTACAGACACATGTTGCCTTTCTGTTTCATTTTAATCCTGTTCATCTATACATATTTAATCACACAAATATCTAAATAAGTTTATGTCTTGTAGGGAAGGCACTTTGTCATGCTTCTTTGTACCTAAGCATATGCTTTGCAAATCATAAACAATAGTGTTGATTTTATTTGATATAAAAACTTGGATTCTCAAAAGAAATCTATGTGTTCACACGATAAACAGAGACCATCTGAATTGCCAAAGTATGACTGAATCATAAGCAGTATTGTTTTAGTCATCTTTACAGACCAGGAAGATTTGAAATACAGGTGTAAAAAGATGTGTGAGGCATCAAAAGAAATATTCACCTTTCTTTGTGTTCATTTTTTTTATTTTTGCTTGGCCGAGAAAGAAGGGGTGTTTTCCAAGGGAATAGGAGGCTTCAGGGCTTATTCCTGTGCCTACAAGTCAGAGAGGTCACTGGCTTGCCCCTTCCTGAAGGCTGTAATTACAGGCAGAGGACTATTTATTTTCCCGTAAGGCGACCAGAATCTTGAGTGTAAAAAACTGTTTACAAGAGTACACTGTGTATAGGGGTTACACACAACCTCAGGAAAAATAATAGGAAAGTGAGACTATTTTTCTTCATGTATTCAATAATATGAGAAGGTCCAAGACTCTGGAAATGTTCTAAAGTACAATAATAGAGATGAATATGAGGTCAAATTAGGTGATCCTGGGGCTTAAGGAACTGAATTAAATGAATAAAGAAGAGGAATTTCTAATAGGGCATAATCTAACTGATAATTTGTTAAATGTAAACTTATTTGTGGCTCCAACATCATGGTAAACAAGAATGAATAAATGTATTAGTAAGAGTAATTGAGAAGTATTTCTAATGTGAAAAACACCAATTACATTGGGTTTATCTGGCGCCAATGTGGAAATAAATGAGCAATATTTCTTACTCTCAACTAAACTTACTCTCACTTTCAGAACTGTTATAGGAAAGGTATTGATTCAAGTAGAGTTGGGCATGCAAAGCACAAGATCAATTCTGTTACTGGCCTGATATTAAGGATATTAGTCAGTGTTTGAAAAAATGATTTGTAATATATAAGTAGTAGTTTAACAAAGTAGGTAAAACTTGTAATTAATTTCAAAAGGTCAAAGCAGAGATTATTGACATGTACAAAGAGGACCCGCTTTATATGTGCCTGCTTTGAAAAGTAATACCGTAGTATGGTAAATTGTGACTAATTCTGAGATTTTCTGTCTAGATTCTTTTTAAAACCAAATGCTTAAGAAAAAAACATGAGACATGAGTAGCAATTACATTTTTTAGGCTGAGTAGGTAGCATAATTGCCTCATGCCTGCCTCCTGTCTCCATTTGTTTTTAGTAGATTTTGCACAGAAAAACATGTTGACCTCGGTACTGAAATTTTGGAGTTCACTATTTGCGGCACAGTTACAGATCACAGAAAAAAATGTACAACAGGACTTCACCACACCTAACAAAAGAAAGTTTTCTTATTAAAAAAAAAACCCTCCAAATTATTGTGAGATCTAGGGTAACCATGGTGTTAACTATATGCTATTTGATATCTTATAACCCTGGTGATAAGATAACAATCCAATTGAATGCAGATGAACTCATGAAAAAAGAAGGATTATGAAATATTTGGAAAGTAAACACCTAAATTTTCATAAGTAAATATTAATTATTTGTGTGATCTTTAGATATGAAAGCTTCCCCTGCATGCACTTGGCTCTTGGAACCAGCTGTTAAAACTCCCAGCACCTTAGTTAATACCCTGTATGCTGGTGGTTCAAGAACTAGTTAAGAAACAGTCACATTTTCTATTTTCACTGCCAATGTATAATAAAATCTCTGTTCCAGTGAATGGCTGGCCAATTATTTTAATAACGATGTTGGCATGGCTTCATTTTACCTTTCTTGCTATTAGCAAAGCTTTCCTTTTGTACTCTGAAGTACGGGTAAATCACAAATTAAACTGAGCTGTTGTTTGTTTAATGCTGTGTTTCCTGCTAACCTTATTCTTGTCTATCAACCTGAACGTAGTTCCCCAGTGGCTCAGAAAACCCTCAATTGGGATTAAGTAATAGTTTACACAACCTTGCTCAGTCATTAACCTGTGTTGACTTTCTCATTCTTGTGTTCCAGCCTCATTTAAGAGTTTCTTAAGCACTCTATCCAGTTGCTGGTTTGGTGACAACTAACAATACCTATTTAATCAAGAAATTTAATATTTCCAAGGAATCATTTATCGTATCTCAGACTTCTTCATTAACATAATCTAATTCAGTCTTGTATTCCTTCTTCAAAATAAAGCCTGGTTTCATTCATAGTAAATATGAAGCTTAAAAATTTTTACTTCTTTTCTTCTCTATACACACAAAGCAGAAAGAGAAAATTGTATATTATCATTCCAGACAGGTTTTTTTTTTTGTTTAGTGTATTGACATTGATGCCAATAAGATAAAACTAGACCTCAGTGGCTCCTCCTCAACTCCACCCAATCTATTTGTCTCCAAAGTGCTGTTGGAGTAAGTAATCTTTGTTAAGAGCAAACCTATTTGTATATCTGATGATAATCTGAGGGATAATAATATGATATTTAAGGAGTTTCTGTCCTTGGCCCTGACTATTTCCTGGTCCTCCTTCACGCCCAGTGATGTGCTGGTAAATGTTAAACTCTGGGGGGAGGGGCAGCAGAAGCCCCTAATTTGTAGCATTTGCCAATTTCTATGGTGTAAATATCCCACTGAGCCAGTTTCAAGGTACCACTGAAACAGCGTTAGTCACTGAACAACAATGAGGAAGAGATGTACACACTTGGCTCTGTGAACTGTTATGAGATGGTTCAAGCACAGCACTGCCACCCTGTCCTACACGCAACCTGTCATTCTTGTAGTTCCCAGAATCCATCAGCCTCCCTCACAACCCTGCCTTAACACGTGTAGCTTGGTCCACTTCAGATTCCCTTTAACACTCATTTTGTCAAGTGAACACTTTTTCCCTATTCTTTAAAACTTCCATGCTGGCATTTTCCTTCCCCAGGACATTTTTCCCTAGCCTTCAACTCATCCCCTGCCCCCCATATTCTGGATTTGTTGCGTTTCCTGAGCACACCAGTAGCACTCTGCTTATTTCTACCATGTCTCTTATCACACTCCGTGGTAATGTGTCCAACAGTTCCATCGTTAGCCCCCTGAGGGGATGAACTATGCCATTTATCTCCACAGTCCCAGCACCTAATACAATAGCTTGAACAATATATACATTTATCGGATGAGCAAAGAAGTATGACAGAGCCCTGTATGTAAAATATATTACTATAAATAGAATGCTGATTCATAAAAATAATTATTTAGATAAAACAGTTTTTCCGTCTCTCCCCTAAATCCCTAAAAACTAATTTATAGAATTGGGGAGTTTTCAAGAGCTAAATTAGCACTGGAGAAAAACTGGGGAGTTTTACTCACTATTACCTATGCCCCTCCCGTCCCCCCCACACACACCCTCCTTCATTCACCAGTCTGCAATGAAGATTGATCAAAGAACAAAGAAGAAGAAAAATGAAAGAAAAAGGAAAGATTAAGATAGGGAGGGTGAATAGATAGGAATTCCAGAGTTTTGTAATCGAAATTTGGAACTCAGAATTAAAGTCATTAAAAGGAGAAAGAGGGAATACTTTCTCTGCTCCCGTAAGGTTTTCTCAAGCCTTTCAACAGCACTCACCCTTTGAGCGGGTGATACCATCTGTAAGAGGGACTTTACGCAATGCTTTAGTGGGCGTGGCTTGAGCAGTGACACCAGTAGAGATACCCCCTTGAAACTTTCATTTGAAGTCCACAGATTTTCACTATTGGTCACCAATCCATGATTTCAAGTTGAAAATGATATATGGGTTAAGGAAAAGAGGCCGGGCGCGGTGGCTCACGCCTGTAATCCCAGCACTTTGGGAGGCCGAGGTGGGCGGATCACGAGGTCAGGAGATCGAGACCATCCCGGCTAAAACGGTGAAACCCCGTCTCTACTAAAAATACAAAAAATTAGCCGGGGGTAATGGCGGGCGCCTGTAGTCCCAGCTACTTGGGAGGCTGAGGCAGGAGAATGGCGTGAACCCGGGAGGCGGAGCTTGCAGTGAGCCGAGATCCCGCCACTGCACTCCAGCCTGGGCGACAGAGCGAGACTCCGTCTCAAAAAAAAAAAAAAAAGGAAAAGAAGTTAAGGGCAAAGGTCTTTATCAACACCATCCTTCCTGTGGCCACAGGATCGTAATCCCAGTGGCAACATTCAAAGGCACCAAGTACGTGCTTGGTACAGAGAGAAGCTTTCCTGAGCTTGGCCTTGGTGTAGATGCAGTGAGAACTGAGTAAGGGCCTCTGGCAGGGACCTTGGCTGCTGAGAAGGGGAGCCCACAGATGGAGGTTTCTGATCAACAGGTCCTATCAGAAACAAGGGGAGCAGATAAGTAAAGAGTCTCACTCCACGGTGGCAAGATGGAAAGGAGGGATAAGAGGTCATGACAGTTGGATTAATGGCAGGCTAGAATATAGTCATGGGCTTGAACGATATATTGGGACACAATTGAAGGACTCTTGTTTCATCCATCGTTCATCTCTCCTGGCCCTCTGTGAAGACATTTATCACCTGTTTCTATTGAATGTGACACTGTTAGGCACATAAACAGACCATGGCTCTTACCACCTCCAAGAAGAACTACTTCTGTTTTATTTGTTAGTGCAGGGTAATTGGTGTTGTGTCTTCTGAAAATCTCTTATACTTCTATGAGTAAGTGCATTGAAATTGTTTCTGTTAACTAAGTAGAGGAAAGCAGAAAACCTCTTTGCACTAAGCATTAAAACCTTCCTAACTTGGAACAATTTTCTTTATGAATCACTCTGTCACTCCTGGCTATGATTGAAGTGCAGTATGAAGGCTGCTAACCAAAAACACATGGACACAGTCTGTTTCAGATCTGATTCACCTTAGGAAATGATGATAAAGAAGCAAAAGTTTTAACACTTAGAATTCCAAGGTCCATATCATTGTAGAATTGATTCTTTTGAATTGTGGTGGTACCTCAAGAGAAAGGATTTATTTATTTCATTTATATTTAAATGCGTTTGTATACATATGTATATAAACCCATATACACATATACATAAAATATATTCTGCTCCAAGTATTTATCTCTCTTTTCTCTTTACTAATCCAGCTTCCATTAAGAACTGGCTCAACTTCGACCTCTGCCATGAGCCTTCTCCAGCTGTTTAAGCCCACACAGATCTTATTTTTTTCCTAGTCTTAGAGGATTTACTGCCAGTACAGTGTTTTCAGAATGTAACTATCAACTGAGTTCTTATACTTTGCATCAGTTAGCTATTGTACGTGTCAATCTTTTGTCTCCCTATGTAGAGGCTAGACCCAAGGTAGAAGCATTTGCCAGGATTGACAAACGATAGCCTGTTTTTATATTCTCAACAAGTGAAAACTTATTTTGTTTATATTTTTTTCCCTTTTTATACAGTTAAACACTCACATGCACGCACACACACACACACACACACACACACACACAGGCCACAGGGACCCTATGGCCCTCAAAGACTAGCATATATTCTATCTAGCCCTTTCCCAAAAAACATGTGCCAACCCCTGCATTAGAGAATAGTGTAAAATAATAGTGGACAGATAACAGGTCCACAAATTTTGGAGAGCCATGGATGACCTTACTTATGAACTTAAGTAATTCTCTTCAATAGGTGTGAGTGTTTCCATTTTACAGATGATGAAATTGAGGCTCATTGATCTAAACAATTGGATTTTGTCTTCATAGGCATTATGAGGGCTTACTAGACCAACAATAGTGATAATAATAACTGTTTAGTTGCACAAGGCAGGGATTTATGTCTTTTTTATTTGCTGCCATATCCTTCAGCACCTAGAACAGTCTGTCACATGGTATGGTATTATATTCATTTTCCAGAGCTCCCATAACAAATTACCACAAACTGGGTGGCTGAAAACAACAGAAATTTATCCTCACATGGTTCTGGAGGCCAGATGTCTGAAATCAAGGCATCAGCCAGGGCCATGCTCCCTCTGGAGGCTCTAGGGAGGACTCCTTCCTTGCCTCTTGCAATTCTGGTGTCCCAGGCATCTTAGGTTGTGGCAGCTTTACTCCCCTCTCTGCCTCCATCTTTATGTGGCAGTCCACCATGTCTCTCTGTGTCCCCTCTTCTTATAAGGACAACAGTCATTGAATTCAGGGCACTCACTAAATCCAGGATGATTTCATCTCAAGATCCTTAACTAATCACATATCAAAGAGCCTATTTCCAAATAAGGTCACGATCTGACTTTCCAGGTGGACATGAATTTTGGGAAGACATTATTCGGCCTACTGTAGGTCTTCTAAATGAAGTGACCATTTAATATGTTTCTGGCACTGGATTCATTTCATTTAAGCCTCAAAACAAATCTGTTATGTAGATATGTGTTTTCCCACTTTACAAGTGAAGAACTGAGGTTTAGAGATCTAGGAATCCTAAAGCTGCACAGCCAGGAAGGGCAGGGCCACCCCTGACCCAAGTTCTCTGCTAGGTTAGCATGGTTGTCACAGGACAAGCTGAGAAGGTATTTAGGGAGCATTACACTAAAAAGTTGTAGAAGTCGGCTTAAGGAAGAAGATTCTAAAATCAAAGGAATCAGATTGTAGGAGGCCATGTAGGCAATTTCCTTTAATTCAATAGAAGAGAGTATAAGAATCAGCCAGGCATGGTGGCTCATGCCTGTAATCCTAACACTTTGGGAGGTCGAGGTGGAAGGATTGCTAGAGCCTGTGAATTCAAGACCAGCCTGGGCAACATGGCAAAATCCCATCTCTACAAAGAAATACAAAAATTAGCCAGGTATTGTGGCACATGCCTGTAGTCCCAGCTACTCTGGATGCTGAGGAGGGAGGATCTCTTGAGCCCAGAAGGGAAGAGGTTGCAGTGAGCCAAGATTGTGCCACTGCACTGCCGCCTGGGTGACAGAGCCAGAGCCTTTCAAGCAAGCAAGCAAGAGGGAAGGAGGGAGAGAGGGAGAGAGAGAGAGAGAGAGAGAGAGAGAGAGAGAGAGAGAGAGAGAGAGAGAGAAAAGAAACGGAGAGAGAGGGAGGGAGGGAAGGAAGGAGGGAAAAAGAGAGAAAGAAAGAGAAATATGAAAGAAAGAAAGAGTAAGGAAGGAAAGAAAGAAGGAAAGAAAGAAAAAGAAAAGAAAGAAAGAGAAAGAAAGAAAGAAAGAAAGAAAGAAAGAAAGAAAGAAAGAAAGAAAGAAAGAAAGAAAGAAAGAAAGAAGATATGAACAATAAAGGAAAGACTCAAAGATGGTTCAGATCTCAAACTTACGGAGAGGGTAGCTATTGATGCATTGAGAAATAGGAAGCTGGAAGAGGAAATCAGTTTGGAGAGAAAAGTGATGGCTTTGAACATCATCAATGGCGTATTCAAACATAGCTTGAAGGCATTTGCAGAGACAGGGCTGGTCCTCGGAAGAGATGGCAACGGGGTGTGTAGAGTTAGGTCATCACCACGAGGCTGTGAGGGCAGAGCCACAGTAGCTTCCATCACCTTGTGAATCACCAGTGCTCAGCCCGTGGCTGGCTGGCCGGATGCCTGCTTATGCTGTGCTCCCGGCTGTCTGGCTGCACACACAACCGCAGAGCATGCCCTCTCTGGCTAGGGCAGAAAGAAATTGAAGCCTCTTAAATTTTGCCCCCCCCAGCTTTGCTCCCTTGCTAGGACTTCCAGGCCATGACTATTGAAGCCATAGGGCAGGATTACTTCCTCAAGAGGCGTTAGTGGAAACAGATGTGTTGAGGAAGCCTCTTTCTTTTCAACTGTGCCCTGAGCACATCAGATGGAGTCCTCTTCATAGCACAAAACAACTTGGTCAGATTCTTAGGGTTTGACCACAGCACCCTAACAGCCTGGCCGTGCATTAAGGACCCCAAAGAGAAGGATCTGCTTTGCCAGAGAGCTGACTCTTCTGTATTTTACAGACAATTCTGAATTCAATGTCAACATCTTAGACATCTCAGTACAGACAGTAAAGAGTTAAAATATGTCTATAAGAAACAGCGCCAGACCCTGAAATTGAAAGCTCTGTGCCTCCCTGCGTGCAGTCAGTTCCACACTGTCCTCTCTCCCAGTTCTATTTAATAAAAAAAACACATGAGTGAAATTTAGGGAAATAAGAATTCCTGAAATTAAAGCAATTAAGTTTTCAGTCAACTGTATGAAAAGCTCTAGACAAAGAGGTACTTTCTATTTCAAAATATGTATTTCCCAGAAAACCATTACCATATCTAGCTAGAATTTCTACAAAGAATGATTATGAATAAAGTATATATTCAAATGCTTCTGGTAATTTAGTCATGGTCAAAGAGGAGAGAAAGGTGATACAAGTGAACTGGCAAAGATTTTACAAGATAGTACATTTTTAAAAATTTTATTTGCAAGACTGATTTAAATTATCTATAGATGAGCTAAATCTGTCCTATAGATCAATTAAATGAATCACTATTTTAAATATATCACATTCTTAATTACACTGAATTAAATATAATTACATATTCACTGCATACATCATAATGTTAATTAGGGGAAACATTTTGAATCAAATATATTGAGATATATAGCACTTCAATTTTCTTTTTATAAAAAAAGCTATATGACTAAGTCAGGTAAAAAGAATCTGGCAAGTACTCATAGAAAGCTAAAGGAAGACTAGATTAATTGATGTATCACATCAAGGCTTACAAATTGTAGAGGAATTCCTATTCTTTAACTCTATGACAGTATATAAGACTTTGGGCTAAGGAAGCAAGTTTGCAACAAGTTTTTAAAAAATAATAAAACAGGAGGCAGGGCACGGTGGCTCACACCTGTAATCCCAGCACTTTGGGAAGCCGAGACAGGTGGATCACAAGGTCAGGGGTTCAAGACCAACCTGGCCAAAATGGTGAAACCCAGTCTCTAATAAAAATACAAAAAAGTTAGCCAGATATGGTGGCGGGCACCTGTAGTCTCAGCTATTCAGGAGGCTGAAGCAGGGAATTGCTTGAACCCAGGAGGCGGAGGTTGTAGTGAGCCGAGATCACGCCACTGCACTCCAGCCTCGGCGACAGAGCTAGACTCCATCTCAAAATAAATAAATAAATAAAAATTTTAAAAAATAAATAAAATAAATAATAAAACACATTGTTTACCATTGTTTCTCAGAGACATACGATTATTTTAGAAGTGGATAAGCCTTTTTTTTTTATACTTTAAGTTTTAGGATACATGTGCACATTGTGCAGGTTAGTTACATATGTATACATGTGCCATGCTGGTGTGCTGCACCCACTAACTCATCATCTAGCATTAGGTATATCTCCCAATGCTATCCCTCCCCCCTCCCCCCACCCCACCACAGTCCCCAGAGTGTGATATTCCCCTTCCTGTGTTCATGTGATCTCATTGTTCAATTCCCACCTATGAGTGAGAATATGCGGTGTTTGGTTTTTTGTTCTTGCAATAGTTTACTGAGAATGATGATTTCCAATTTCATCCATGTCCCTACAAAGGACGTGAACTCATCATTTTTTATGGCTGCATAGTATTCCATGGTGTATATGTGCCACATTTTCTTAATCCAGTCTATCATTGTTGGACATTTGGGTTGGTTCCAAGTCTTTGCTATTGTGAATAATGTCGCAATAAACATACGTGTGCATGTGTCTTTATAGCAGCATGATTTATAGTCCTTTGGGTATATACCCAGTAATGGGATGGCTGGGTCAAATGGTATTTCTAGTTCTAGATCCCTGAGGAATCGCCACACTGACTTCCACAATGGTTGAACTAGTTTACAGTCCCACCAACAGTGTAAAAGTGTTCCTATTTCTCCACATCCTCTCCAGCACCTGTTGTTTCCTGACTTTTTAATGATTGCCATTCTAACTGGTGTGAGATGGTATCTCATTGTGGTTTTGATTTGCATTTCTCTGATGGCCAGTGATGATGAGCATTTTTTCATGTGTTTTTTGGCTGCATAAATGTCTTCTTTTGAGAAGTGTCTGTTCATATCCTTCGCCCACTTTTTGATGGGGTTGTTTTTTTCTTGTAAATTTGTTTGAGTTCATTGTAGATTCTGGATATTAGCCCTTTGTCAGATGAGTAGGTTGCAAAAATTTTCTCCCATTTTGTAGGTTGCCTATTCACTCTGATGATAGTTTCTTTTGCTGTGCAGAAGCTCTTTAGTTTAATTAGATCCCATTTGTCAATTTTGGCTTTTGTTGCCATTGCTTTTGGTGTTTTGGACATGAAGTCCTTGCCCATGCCTATGTCCTGAATGGTAATACCTAGGTTTTCTTCTAGGGTTTTTATGGTTTTAGGTCTAACGTTTAAGTCTTTAATCCATCTTGAATAAATTTTTGTATAAGGTGTAAGGAAGGGATCCAGTTTCAGCTTTCTCCATATGGCTAGCCAGTTTTCCCAGCACCATTTATTAAATAGGGAATCCTTTCCCCATTGCTTGTTTTTCTCAGGTTTGTCAAAGATCAGATAGTTGTAGATATGCAGCGTTATTTCTGAGGGCTCTGTTCTGTTCCATTGATCTATATCTCTGTTTTGGTACCAGTACCATGCTGTTTTGGTTACTGTAGCCTTGTAGTATAGTTTGAAGTCAGGTAGCGTGATGCCTCCAGCTTTGTTCTTTTGGCTCAGGATTGACTTGGCGATGCGGGCTCTTTTTTGGTTCCATATGAACTTTAAAGTAGTTTTTTCCAATTCTGTGAAGAAAGTCATTGGTAGCTTTATGGGGATGGCATTGAATCTATAAATTACCTTGGGCAGTATGGCCATTTTCACGATATGGATTCTTCCTACCCATGAGCATGTTCTTCCATTTGTTTGTATCCTCTTTTATTTCCTTGAGCAGTGGTTTGTAGTTCTCCTTGAAGAGGTCCTTCACATCCCTTGTAAGTTGGATTCCTAGGTATTTTATTCTCTTTGAAGCAATTGTGAATGGGAGTTCACTCATGATTTGGCTCTCTGTTTGTCTGTTATTGGTGTATAAGAATGCTTGTGATTTTTGTACATTGATTTTGTATCCTGAGACTTTGCTGAAGTTGCTTATCAGCTTAAGGAGATTTTGGGCTGAGACAATGGGGTTTTCTAGATATACAATCATGTCGTCTGCAAACAGGGACAATTTGACTTCCACTTTTCCTAATTGAATACCCTTTATTTCCTTCTCCTGCCTGATTGCCCTGGCCAGAACTTCCAACACTATGTTGAATAGGAGTGGTGAGAGAGGGCATCCCTGTCTTGTGCCAGTTTTCAAAGGGAATGCTTCCAGTTTTTGCCCATTCAGTATGATATTGGCTGTGGGTTTGTCATAGATAGCTCTTATTATTTTGAAATACGTCCCATCAATACCTAATTTATTGAGAGTTTTTAACATGAAGGGTTGTTGAATTTTGTCAAAGGCTTTTTCTGCATCTATTGAGATAATCATGTGGTTTTTGTCTTTGGCTCTGTTTATATGCTGGATTACATTTATTGATTTGCGTATATTGAACCAGCCTTGCATCCCAGGGATGAAGCCCACTTGATCATGGTGGATAAGCTTTTTGATGTGCTGCTGGATTCGTTTTGCCAGTATTTTATTGAGGATTTTTGCATCAATGTTCATCAAGGATATTGGTCTAAAATTCTCTTTTTTGGTTGTGTCTCTGCCCAGCTTTGGTATCAGAATGATGCTGGCCTCATAAAATGAGTTAGGGAGGATTCTCTCTTTTTCTATTGATTGGAATAGTTTCAGAAGGAATGGTACCAGTTCCTCCTTGCACCTCTGATAGAATTCGGCTGTGAATCCATCTGGTCCTGGACTCTTTTTGGTTGGTAAACTATTGATTATTGCCACAATTTCAGCTCCTGTTATTGGTCTATTCACAGATTCTACTTCTTCCTGGTTTAGTCTTGGGAGAGTGTATGTGTCGAGGAATTTATCCATTTCTTCTAGATTTTCTAGTTTATTTGCGTAGAAGTGTTTGTAGTATTCTCTGATGGTAGTTTGTATTTCTGTGGGATTGGTGGTGATATCCCCTTTATCATTTTTTATTGTGTCTATTTGATTCTTCTCTCTTTTCTTCTTTATTAGTCTTGCTAGCGGTCTATCAATTTTGTTGATCCTTTCAAAAAACCAGCTCCTGGATTCATTAATTTTTTGAAGGGTTTTTTGTGTCTCTATTTCCTCAGTTCTGCTCTGATTTAGTTATTTCTTGCCTTCTGCTAGCTTTTGAATGTGTTTGCTCTTGCTTTTCTAGTTCTTTTAATTGTGATGTTAGGGTGTCAATTTTGGAACTTTCCTGCTTTCTCTTGTGGGCATTTAGTGCTATAAATTTCCCTCTCCACACTGCTTTGAATGCGTCCCAGAGATTCTGGTATGTTGTGTCTTTGTTCTCGTTGGTTTCAAAGAACATCTTTATTTCTGCCTTCATTTCGTTATGTATCCAGTAGTCATTCAGGAGCAGGTTGTTCAGTTTCCATGTAGTTGAGCGGTTTTGAGTGAGATTCTTAATCCTGAGTTCTAGTTTGATTGTGCTGTGGTCTGAGAGATAGTTTGTTATAATCTCTGTTCTCTTACATTTGCTGAGGAGAGCTTTACTTCCAAGTATGTGGTCAATTTTGGAATAGGTGTGGTGTGGTGCTGAAAAAAATGTATATTCTGTTGATTTGGGGTGGAGAGTTCTGTAGATGTCTATTAGGTCCTCTTGGTGCAGAGCTGAGTTCAATTCCTGGGTATCCTTGTTGACTTTCTGTCTCGTTGATCTGTCTAATGTTGACAGTGGGGTGTTAAAGTCTCCCATTATTAATGTGTGGGAGTCTAAGTCTCTTTGTAGGTCACTCAGGACTTGCTTTATGAATCTGGGTACTCCTGTATTGGGTGCATATATATTTAGGATAGTTAGCTCTTCTTGTTGAATTGATCCCTTTACCATTATGTAATGGCCTTGTCTCTTTTGATCTTTGTTGGTTTAAAGTCTGTTTTATCAGAGACTAGGATTGCAACCCCTGCCTTTTTTTGTTTTCCATTTGCTTGGTAGCTCTTCCTCCATCCTTTTATTTTGAGCCTATGTGTGTCTCTGCACGTGAGATGGGTTTCCTGAATACAGCACACTGATGGGTCTTGACTCTTTATCCAATTTGCCAGTCTGTGTGTTTTAATTGGAGCATTTAGTCCATTTACATTTAAAGTTAATATTGTTATGTGTGAATTTGATCCTGTCATTATGATGTTAGCTGGTTATTTTGCTCGTTAGTTGATGCAGTTTCTTCCTAGTCTCAATGGTCTTTACATTTTGGCATGATTTTGCAGCGGCTGGTACCGGTTGTTCCTTTCCATGTTTAGCGCTTCCTTCAGGAGCTCTTTTAGGGCAGGCCTGGTGGTGACAAAATCTCTCAGCATTTGCTTGTCTGTAAAGTATTTTATTTCTCCTTCACTTATGAAGCTTAGTTTGGCTGGATATGAAATTCTGGGTTGAAAATTCTTTTCTTTAAGAATATGGAATATTGGCCCCCACTCTCTTCTGGCTTGTAGGGTTTCTGCCAAGAGATCCGCTGTTAGTCTGATGGGCTTCCCTTTGAGGGTAACCCGACCTTTCTCTCTGGCTGCCCTTAACATTTTTTCCTTCATTTCAACTTTGGTGAATCTGACAATTATGTGTCTTGGAGTTGCTCTTCTCAAGGAGTATCTTTGTGGTGTTCTCTGTATTTCCTGAATCTGAACGTTGGCCTGCCTTGCTAGATTGGGGAAGTTCTCCTGGATAATATCCTGCAGAGTGTTTTCCAACTTGGTTCCATTCTCCCCATCACTTTCAGGTACACCAATCAGACGTAGATTTGGTCTTTTCACATAGTCCCATATTTCTTGGAGGCTTTGCTCATTTCTTTTTATTCTTTTTTCTCTAAACTTCCCTTCTCTCTTCATTTCATTCATTTCATCTTCCATTGCTGATACCCTTTCTTCCAGTTGATCGCATCGGCTCCTGAGGCTTCTGCATTCTTCACGTAGTTCTCGAGCCTTGGTTTTCAGCTCCATCAGCTCCTTTAAGCACTTCTCTGTATTGGTTATTCTAGTTATACATTCTTCTAAATTTTTTTCAAAGTTTTCAACTTCTTTTCCTTTGGTTTGAATGTCCTCCCGTAGCTCAGAGTAATTTGATCATCTGAAGCCTTCTTCTCTCAGCTCGCCAAAGTCATTCTCCATCCAGCTTTGTTCCGTTGCTGGTGAGGAACTGCGTTCCTTTGGAGGAGGAGAGGCGCTCTGCGTTTTAGAGTTTCCAGTTTTTCTGTTCTGTTTTTTTCCCCATCTTTGTGGTTTTATCTACTTTTGGTCTTTGATGATGGTGATGTACAGATGGGTTTTTGGTGTGGATGTCCTTTCTGTTTGTTAGTTTTCCTTCTAACAGACAGGACCCTCAGCTGCAAGTCTGTTGGAGTACCCTGCCGTGTGAGGTGTCAGTGTGCCCCTGCTGGGGGGTGCCTCCCAGTTAGGCTGCTCGGGGGTCAGGGGTCAGGGACCCACTTGAGGAGGCAGTCTGCCCATTCTCAGATCTCCAGCTGCATGCTGGGAGAACCACTGCTCTCTTCAAAGCTGTCAGACAGGGACATTTAAGTCTGCAGAGGTTACTGCTGTCTTTTTGTTTGTCTGTGCCCTGCCCCGAGAGGTGGAGCCTACAGAGGCAGGCAGGCCTCCTTGAGCTCTGGTGGGCTCCACCCAGTTCTAGCTTCCAGGCTGCTTTGTTTACCTAAGCAAGCCTGGGCAATGGCGGGTGCCCCTCCCCCAGCCTCGCTGCCGCCTTGCGGTTTGATCTCAGACTGCTGTGCTAGCAATCAGCGGGACTCCGTGGGCGTAGGACCCTCCGAGCCAGGTGAGGGATATAATCTCGTGGTGCGCCGTTTTTTAAGCCGGTCCGAAAAGCGCAATATTCGGGTGGGAGTGACCCGATTTTCCAGGTGCGTCTGTCACCCCTTTCTTTGATCCCTGACCCCTTGTGCTTCCCAAGTGAGGCAATGCCTCGCCCTGCTTCGGCTCGCGCACGGTGCACGCACCCACTGACCTGCGCCCACTGTCTGGCACTCCCTAGTGAGATGAACCCAGTACCTCAGATGGAAATGCAGAAATCACCCGTCTTCTGCGTCGCTCACGCTGGGAGCTGTAGACCGGAGCTGTTCCTATTCGGCCATCTTGGCTCCGTGGATAAGCCTTAAAAGGCTCAATACTTTTTAAAAATTTCCTATAAAATCCAGAATCTATCTAGATTTTTGAGCAGCCTGTAGTGGTTGGAGGACCATGATTGTTTACTCATTTGGTCACCTAAACATCCCAAGCAATGATTTGTTCTGACAGCAGACTGATAACAGTTTTTTTTACTCCTTGGAATCGGAAAAAAAATCAGCAAGGGAAGCTTTTGGAAGCCACCCGGTAGAGCTGGAAGAGAATTTCGAAATCAATTCGCTCAACCTCTCCCTTTACAGGCAGAAAATGTGCTAGATTGGAGGTGAAGACCCTGGAGCCAGAGAGCCTAGGCTTAGTCCTAGCCCTGCACTGAAGGTAATGTGAACACTCAGTGCCTCAGTTTCCTTCTAGGCTTCTTGTTCTGAGATTCCATGAATTAATATTTGTAAAATGCTTAGAACTGTGTCTAACACATTGTAAACACTAGGAACAAATGCTAAGGTCATGCAACTCATCAATGCCTCCCTGGGGTAGAACCAGCCTTGGCCCATGGGCATGCTCATTCTTCTTTTAGACAAGGCTCTTAGGCATCCCTAGAGTGTGGGTTGGCCTTCCTATGCCTGTACGTAAGAAGTATGATGTAATGTAAGGAATATAGGATTCAAAATCAACAATTAGGATTCAAATGCTAATATTTATTGACTCAACTCTCTGAATCTTAGTTTCTTCATCTGTAAAATTATAATGATCATAACAAACCCAAGTCACAGACTTGTTCAGAGGAGCAAATGAGATAATGTACTTTGAAAACCATAATCTACTCTGCAAATGTTATGTAACATTATAATTGTGAGTTCAGCAAAGCCATGAGAATGTTTCAAAACTGTTTAGGACATCAAGAAGTTGGGGTGGGGAAAATTCTTAATAGGTTTTCTCCATATCCTCATTTTCCATTTATTCATTGTTTTAAAATTTATTTTTCTTATGATATACATATATATATATATATATATACACACACACAAAAGAATTATGTACGGTCCTGCATTGCTTGCATTCTGAGAAATGCATGAATAGGCAATTTTGTCATTGTACAAACATCATAGAGTGTACTTATACTAACCTAGGTGATATAGCCTACTACACACCTAGGCTGTATGGTATGACCTTTTGCTCCTAGGCAACAAACCTGTACAGCATGTTACTCTGCTGAATACTGTAGGCAATTGTAACACAATGGTAAGTATTTGTGTATCTAAATATATCTAAAGATATAAATATGTCTTTATAAGTATACAAATATATCTTTAAATATACTAGTATATATTTATAGATACAAATGTATAAATATATCTATAGATGTACTAGTATATATATTTATAGACTAGAAAAGGCACAGTACAAATATGATATTATTAGCGGGGTGTGGTAATTCATGCCTGTAATCCCAGCACTTTGGGAGGCTAAGGTGGGAGAATTGCTTGAGCCCTGGAGTTTGAGGTTACAGTGAGCTACGAACACATCACTGCACTCCAGCATGGGTGACAGGGGGATACCCTGTCTCTCAAAAAAGAAACTAAAACAATAAGATAGAATCTTATGGGACCACCATAATATATTCAGTCTATCACTGATTGAAATGTCATTATGCAGCACATGACTATATATATGTATATATATATATATATATATATATATATATATATGGGATATAAAACAAATACTCATATCTCTACCACCAGGCTCAAAAAGGGAATATTACCTTTGAAGTCCCCTGAATATCCCATCCTAGCAATATTCCTCCCCCTCCTGGAAAAGTGGGTAAACAACAATTGTAAGTCATGTGTTTGTCTTTCCTTTGCCTGTAGTTGCGCTACACAGGTGTGTGCCCAGAAAATATTCTTTATTGGATGCATGGGGTTTCCTTCTTGACTCAGAGATCTCAAGCTATACGGTATCTTCCTGCAGCCTTATAGTGTCCACCTTATTCTTTGTCACTATTTCCCTTTCCCAGCCAATAAAGCACATTACCTCTGTCATTCAAATGAACTCGTAAAGAGAGATTTTAGAAAAGAGCTGGTTCACCTCAGGTTCACCTGAGCAAGGAATGGGTGTCAGTGACTGTGGAAAGTGGAGCACAGCTGCCAGAGCAGTGCAAGGACCCAAGAAATGGGAGGGTCTTGACTCGGGATAACCACTCTGAGATTCATTGGATGTCCTAGATTGTCACCTTGCCTTACACCTTAAGGGAGAAAAGGATAAAAAGATAAGGCAGATGTGAAAGCTATACTAAGGAGCTTAGACTTTTCCTGCAGGCCTTTGGGAAGCAACTGAAGCTTTGAAGAAGGGAATGACAGCTTGAGACTGCTTCAAGGCAGAAGAGATAGGAGACCAGAAGGCCAGTGAGGAAGCACTTAGGCTGGGCCAGGGGTACAGGTGTGGCTGGAAGGGCTGCCCAGAAGCACCACTGTGGACCAGGCTGAGCAGGACTGAGTGACTGGTTAGATATAGGAAATGCCAGAGAAAGAGAAGGTGGTGATGACTGAAATTTCAGAGTTACCTAAATGCAAGCATGGTATGTTCATAACCAAAATAGGTAGCAAGGAGAGCTAGGTTTGAGAGCCAAGCTGATTAGTACAGAATGCGAGTGGTTATCTCTGCTGTTTCCAGAAAATAAAGATTAATTTCAGCCTTAAAGTCAGGGACTTAAATGAGATGATCTCGAAAGCCCTTTCCATTTTTGTAATTGTGCAATCCTCAGAACGTTGCCCAGAATAGTAAGCAGAAGCAAAAGAAATTCAGGAGTTTGAACATAAGAGAGAGCTGTTCTCTGATGCCTGCTCCAATGGGAACTGGGCACTGTGACTGAGCCCTCGGCTCACTGAGTCTCCTCCTGAGGAGTGTGATAAAACCTCACAGGGCTGCTGTGGGTCTTATTATACATGAAAATACCCACCTCAGTGCCTGGCACATTCTGGGTGCAGGAAAAAGTTTGATTTCCTCCCTCCCTTCCTTCCTTCCTTCCTTTTTCCTCCCTTTGTTACCATAGGAGAGAGTCAGGCTGGTTCCCTGCGGGTGCTGGTGTGAAACCTGCTCTTTAGACTCTTCTGCAGTTCCCCAAAGCAGCTACTGTCCCAGAGAACTGCTTTCTGCCAGCAATGCTCAGTTTTACCCTAAGACACGATAACTCCTGGCTTTGAGGGAAGCACAGGTAGCAAGGGGACCCCTGACAGCAAATGTGTAGTTGTTCTTCCAGCTAGGCCCCAGCCCCACCTTAAATGCCACATCCAGGCACTGTGTCTACAGTGCTGAGATAAAGCAACCCCGTCTTTTCCACACAAATGAGCAGCAAACATATTTGCTGATTATCTTTGAGGGACATAATGAATCAGACTGAGATTTAGTCATATTTGCACAATGCTTTACATCTGAGATACTGAAAGCTTAATCCAAGGTTTCCCTGTTAGTTGAAGTCCTACTGTTAGGGCTCAAAGACAGGGTGCAGCTCTGTAAGCCAGTCCCTGATGCCTTGATCCCAATCATTGAGTTTATCAGGATTCTCCATAGGAAGACACAAGGAGCACCTCTGCTGCAGCAAATGCTGGAGTGTTAGTTTTTCCTAGAGGCTAGTGCCTCAACACCTCTTCTGCAGATCTCAGCTATGGAGAAAATGAAAAAGAAAAAGGTTAGAGTCTCCTGGCTTATGAAATTTGAATGCCACTTGAACCTGACATATTTATTTTTTAGCTCTAAATCACACAAGATCAAGAAGTTCTGCAGATCCTATTCCAACATTGTGCAATGTCTCTATATTTACAAATTTTATTTGATGGGGGGGGCAATAGAGACATAATTTAATCCTATTAGTTCTTGAGGAGATACTATTTAGAGATCTCACTAATTCCTGTCCTGAAGGAGAAGACTTGAAGTGTGCAATATAAATATTGCATTAACTCTAATACAGAGTTCTACATTTACGCCTTACATGTGTGCAAACAGGTGCACAGAGGCTAAAGTTCTGGTTGTATTGCTCTCCCTCCATTTACAAAAGATCAGTGAGTTCCTGCTTGCAGATTCTCTGAGGAGACCCTTAGTTTCATCTCCTCTTCATTCTTCTGCTGGCCTGATTCAGCAAGACCAACCACAAAGCAAACTGAGTAGGCAAATGGGCTTTATCTCTGGTGACTTTGCAGATGCACTAATTTTTCAGCAGGCTGTCATTAAATGCCTACTGGGTGCTAGGCATAATACAGGGTCCTGGGGATAAAAGATGATAAGACAATTCCTGTCCTCTTGTTGATAGAAGGCAGGTAGTTTGTGGTCAAAGACTCTCATTCACACCCACCAGATTGTTTTTATATCCCAGTGAATCCATTATGTCTCTGGCAGCACCACACACCAGGTCAAGTTTGAGGCTTTAAAGTTCCCAGGATGTCACCTAGACTTAGAGATGAAGAAACACTAACAAAAGAAGAAACAAGACAACCACAAAAACCTGAGCCTGAAGAGCTGCCACCTCTATAATGGAATATTTCAAATGGCCTTAGATTTAAAATTGGTCTTTGCTCCTTTAAGCAGATTCCCTTAGCTCTGGCTATCTCTGCAAAATGGATGATTGATCACCAATAGAAACTTAATTATCAATTAATCGGTTGCTATCGAATTGCTGGTACATCTCAGTTATCTGCTACTCCTCAGAGTAATCCATAGTACTTTAGTGAAGAAATACTTCTAATTAAACAGGGAAATAGCACTTGCTAATATATCAAAGTAAATGACTAGACCTAAAACATTAGTATTAATTACAAGAGTCAGTGGGTTTAGCATCTCTAAGTTTCTATTTGCTAATTTATTGCCACTGAAAATGAAGAAATCGTTGTTGATATATAAAATAGAGCATTTTAGGTGGTTTTTAATCATAAAAGTCAGTAGATGTAAAAACTCTGGATTGCATGTGGCAGACATTTGACCTTAAGGAATAAGGTCGCTATACAGAAGGATAACTAAACTTTTATTTGTTTGTTCTTAAACAATAAAATGATTTGAAATATACTTTGATCATTTTGTGATTATTATCATATGGGATGATAATAGAGAATTTCTTACTTCCTAATCATTTTCCTACACTTATAGTTACATACAAAGATGTAATGAAATTTGCTCTCCTTTTCTTCCAAGGTATACATCATTTTCCTTAATACTTTCTCCCGTCCCCATCGTCTACCCCAGATTTACCAATTCCCAGCTATCTCCTTAGGACAGTCAAGAACCAAATACTCCCATTTGTCCCTTATAAACTCTTTTAACTTCCCCAATTTCTGGAAAAACAAAAAGCTTTAATAATATAGTTTTATATCTCCATACTCATCCCCCATCTACTTATAATTGATTCACTTGTTCATTCATTCAATTAATATTTACTAAACATCTACTATGCATGATAGTTAATCAACTACTGGCAATACCATGGTGAACGAGTAGGGTCCCTGATCGCAGCGAGCTGCTTGGGAGAAGTTTCACATTATCTTATAAATCACGCAAGCAAATGTTATGTTGCAGCTTGTAACTATGTTACAGCTATGCTATGGGTACACAGGTAAATGATATTATGAGAATCTACACTAGAAGCATTTGACTTAGATAGTGGGGTCAGGGCAGGCCTCCTGAAGAAATGGTGATAAGCTAAGATCTGAAGGAGATGTAGGAGTTAACAAGGTGAATGAAGGTGGAAGGAGCATTTCAAGCCGGGAAATAGCATCTGCAGAGGCCCTTAATGGGAGAACACGTGACATATTTGGAGCGCTGAAAGAAGGCCTGCTCGCTGGAGCACTAAGAACACAGATCTGGAGAAGTTGGGCAGGGGCCGGATGATGGGAAGGGAGCCATACAGTCCATGTTAAAAAAATGTTGTTCTTTATCCTAACAGCAATGGGGAAGCATTGAGTGTTTTAAATAGAGAGGGATATGGTCAGATTTGTGTTTGAAAAAGAAAATCCTGCTGCAGTGTGAAGAACAGATCACCTGGCAAGGGTAACAGTGGATGTGGTGGGTCTAGTTAAGAAGCCGCCGCAGTAGTCCAGGAAGGAATGAGGTGGCTAGGATGAAAATTGGGAGGAAGGGCATGAAGGAGAAGACTGGATGGGTCTAGGAGGCATTTAGAAATGAAATTGTTGGGAATTGGTGATGGACTGTATATGGGGGCGGAGGGAGAGGGAGGAATTGGAGATGACACTTAGATTTCTGACTTGTGCACCTGGAGGAATGGTAGAGCCATTCACTGAGGTGTGTAGTGTCCTAAGGTCAGGCAGGAGGAAGATTGTGGTTTCTAGGATGGGCATGTTGTTGAATCTGAGGTCTCTGAGACATGTGAATGGAGATACTTGAGTGATGTTATCTACAAGTGCTGGGCTCTTTGTTTGTTTGTTTTGTTTTTATTGCGTGGGAGGTCTTCCAGAAAACCTGCTAGACAAATTCTAAAAGAAATATAACACTCATGCTGGGTTCTATTGTGAGAGATTTATATAAACTAGCTTGTTTAATAGTTACACAAGCTCTATAAGGTAAGTACTATTTTTTTAGTTCTCTCTACTTTACAGATTAGGGGGAATAAAACACAGAAATTACATGATTTTCTGAATACAGAAAGATTATTACATAAAGCAAGTAAGCATTAGGGGCCAGGATTTGATGCCAGCACTTGGGTCAGTGCTCTGTGGCCTCCCAGTGAGTTATCCGTTAACCACCACTCCCTACCATCTCTCTGCACAAGAATGCACAAAGGCACACATTTAAAAATATAATGTCAGAACATGCCTCTAACATTTATTATTATTCCAGTTGAAATTCATCTCATCAGACTTGCCTGCTAGAAGCATTACCTTTGTGTCAAGGGCTGAGACATTTAAAAGTTTTGTTTTTCTTATAATAGCAGCAGCTAAGTTCCATTTTTAGGCGTGCACATATTGAACCATGGTGTGAATTGCGATAGTAAGGTTTTAGAGTCTATAAATAATGCCTAGTGAAATTGGAGCCATTCAGTCCCTAGAAATATTTATGCCTATCTGTGGCTATTTGTCTATTTGCATGATTATCCTTGCCATTATCCTCCAGGCTCTGAAAATACACACTGAAAGGTTTCTTACCAGCTTGTTCATGTCTGGATTCACATTAACTCTATGACCATATTTTATTCCAGACACTTCTGAGAAATTCATCAGGCTGTGAAGCGCGCCGTGATGAATATCGAACAGAGTTTACCACAGCTTTGCAGCGCGTTGACTTATTCATGGGTCAATTCAGCGAAGTCCTCTTAACATCTATATCCACCTTCATTAAAGGAGACCTCACCATAGCTAATCTTGGGACATCAGAGGGTCGCTTCATGCAGGTAAGTGCTTTCTGAGAGTAGCTGTGTCTGTTCTATCTGGTATTGTGCAATTAATTTGTTTTCGTTTTTGCAGTAAGGTATTTGCAAATACTGTAAAGTCCAAATCATAGTAGAAACTGGAACACAGACTGAAAGCCAAACAATGAAGCCTGGTCTACTTTCTGTTAAATGTGTGGTCTCTTTTTATTAAGTTCTTGAAGCTTTCAGTTTGAATCTGTTTGCTTTAATTTTCTCGTCCAGAATGGTGTGGCATTTTTTTTCCATTTATAATTTCTGTCACGTGATTGGAAAATAAAATGAAACAAAGCACTTCTAGGCAATTTTTTTTTATTTCAAGGGAAGCTACAGATCAAAGGAGAGCTATTGTGTGAACCATGCATCTTCATGAGAAGAAACATTCACATCATTGAGAAATATTGGCAGGAGTTAGGAAGGGACAACATTATCATCAAAATCCCATTGTAACTCAAGCTCTCCTGATTCTGTAAAATGGTAGGGTTGGATGCAAATAAGTTCAGATACAAAAAAAATCCAGATTTTATTAAGAAATGGTTTTAATGGATAGCAACAGTATTTCTGTACAACAAAAGTTTCCATTTCAACTTACTGTGTTTCCTAGATACAAGAACCATAGCACTTTGCAGAAATTAAAAGACTCTCTTGTTGGGTTGGTTTTTGCTGTTTTGTAGTTATTGGTGCCTTTAACATGAGTTGTTAGTAGATTCTTGATGAGGAAAGAATGACAATAGCATCTATGGAAATCTTGAACTTCTGTGAATACTAGAAATTTCTTTTAAAGGGAGATTTCGTAATTGTCTGATGTAGTTAGTACCCTCATCAGACAATAACCTCTAGTAAACCAACTGAGAATGATAAGCTTTTCCTATAACTTGCCTGTCTATACATCCTATATGTGTATTCTTCTACAAAACATTTTTTTAATTACCACTCTCTTTATAGCAGCCTGGATATTGATCATTGCCATATTTTAAAACCTGTAAGTTATGTTTTTCTTGTACTAAAGGGCATGGTGGAATTTTTTCAAGGTCAAAAACCATGTAAATAAAACCTTCCTAGCTCAAAACTAATCATACAGGTCCTGTTATCTAATTATTCCCCTAGTAATCTCCCTTCTATTGCTTCACATTGAACTACGCCTTTTCTCCCCCTTTCCTCTGTCCATTCCACTGTGCTTGTTTATCCAACTCATCCATCTTGACCATTTAATTCTATCCTTAACTTCTCAAACCTGAAGGAGGGAAGCCCCGCCCCTCCCACAGAGACATGCACTCTAATGGATTTGAAATATGCTCATATCTATTATGTGTAAAATGTGTAGTATTGTTCTGTGTTTATACATGTTTTTAATTTACATCAATGGCATTCTATACAATTGCAAAAATACAAAGAAGGACTAGAAAAGCTGGCATCTATTGATTTCCTAATGTGTTCATTATGTTGATTTGCCCCCTTTTATCTTTATTTCTGCTTTTTTTTTTTTCAAAATCGTCCATTACCTCACCAATCCAGTTTTGTATGAATAAGCTTTTTATGATTACTTTAGCTCCGACTTTTTTTAACATCAAAAGTTCCCTGGCCTATTTCCACATTCTAAAGTTGTAATACAATTCCTTATTTAAATATGTTGCTTTATTAACTGAGTAAATTCTGCTGTGTGACAGAGTCAATCGCCTGAGGGATATGTCACGCATCAGTCTCATTATAGAAACGCTGTAGCAAATGTTTTATTCTTGTCTCCTAGCCTTTGTGTAAAAGAAACTATATTTTGCCTATTAACTATGCATCCAAAACAAAAGGTAAAAAAAATGCTTATTTTATGAAAAGTACTGGTATCACTGATTTTTTTTAAAAGTGGCTTTTAATTTATCAAATAAGTATCAAGAACTACCTAACTTTGCTTTACTATACAAACGAATGAAGCAAAGGAAACAGTGACACAGAACTTACCTTTAAGAAATTAAATTTTAGTAGGAAAGATACCTGATAATAATAGTACCTACAGACAAAGGGCTATTCGAAACCACAGAGAATCTATTTCTCTGACGCTTGCCTAAGAGAATTTCATTCCATTAAATTTTATAAAGAAACCTAAAGCATTTGAAGGATCAAACAATCAACATCACTGAAGTCCATATATTTACAGTAAATAATAGTGCGGGAGGAGTCAGGAGTGGAGCACAGATATGGCAACCTCCCACTTTAATCTGTCAGAGCAGTGACTTCCTACAAAGTTCTGTAAATGTTTTGACTGCACCACAGTGTTAAATGTATGGCTAGGCCTGAGTTTCTACAACTCGTGTTTTAGTAAATACGATGAAGTTTCTGTTACAAAATAGAATGGACATTTTTTTTCCCCCCAAAGACAGCTGCCCTACACAAAAGGGAACAGAAAGATGATTTTACTTCCTTCCTACCCTGAAGCCTAATGGCAAAGTTGCTTTGCAAATTTTTTTCTCCCAAGAGTTTGCAGCTGTTTCTGTCTTTCCTATTGTGCTTATGTTCAGCTCTGGCTGGGAACACAAGCTACAGCCCCAGCTGTTGGGTGCAAAGTGAATCAGGTATTTCACAGTGGTCATTTGATTAGAAAGAATTATATTGTTTAGCTAACAACATTTTGTGTATGGCAGGGAAGACATTTTTGACATGTTCCTAACATTTAATGATGTGTAACTTATCTTGTACAGGTGCAGCTATATCTGAAAATACTGATGCATACATATATTTAAGTCTCAATATCTGCAGAGCCATGTCAATGTAGATGAAGATTTAAAAATAATTTTTATTTGCATGATCACTCTCTTGGGATACTTCGAAGTAAAATAGTAGGATAAGCAATGTTTGAGATAGTGTAAGTGAACAATGAGAACGTGCCTTCTTACAGACTGGGGAAGGAGATGTAGAACAGAGTCAGACTTGGGAACATTAACACAGTGTACACAGCTACGTGGGAGAGGGAAGAGGGATTCTCATGAAGATCACAGGACTAATCACAGGGATTGTCCACGTCTCCCTTCTGAGCGCCTCGTCTAATCTACATCCAGAACAATGCTTCCTTGATTTTTTTTAACAGCACTTGTATAAGGCTTTTAATCTCTAAATGCAAAGCATTGCTATTAAAATATTTGTGCATGACTGTCAGGCCAGGGAGAGTGAGTGGATCAGGGATGCGAGAGGGGGTGGGGAGGCCCTTTCAAGAATTGTTTCAAGTTCAGCTCCACAAATACTCACTGGGCAACTACTATGTGCACTACACTGTGCCTGCTCCCAATGGCCACAGCCTGGGCACTGTCACTGCTGCTACTGGGCTCCGTGGTTCCATCCTAGCTCTTCCCGCATGCCCCTTTCGCCTCTCCAAGTTCCTAAATGTTGTTACCACCCACTCATCACTCCTGTTCTCTTCTGCCTCTTAACTGGACTAGTTGGATCTTAAGTAAGAAACCCAAGGAGGTAGAGATCACCTAAAAAGATGTCCCATGTTCAAGATCATTACTTATGACCACTACTTAAAGGACTGTGTTAGTAATCAGTGAACCTAAGAATAATTACTCACTTCCAATAAGAAAAATTTGTTTATCTGTTGACCTCCTGTCTTCAAATTCCTTCAGTTCCCGTGCCCCCATCGTGGCATGTCAGTGCTTTCTGTGAGAAGCCTGTAGTATGCATCATGTTTGGAATTACTGCCATTTTAGAGTATGTAGATGCAGATCCCCAATTCGTCAATGTTGTGAACATCTGGCAGAGACACAGCTGAAGGAAGCTTCAACTTGAACAATGATTCTCTTTAGGGATTTCTAACTTACCCATCTCTTTTATAAAATAATCAGATAAAAATATTATCTGCCTTTTTGTGTGTGTACATCATTAACTTAGTTTTAACCCTAAAGAATGTTAGCTTTGGCTTTTTTTTTTTTTTTTTCACAGTGTCTCGCTCTGTTGCCCAGGCTGGAGTGCAGTGGTGCAATCTTGGCTCACTGTAACCCCCACCTCCAGTATTCAAGCAATTCTTGTGCCTTAGCCTCCTGAGTAGCTGGGATTACAGGCACGTACCACCATGCCCAGCTAATTTTTGTACTTTTAGTAGAGACGGGTTTTTCGCCATGTTGGCCAGGCTGGTCTAGAAATCCTGGCCTCAAGTGATCTGCCCGCCTTGGCCTCCCAAAGTGCTGGGATTACAGGTATGAGTCACCGTGCCCACAAGATTTGGTATATTTCTTTAGAGGAAAATACACTCAAGGGTTCTGAAATTTCTTTTGTGTAAGAAAGAACTTTTTATAAATAATAATTTCAGTTATGTCCATAACTAAAAATCAAGGATTCCATTTATATGAAATATCTAGAATAGGAAAACCTATAGAGATAGAAAGTAGATTAGTGGTAGTCAAGGGCTAAGAGGATATGGGGAGACTGGGAATGACAGCTAAGGGATGTGGGGCTTCTTTTTGAGATAATGAAAGCATTCTACAACCCTGTCTCAAAAAAAAAAAAAATTAAAACCGTTCAATTGTCCACTTTAAAAACAATGGGGGAGGTATACAGAAACTGCATACAAACATCTTATCTTAAATTGTATTCATCATTCTTAAAATTTAATTCTATTAATAAAACGGTTTAATTAAAGATAAAACTGTATATGGGAGGTAAGGAGATATGGCCTTTACATATTTGTGGATATCTCACACAAAGTTACTTTGTTCAGGTTTACAGATTTGGGGGCCTAGCCACAACAGTTTTATTTGTACATGTATTTCTTCCCCATGTCCTATCTACAAGGGGCTATGTGAGATCAAAACCACAACCATTTGGTAAATTCAGATTCTGCCCTGCCCCAAATGTATTAGTCCTGTATTTTCAAGGCCATTAAAGAAAAAATATCCTGTGACCTAATTACTAAAGATTAGTTGTTGAATAGTAGGAACTCAAAGATAATTGTTGGTCTTCTATTTTATGCGAATTCTTCTAAGATTCCCAGGTTATTTATCATAAGAATTACATTTACATGGCAAATTTAGTTCTGTTCCTAGAAATATCTCCATGACAACCAAAAGGAACTCCTAATTTCTGGCACACATTACTTCAGGGGTATTTTGAGAGTTAAAGTGGTTAATCGATTATTTAGAATCCTAGCAATAAGAGAAAGAAAAGAATTAAGGGTAGAAAAACATTTATAGCAGTAGGTATCCCTGCAGAGAACGGGCTAATGATCAACTAAAAAGGCATTTGCATCTGTGGTACAGCCTCTGCGCAAAATTCCAAATGGCATTCTCACTTCCAAGTCACCTCACTTCTCCATGTGCCTTCCTGTCTTCTCATCTTCATCCCATTTTCTATAGCAAGCAACACTCATGCTAACTCGTGATCAAAAGTAGAGCTTGGCGGAGTGTGCTAGTAACATTTTCTCTATGCCCTCAAAAACTAGTTAGATGCAGAGACTTTCTCCTTAGGCACACTTAACTTGTGCAGCAAAAATTACTGAAACACGGAGTAACTGGCGAGGCAAATATATTGTGAAATTTGTTTTAGTACTTTTACTCACGAGTGGCTCTTGGGAGCTCAGAGTTGAAGCTTTTTCAATGGTATTTACTCTGGTGCTCCAAGAGCCTAGCAGTTGAGTGTTTAAGAGGTCAAGCACATGGATTCTGGCCTCAGATAAAGCTCTGTGGAAATCTGACTCATGTACTTTCTAGCTGAAATTCTATGTTGTATTTTTTTTAAGGAAAATAATAGTACCTACCTTATAGGAGTATTGTGAGGAGTAAATAAAATCTCCATTTAAAGCACTTGGCACAATATGTGACTCAGTTTCCTGTTATGAAAGTACAAACATTTGGTGCTTTTCAGACAAAGCTTTTTAACAGAGGATACACATATCAATCAATCCAAGTCCAGAGGTGCAAAGAGCTTCCGAAAAGAAAGAGAAAGGTTAATTCTTTCTGGGAAAGGACTATTTGGATGGGCTTCAGATATTTCATAAAGTCAAAGATGATGACCTAGTAATTAAGAAGGGATTGCTTATTATAGATTTGGGAAATGGTATTAAAAAGAGCAAGAAGGTAGGAGAAAAAAAGGGCTCTAGGAGGTGATTGTTATGTAGCCGGTCTAAGTAGAACGGAGGAAACCAGGGAGACAGACACAAAATGCAGGTGTCCATTGCAAGGTTCATAGTGATGAATAATCTTCAGTGAAGTGCAAAGCATAGAATGAGCTGGAAAACAAAGTCAGGGTATTAAGACAGACTGGTGTTCTGTGTTGCTTTTGACCTGTGTGTGAGAAAAGGAGTTTTTTTGCTTTTGTGTTTTTGTTTTTGTTTTGTTTTTTGTTTTACCTTTGCAGTTTGAAGTGATTGGCAACAGCCAAAGAAATATGGGGGGTATTGGGCAGGAGTATAGGAAAAATGAGATGTGATGAGCCCAGAAGGGAGTTAAGATTGCAAAATTGGGTAACCAAAATCTGGAGAATTTGTAATAGAAGCTTTAGAAGTCTAACATCTGATATTCTGCTTGTAACCAGTACCCAAAGGGAGGTGGGACTGGTAATTGAATTTCTGTTCACTTTGCCTGCAAAGGTCACCAATACCTATTGGGCCCTAACTTTAGGAAATAACAATAGTTTCCAACCTTTCCCATCCTGACCAAGTGACCCTTCATCCATCACTTAACTTCTGTGCAAATATAACCACCCTTTTTAATGGAGATGTTTTGAAAGCGTTGAGTGTTTAGAGTAGAACAAACATTAGAGCACAAATGTCATGATGTTTAACTTTTACAGCTGTATGTGAGCTTGGTTAGTTTCTCTATCAACAATCCACTCTCTGAGAACAAATTAGGTACTTTGAGAATCTTCCCAAATTGCTTCAGGATACTTGGCTCCTTTGTTATGCTGAAGAAAAAATTTACAATTGTTCCCCAGAACATTTATATGTTGTATGTGTTTGTTAGAGTACAAAGCAGTTAATTATTGCTGTAATTTTCATTCCCATTATACGAATGAGAAAGCTGAGGTAGAGGGAGTGACTATGTAATCGTAATCTCACAGATGTCCATGTTTGTCCTGTGATTTCATACCCATCGCGAGTAAATGCATGTTCAATGCAATGTAAAAGGCTATTAGAGATGTTGGGCAATTTCACAAAGTAGATTTCAAGTCTAGGGCTGTGCTGAGCCTCCTCCACCTTCATGTATATGCAACCCAGTGGCCTACTTAAGAGTGAAAGTTTCTCTGAGAACTCCAACACCCTCCTAAAAATCTAAGTGTTCATGTAAGATAATCATTTGGATTTTATCCCAATTGTTGTCAATTATGCTCTGAACTTTATTATTACTGGGTTCTAGGAACAGGACAGATGGAAATTAGATAGCTGGGAAACATCCCAAATTTTAAAAACCTGAAAGCAAAAATGACATCAATCATCAAACCTCATTTCCCGGGCATTGTTAAAACCATCAGGCCTTATTTTAAAGCCAGACCAAGAAGCAGAGTTTTATAATCCAAGTAATAATATATTGTGGGACAGTGGTTTATAAAAAAATACAACACATCATTTCAAAGTAGCTGGGGGCCTGTTTTGACCTGAAAAGATCTATAAATGTGGCTTAAGAGTAGCACAGCTGGAACTAGCTCCAGTATTCCAGACTCCGCGTCCACTACTCTTAACCATTACATCAAGGGAAACTGCCTGGCAGGGAGGATTAAGAGGATATATTTAAAAAATAATCCAGATTCATTGTAGCATGTGTGGTGTCTTCTTTCTGGAGAGAGTTTTGGTTCCTCCATTTTCCAATACAATTGCAGGGATTTGTCTGTATGTGCTGCCAATTGATTGAAAGATCTCTTTCCCTTGAAACCATTAAAAGATCATAGGCAAAGTCTGTCTTGGGGGTTCAGATAATTTGGCTTCAAGGCAAGAGATTAGAAGATGACATATTGATTTACAATGAGGGGAACTGTTGGGTCTTCAGTTCAAACACCCACAAGCCCTGCTAATCTGTTATTACCATTATCATCTACATTTTCCACTTATATTTAAACTGAGCTTGTTGGAATAAGGATGTTATAACTTTTTTGCTGTTTAGGTTGTGGTTTCTCGATCAGGACCATCAACCCCTCATGTGAATTTTCTCCTGGACTCCCATCCAGTGTCTCCAGAAGTGATTGTGGAGCATACATTAAACCAAAATGGCTACACACTGGTTATCACTGGGAAGAAGGTAAGCTGTTCCCACAGGGAATTTCCATAGACGTGGTTTTTCCCAAATGCATATTTACAACCAGTGTCACTTGGCCCTTTATAATGTCTCTCTTCATCTTAAATTTACCCCTCCTCCATTAAGTTCTTTAGTGAGTATTCCAGAGATCTTCTGAAATCTAGTTAATTTGTTCTCCAAGAAAGACTAGACCTAAGGGAGGTCTTTTTCAAAACTTCTCCTTTTGTCCTATATTTCTCAACAAGAAAAATAAACACACAGAATGAGAATTACAGTCCTAATGACAGAGCTCTAGTGCAGGCAGATAAATCCTGGAAATGTACATTGGAATCCGACTCCAACCAATAATCCCTTTTCTCCTAGAGAAGAAAGTGCATCTTGATGCCAGAATGACATGCAACTTTACTTAGAATTTTCCAGAGATTCAAGTGTGTTTTCCCACCACTTAAATTATACTCTCTTGTTATTTTAAAATCATCTCAGACAGGGCACAATGTCCCTACTATGTAGAACCTCTAACATTGTGTGGCAATGCTATGCTCACTGGACAATAATGTTACTTTTTCACATACCTGCTAACAATAAAGGAAAGGAAGGAATCAGATTTTTAAAATTTTAATCACCGTTATGACAGGATTTGCACACATAGTTGCTAAGTCTAGAAAATTCCATCAAATGATATTTACATGTACCTTTTGTGTACTTACTTTATAATTAATTAACAAACTAGATACCCCTCTGGAAGCTCTTTCCACCCCTTCTCTTCACAGATCACGAAGATCCCATTGAATGGCTTGGGCTGCAGACATTTCCAGTCCTGCAGTCAATGCCTCTCTGCCCCACCCTTTGTTCAGTGTGGCTGGTGCCACGACAAATGTGTGCGATCGGAGGAATGCCTGAGCGGGACATGGACTCAACAGATCTGTCTGCCTGCAATCTACAAGGTAGGAATCTCTAACAGCTGGCATACATGTTTTTGTTTGGTGTTTTTTTTTTTTTTTTGGTTTGGTTTGGTTTGTTTTTTGTTTTTTTAGATACAAATCCCACTAATGAAAAAAATTTAAAAATCAATTTACTCATTTAGCTGTGAGTCATCAGCTAAAGCACCATCTCTCTCTTGGCTTTATCCCTCGGGCAGGGAGGGGGTGGTGTTTGGGCATCCCCCCAAGTCCTGCACCTGAAGTGCTTGCTTCACATTGTCTAGGTTCTATCGCTGGGCAGCTGCTCACCTTTAGTGCCGTGTGAATAAAAGAGTGGTGGTGAATAAGCAACAGTGCTCCCCATTTTCTCACACTGGGGCCTGTTCCCTCCTGACTCACCCACTCTCTGATTCCTCGCCACTTCCTATATAGGCCAAGTGCCCAGACATGAGCCTCCATCACAGAAACAGATCTGTTCATGGCATATCCTGGAACCCTGAGCTGAATCCTGCAAACTGGTGATCCCTGCCATGCTGGGGCACACAGGACAGTTTTCTTCCTGTCCGATGCATAGATGGTGGCCTTGTCTGTTCACAGATGAGACTGAAGATTATTTCCCGGGGTGAGGTGGGCAAGGCAAGTGGAGGGTCAACACCCATGGGTGGCTGTGAGTCTTCCTTCAGTGTTCCCAGAAAAAAAAGCAAAGGCTCAACGGATGACTATACTAACATCTATACTTCTGTAAGCCATGCCACTCTTTAATTCATTCCAAAAATATTTATTGAGTGCATACCATTTAGCAGGCTGCCCTCTAGTCCCTGAGGAGATATAGTCCAGAACAAGATGAGCACATCTCTTGCTGATAGAGAACTCAGTTTCTGGCAATGGACATTGGCTCTAACATCGCAGCCATGCTAACTGTGTTGCCTTATTTGCTTAAGCATATATTCGGCACTATGAAAATCTCCACGCAATTTTTAAAAATTTCTTAGTCCAAAACATCTTGCTTAAAAACACTTCCCTGGTGAGAACCCAGTGTGTATTTTTCTCTGTGTGCATGTAGAAAAGTTGGACTTTAGTAAATAGTTCTTATGAAAGATTCAAGTTAAAGGTCTCGGTCACCTGGTTCATGCCCAAGTAAACAAAATGTGCGAGTCAGAACAAGAACCACCCCCAAGTGCATGGCTGTTTTCATTTAGTTACGGTTTGGAGCAAGATTTGTAGTGGGTGACTGGGTTTTAAACCAAGTTATTTTCTGTTAGGTGTGACACAGTTATTAAGACTTAGCTTGATTGACCAGAGAATAAACTAAAGACAGTGACAAAACAAATTTAAATCTATACTGTAGTATTTGTGTACTTTTTTGTTGTTCAGTATACTTTTGGAACCGTATGCAATTTTATACTTTTATAAACAAACAACTTCAGCAATTTGAGACACTAGGAATCTGAACTCTGCTATTCCATGAAATAGATATGGAAAATATATGTGTGTGTGCCCATGCAATTAAATCACAACAATTTCATTTCAAAAATAACCAAGCTGGTATTTTAAGTAAAGAAAATGGTTTGATAACCTGTACAAATGAAACATTTAATTTTTACTAATGTGCTTCCTTTTACTAAGCATAAAAGCTATACTAAAATGCTTAAAAATAAAGTAAATATTTCAGAATTTTCTGGAACCAGAGAATCTCTTGCAATATTTAAATGTCCCTCCTCTCTCACCCTTCTTAACTCTAGCATTCTATAGTTGATGATTCTCAAAGGTTGCGTGCTACCATGCACAAGTCAGTGAGGCTTAAGCTGCAGTTAGGAAGGCAGGGCAGCTGAGTCCATAAATCCCTCTAGGTTCATAGTTGTTAGGAAGATTTCATGCTGCACCAGACTGTGACAGTTAGCATTCTTCCTGCAAAACATAAGACAGACTCGAGGTGGGTGTTAAGATGGCCGAGTAGGAACAGCTCCGGTCTGCAGCTCGCAGCAAGATCAGTGCAGAAGGCAGGTGATTTCTGCATGTCCAACAGAGGTACACGGCTCATCTCATTGGGACTGGTTAGACAGTGGGTGCAGCCCACAGAGGTTGAGCTGAAGCAAGGTGGGATGTTGCCTCACCTGGGAAGGGCAAGGGATTGGGGAACTCCCTCCCCTAGCAAAAGGAATCCTTGAGGGACTGTGTTGTGAGGAACAATGCATTCCGGCCCAGATACTACACTTCCCTATGGTTTTGGCAACTAACAGACCAGGAGATTCCCTCATTTGCCTACACCACCAGGACCCTGGGTTTGAAGCACAAAACTGGGCGGCCATTTGGGCAGACACCGAGCAGGAGTTTTTTTTCATACCCCAGTGGTGCCTGGAATGCCAGCAAGACAGAACCATTCACTCCCCTGGAAAGGGGGCTGAAGCCAGGGAGCCAAGTGGTCTAGCTCAGTGGATCCCACCCCTACAGAACCCAGCAAGCTAAGATGCACTGGCTTCAAATTCTCACTGCCAGCACAGCAGTCTGAAGTTGACCTGGGATGCTGGAGCTTGGTGCAGGGAGGGGTGTCCACCATTACTGAGGCTTGAATAGGCTATTTTCCCCTCACACTGTAAAGGGTACAGCTTCAGCAGACTTAAACATTCCTGCCTGCTGGCTCTGAAGAGAGCAGCAAATCCCCCAGCACAGTGCTCTAGCTCTGCTAAGGGACAGATTGCCTCTTCAAGTGGGCCCCTGACCCCTGTGCCTCCTGACTGGGAGACACCTCCCAGCAGGGGTCGACAGACACCTCACACAGGAGAGCTCTGGCTGGCATCTGGTGGGTGCCCCTCTAGGATGAAGCTTCCAGAGGAAGGAATAGGCAGCAATCTTTGCTGTTCTACAGCCTCTGCTAGTGATACCCTGGCAAACAGGGTCTGGAGTGGACCTCCAGCAAACTCCAGAAGACCTGCAGCAGTGAGGCCTGACTGTTAGAAGAAAAACTAACAAACAGAAAGCAATAGCATTAACATAAACAAAAAGAACGTCCACACAAAAACCCTATTCAAAGGTCACCAACATCAAAGACCAAAGGTTGATAAATCCATGAAGATGAGGAAAAACCAGCGCAGAAAGGCTGAAAATTCCAAAAACCAGAACACCTCTTCTCCTCCAAAGGATCACAACTCCTTGCCAGCAAGGAAACAGAATTGGACAGAGAATGAGTTTAACAAATTGACAGCAGCAGGCCTCAGAATTTGGGTAATAACAAACTCCTCCAAGCTAAAGGAGCATGTTCTAACCCAATGCAAGGAAGCTAAGAACCTTGAAAAAAAAGCTAGAGGAATTGCTAACTAGAATAACCGTTTAGAGAAAAACATAAATGACCTGATGGAGCTGAAAAACACAGCATGAGAACTTCATGAAGCATACACAAGTATCAATAGCCAAATCAATCAAGTGGAAGAAAGAATGTCAGAGATTGAATATCAACTTAATGAAATAAAGTGTGGAGACAAGATTAGAGAAAAAAGAATGAAAAGGAATGAACAAAACCTCCAAGAAATATGCGACTATGTGAAAAGACCAAACCTACATTTGATTGGTGTACCTGAAAGTTACAGGGAGAATGGAACCAAGTTGGAAAACACTCTTCAGAATATTATCCAGGAGAACTTCCCCAACCTAGCAAGACAGCCCAACATTCAAATTCAGGAAATACAGAGAACACCACAAAGATACTCCTCTAGAAGAGCAACACCAAGACACATAATAGTCAGATTCACCAAGGTTGCAATGAAGGAAAAAATGTTAAGGGCAGCCGGAGAGAAAAGTCGGGTTACCCACAAAGGGAAGCCCATCAGACTAACAGTGGATCTCTCTGCAGAAACCCTACAAGACAGACACAAGACAGGGATGCCCTCTCTCACCACTCCTATTCAACATAGTGTTGGAATTTCTGGCCAGGACAAACAGGCAGGAGAAAGAAATAAAGGGTATTCAATTAGGAAAAGAGGAAGTCAAATTGTCCCTGTTTGCAGATGACATGATTGTATATTTAGAAAACTCCATCGTCTCAGCCCAAAGTCTCCTTAAGCTGATAAGCAACTTTAGCAAAGTCTCAGGATACAAATTCAATGTGCAAAAATCACAAGCATTTTTATACACCAATAACAGACAAACAGAGAGCCAAATCATGAGTGAACTCCCATTCACAATTGCTTCAAAGAGAATAAAATACCTAGGAATCCAACTTACAAGGGATGTGAAGGACCTCTTCAAGGAGAACTACAAACCACTGCTCAAGGAAATAAAAGAGGATACAAACAAATGGAAGAATATTCCATGCTCATGGATAGGAAGAATCAATATCATGAAAATGGCCATACTGCCCAAGGTAATTTATAGATTCAATGCCATCCCCATCAAGCTACCAATGACTTTCTTCACAGAATTGGAAAAAACTACTTTAACGTTCATATGGACCCAAAAAAGAGCCTGCATTGTCAAGTCAATACTAAGCCAAAAGAACAAAGCTGGAGGCATCATGCTACCTGACTTCAAACTATACTACAAGGCTACAGTAACCAAAACAGCATGGTACTGGCACCAAAACAGAGATATAGATCAATGGAACAGAACAGAGCCCTCAGAAATAATACCACACATCTACAACTATCTGATCTTTGACAAACCTGACAAAAACAAGGTATGGGGAAAGGATTCTCTATTTAACAAATGGTGCTGGGAAAACTGGCTAGCCATATGGAGAAAGCTGAAACTGGATCCCTTCCTTACACCTTATACAAAAATTTATTCAAGATGGATTAAAGATGTAAATGTTAGACCTAAAACTATAAAAACCTTAGAAGAAAACCTAGGCAATACCATTCAGGACATAGGCGTGGGCAAGGACTTCATGTCTAAAACACCAAAAGCAATGGCAACAAAAGCCAAAATTGACAAATGGGATCTAATTAAACTAAAGAGCTTCTGCACAGCAAAAGAAACTACCATCAGAGTGAACAGGCAACCTACAGAATGGGAGAAAATTTTTGCAATCTACTCATCTGACAAAGGGCTAATATCCAGAATCTACAAAGAACTCAAACCAATTTACAAGAAAAATCTAACAACCCCATCAACAAGTAGGCAAAGGATATGAACAGACACTTCTCAAAAGAAGACATTTATGCAGTCAAAAGACACATGAAAAAATGCTCATTATCACTGGCCATCAGAGAAATGCAAATCAAAACCGCAATGAGATACCATCTCACACCAGTTAGAATGGCAATCATTAAAAAGTCAGGAAACAATATGTGCTGGAGAGGATGTGGAGAAATAGGAACACTTTTACACTGTTGATGGGACTGTAAACTAGTTCAACCATTGTGGAAGACAGTGTGGTGATTCCTTAGGGATCTAGAACTAGAAATACCATTTGACCCAGCTGTCCCATTACTGGGTATATACCCAAAGGATTATAAAGCATGCTGCTGTAAAGACACATGCACATGTATGTTTATTGCAGCACTATTCAGAATAGCAAAGACTTGGAACCAACCCAAATGTCCAACAATGATAGACTGGATTAAGAAAATGTGGCACATATATGCCATGGAATACTATGCAGCCATAAAAAAGGATGAGTTCATGTCCTTTGTAGGGACATGGATGAAGCTGGAAACCATCATTCTGAGCAAACTATCGCAAGAACAAAAAACCAAACACCGCATGTTCTCACTCATAGGTGGGAATTGAACAATGAGAACACGTGGACACAGGAAGGGGAATATCACACACCGGGGCCTGTTGTGGGGTCGGGGGAGGGGGGAGAGTTAGCATTAGGAGATATACCTAAGTAAATGACAAGTTAATGGGTGCAGCACACCAACATGCACATGTATACATATGTAACAAACCCGCACATTGTGCACATGTACCCTAGAACTTAAAGTATAATAAAAAATATATATAAAAAAAGAAACCCTACAAGCCAGAAGACAGTGGGGGCCAATATTCAACATTCTTAAAGAAAATAATTTCCTTCCCAGAATTTCATATCCAGCCAAACTAAGCTTCATAAGTGAAGGAGAAATAAAATCCTTTACAGTCAAGCAAATGCTGAGAGATTTTGTCACCATCAGGCCTGTCTTACAAGAGCTCCTGAAGGAAGCACAAAATATAGAAAGGAAAAACCGGTACCACCTACTGCAGAAACATACCAAATTGTAAAGACCATTGACACTGTGAAGAAACTACATCAACCAATGGGCAAAATAACCAGCTAGGATCAAATTCACACATAACACTATTAACCTTAAATGTAAATAGGCTAAATGCCCCAATTAAAAGACACAGACTGGCAAATTGGATAAAGAGTCAAGACCCATTGGTGTGCTGTATTCAGGAGACCCATCTCACGTGCAAAGACACACATAGGCTCAAAATAAAGGGGCGGAGGAAGATTTACCAAGCAAATGGAAAGCAAAAAAAGCAGGGGTTGCAATCCTAGTCTCTGATAAAACAGACTTCAAACCAACAAAGATCAAAAAAGACAAAGAAGGGCATTACATAATGGTAAAGGGATCAACACAACCAGAAGAGCTAACTATCCTAAATATATATGCTCCCAATACAGGAACACCCAGATTCGTAAAGCAAGTCCTTAGAGACCTACAAGGAGACTTAGACTCCCACACAATAATAATAGGAGACTTTAACACCCCACTATCAACATCAGACAGATCAAGGAGACAGAAAGTTAACAAGGGTATCCAGGACTTGAACTCGGCTCTGGACCAAGCAGACCTAATAGACATCTACAGAACTCTCCATTCCAAATCAGTAGAATATACATTCTTCTCAGCACCACATAGCACTTATTCTAAAATTGGCCACATAATTGGCAGTAAAACACTCCTCAGCAAATGCAAACAAACAGTCTCTCAGATGACACTACAATCAAATTAGAACTCGAGTTTAAGAAACTCACTTAAGGCCGGGTGCAGTGGCTTACGCCTGTAATCCCAGCACTTTGGGAGGCTGAGGCGGGCGGATCACAAGGTCAGGAGATCCAGACATCCTGACTAACATGGTGAAACCCCATCTCCACTAAAAATACTAAAAATTAGCTGGGCATGGTGGCGGGCGCCTGTAGTCCCAGCTACTCGGGAGGCTGAGGCAGGAGAATGGTGTGAACCCAGGAGGCGGAGCTTGTAGTGAGCCGCGAAGGCGCCACTGCACTCCAGCCTGGGCAACAGAGCAAGACTCCATGTCAAAAACAAAAACAACAACAACAAAAAAGAAGCTCACTCAAAACCACACAACTACCTGGAAACTGAATAACCTGCTCCTGAATGACTACTGACTACTCGGTAAACAACTGGTACATTTGTTATTTTTCAAGTTAAATAATGAAATTAAGGCAGAAATAAATAAGTTCTTTGAAACCAATAAGAACAAAGACAAAGACACAACATATCAGAATCTCTGGGACACAGCTAAAGCAGTGTTTAGAGGGAAATTTGTAGCACTAAATGCCCACAGGAGAAAGTGGGAAAGACCTAAAATCAACCCCTAACATCACAATTGAAAGAACTAGAGAAGCAAGAGCAAACAAATTCAAAAGCTAACAGAAGACAAGAAATAACTAAGATCAGAGCAGAACTGAAGGACATAGAGACACGAAAAACCCCAGGAGCTGGTTTTTTGAAAAGATCAACAAAATTGATAGACTGCTAGCCAGAATCATCAAGAAGAAAAGAGAGAAGAATCAAATAGACACAGTACAAAATGATAAAGGGGATATCACCACTGATCCCACAGAAATACAAACTACCATCAGAGAATACTATAAATATCTCCATGCAAATAACTAGAAAATCTAGAAGAAATGGATAAATTCCTGGACACATACAGCCTCCCAAGACTAAACTAGGAAGAAGTTGAATCCCTGAATAGACCAATAACAAGTTCTGCAATTGAGACAGTAATTAACAGCCTACCAACCAAAAAAAGCCCAGGACCAGACGGATTCACAGCCGAATTCTACCAGAGGTACAAAGAGGAGCTGGTACCATTCCTTCTGAAACTATTCCAAACAATAGAAAAACAAGGGACTCCTCCCTAACTCATTTTATGAGGCCAGCATCATCCTGATACCAAAACCAGACAGAGACACAACACAAAAAAAGAAAATTTCAGGCCAATATCCCTGATGAACATCGATGTGAACAT